>NC_000016.10:33742411-34042411 GCF_000001405.40 Homo sapiens | reverse complement strand
AAAAAGAGAAAATAGCCTTACCCTATACATAATAAACTCAAGATGTGTTACAAATTTATATGTGAAATCCAAAATACTATAATATTTAAGGAATAGCTAAGTAGAATAACACTAAAATTTAACATAATGAAATATTTCCTTAAAAAGAAAAAAGCACAGTAATTAAAAGGGGAAATATAGTTAATATTTTTTCTCTCCATTCAGCATGCCATTAACTGAGTAAAAAATCAAGCTGCAATTATGTAAACTACATTTTCTAAAACCATAAAGAAAAGAATTGAAAAGGGATTTGGGAAAAAAATCCAAAGGTACTGTCAACTACACAAAAAAAGCTTAGTCTCGTTAATCATTATGAAAATGCAAATTGTAACTGAAATAAGATAAAACTACAATTCAAAGAGAAAGCCTAAAGTTTCAACCCCCCAAAAATTCTCGGTTTTGGAGAGCTGGGATGGAATAGGGCTCCTAACCTTACAACAATGAAAGAACCAAACTAACTTCAAAGTCATGACGTTATTTTTATAGCAACCAGGCTTGCCAAGAAGTGAGTCAAAATGTGAGGGAAAACAAGCACCTGCAAGGAGAAAGAGGACAGATGCACTTATATAGGACAGATGCAAATAAACACCACTATGACAAGTAAAGCTGGAATAATCAATAAATTCCTAAAGACAAAGTGGGACTGGTGAGATTGGGAGACCGCTGACAGCTGCAGAAGTTGGGAAAGATCCATCATCTTGAAAACTTTTTCCCCACAAACCCACTGTGATCACTCAAGCAACTGGTAAGGAATCCAAGAGAGTCTGTATATGATACGGATCAGGGAGAGCAGAACACTTGGGAGGTGACCAGGTCTTGGGGGCCGAGCCCTTATGAATGGGATGAGTGTCTTTATAAAAGAAGCTCAATGGAGTTCTTGTGTGCCTTCCACTATGTGAGGACATGGAAAGAAGGCACCATCTATGAACCATGAAATGGGCTCTCATCAACACTGAATTTGTGAGCATCTTGACCTGAGATCTTACAGCCTCAAGAAGTTTGAAAAAAGAAATATCTGTTGTTTTTTAGTCACCCAGTTTATGTTGCTTTGTTCTAAGAGTCCAAATAGAGCAAGATATTCCACTTAATATGTAGGGGAAGGCAACAAAAACTGCCACACTTAGAATACACCTGATGCTGGGAGTATGAAAACAGGAAAAACAAAACAAAACTGCTCTTGAAGGTGAAGGAGGAATATCACTGAGCTCACCAACACAGCCAGGAAAAGAACAGAAGTGTGAGAAGGCTACATTCCTGAGACCCTGAGAAAAAGTACCTGCATAAGCCTGAGATGAAATTACCTACCCTAGTTATAATTGAAATCCCAAAAAGAAAAGAGGAAAAAATAATGGAGCAAAAGAAATATTTTTCTTTTTTTTTTTGGTTTTATTACATTTTATTTATTATTATTTTTATTTTTTCATTTATTATTATTATACTTTAAGTTTTAGGGTACATGTGCACATTGTGCAGGTTAGTTACATATGTATACATGTGCCATGCTGGTGTGCCGCACCCACTAACTCGTCATCTAGCATTAGGTATATCTCCCAATGCTATCCCTCCACCCTCCCCCCAACACACAACAGTCCCCAGAGTGTGATGTTCCCCTTCCTGTGTCCAACTGTTCTCATTGTTCAGTTCCCACCTATGAGTGAGAATGTGCGGTGTTTGGTTTTTTGTTCTTATGATAGTTTACTGAGAATGATGATTTCCAATTTCATCCATGTCCCTACAAATGACATGAACTCATCATTTTTTTATGGCTGCATAGTATTCCATGGTGTATATGTGCCACATTTTCTTAATCCAGTCTATCGTTTTTGGACATTTCGGTTGGTTCCAAGTCTTTGCTATTGTGAATAATACCGCAATAAACATACGTGTGCATGTGTCTTTATAGCAGCATGATTTATAGTCCTTTGGGTATATACCCAGTAATGGGATGGCTGGGTCAAATGGTATTTCTAGTTCTAGATCCCTGAGGAATTGCCACACTGGCTTCCACAGTGGTTGAACTAGTTTACAGTCCCACCAACATTGTAAAAGTGTTCCTATTTCTCCACAACCTCTCCAGCACCTGTTGTTTCCTGACTTTTTAATGATTGCCATTCTAACTGGTGTGAGATGGTATCTCATTGTGGTTTTGATTTGCATTTCTCTGATGGCCAGTGATGGTGAGCATTTTTTCATGTGTTTTCAGAAATAACGCCACATATCTACAACTATCTGGTCTTTGACAAACCTGACCAAAAAAAGCAATGGGGAAAGGATTTCCTATTTAATAAATGGTGCTGGGAAAACTGGCTAGCCATATGTAGAAAGCTGAAACTGGATCCCTTCCTTACACCTTATACAAAAATCAATTCAAGATGGATTAAAGACTTAAACGTTAGACCTAAAACCATAAAAACCCTAGAAAAAAACCTAGGCATTACCATTCAGGACATAGGCATGGGCAAGGATTTCATGTCTAAAACACAAAAAGCAATGGCAACCAAAGCCAAAATTGACAAATGGGATCTAATTAAACTAAAGAGCTTCTGCACAGCAAAAGAAACTACCACCAGAGTGAACAGACAACCTACAAAATGGGAGAAAATTTTCACAACCTACTCATCTGACAAAGGGCTAATATCCAGAATCTACAATGAAATCAAACAAATTTACAAGAAAAAAACAAACAACCCCATCAAAAAGTGGGTGAAGGACATGAGCAGACACTTCTCAAAAGAAGATATTTATGCAGCCAAAAGAAATATTTTTCAAAATAAGTGCCAAAAATATTCGAAAAGAAGTGACAGAAAATCAAACTTCAGATATAGGAAACTCAGAGAATGTCAAATAGAACAAAAACAAATAAGAATTACATCTTGAAAAATCTTTAAAAAATCAACTCTAAATTTTATATCTTGCTCCAAATATATAGAGATATAAATAGGTTATCATCAAGATATGGAGAAAGCCATATCATGGAAACACTAAAATAAAGCTGTGGAAGGACTACATTGATATTAGACACAACAGAGTTCAGAACAAGAAATAGTATCAGAGATGAGAGATAATAGATAATAGAATAATCAATTCTCAAGAAGATGTAAACATCCTACTAATTAGGGTATGCAGTTAACAACAGAACCTCCAATTACATGAGGTAAAACACGAAAGAAATCAAAGGTGAACTAGAAAAATCCAAAATTATATTTGCAGACTTCAATACTTTTGTCTTAGTAATGGACAGACTAGGCACAAACTCACTAATCATATGGAAGATAAGAACAACGATATCACCAACAAGACATCAAATCTTCAATGGCAGATACTCTTTCCTTTCAAGTGAAAAGAAAAACAGTATGGCGTATTCTCTAATAAGCCCAGAATTTCTAATACTTGCGGTCTTCCTTCCTTCTTTCCATCTTCCTTTCTCTTCTCTTCCCTTCCCTTGCCTTCTTCCTTCCTTTCTTCTTTTCCTCTTTCTTTTATTTTTCCTTTCTTTTCTTTCTTTTTTCTCCTGCCTTCCTTCTTCCTTTCCTCTTATTCTTCCTTTCCTCCTCCCTCCCTTCCTTTCTCCCTCCCTTCTTTTCTCTTATTCTTTTCTTTCTCACTTTCTTGCTTTCTTTCCTTTTTTTCTCCCTTCCTCCCTCCCTCCTTTTCTTCCTTCCTCCCTCCCTTCCTTTCCTCCTTTTTCCTTCCTTCCTTCCTTCTCCTCTTTATTTTCTTTGTTTCTTCACCTTCCTCCCTTTTATATTTCTCTCTTCCTCCTTTCCTTCCTCCCTTCCTCCTTTCTTTCTTTCTTTTTCTTTCTTTCTTTCTTGTGTTCTTGCTTTCTTTTGTCTCGCTTCCTCCCTTTCTCCCTCCCTCCCTCCCTCCCTTCCTTCCTTCTCTCATTTCCTCCTTCTTTTCTTTCTTCTGTCTTTCCTTCCTTCCTTCTTTCCTTCCTCTTTTTTCTTTCTTTCTCTTTACTACAATTCATATTATCTAAAAAAATTAAGAGAGGGAGGCAGAAAAATAAAGAAAACTTTAATCTGCAGGTAAATAGATTATGTCTGCTGTAGACAAAAGAATGGTCTCCCAAAAATGTTCACGTCCTAATACCCAGAGTATAACATACAAATATGTTAGGTTGCATGGCAGTGGGAAATTAGATTTCAAGTGAAATTAAGGTTGTGATAAAATGATGGAGAGATTATCTTAAATGGGTGGGATCAATGAAATCACAAGCTTCCTTATAAGTGAAAGAAGAAGGCAGAAGAAAGACAACCATGGAGGTGGTGGCATGCGAAATTACTCAACATCACTGACTTTTAAGATACAAGAATGAGGACCCAGCGCGGTGGCTCACGCCTAATCCCAGCACTTTGGGAGGCCGAGGTGGGTGAATCACGAGGTCAGGAGATCGAGAACTTCCTGGCTAACATGGTGAAACCCCATCCCTACTAAAAATACAAAAAATTAACTGGGCATGGTGGCACGTGCATGTAGTCCAAGCTACTCAGGAAGCTGAGGCAGGAGAATCGCTTGAACCCGGGAGGCAGAGGTTGCAGTGAGCTGAAATCGTGCCACTGCACTCCAGCCTGGGTGACAGAAGGAGACTCCATCTCAAAAAAAAAAAAATGGATATAAGAATGCGGTCATGTTCCAAAGAATAAAGGTGGCCTCTGGATGCTGAAAAAAATCAAGTACATAGATTCTGCCACATAGCCCTCAGAAAGACTGCAGCCTTGCCCAAAACTTGATGTTAGCCCTGTGAGTCTCATTTAAGGCTTCTGAACTCCAGAACTGTAGAATTAACTGTCACTTTATTGTAAGATATGAAGATTGTGATAATTGGTTACAGCAGCAAGAGGAAATTTATATAGTAATTGTATCATGAAAATGAGAACCATAATTTACAACTGTTTTTAATACTGCACTTGGATGTTTGAAATCACGTATATGGAAATGATCTCTATGTGCATGAGGGAGGATAGCAAATTCATGCCAAAATAACGCAAATGAAAATCTTACACTCATTTCTATGTAGGTTTGATTTAATCTTTGAAATTAAAATGAAATTAAAAGATTATGATATTTTGATGAAATTAGACTAAAATGAACAATAACAAAATAAGAACTTATGTATATTCTTTATATGGTCAATAAAGAAGTGATAATAGTGGAAAAAAGATCAAATGAAGGTGATGATT
Organism: Homo sapiens; assembly: GCF_000001405.40. Taxonomy (NCBI): domain Eukaryota; kingdom Metazoa; phylum Chordata; class Mammalia; order Primates; family Hominidae; genus Homo; species Homo sapiens. The sequence goes on along the minus strand of NC_000016.10, from coordinate 34,037,186 downwards.
TAGGAAGTTAGAAAGATAGCTTAAACTACAAAATGGTATATAACTAGTGAACACTTAGACACAATGATTGATGAACTTCAGCTTTTGGCTTGGTGACAGCATAAAATGAGAGCAGCTGAGGTTTGCAAATTTGTAATCTCCTTGTGGAAAAACAGGGGAAAACACATCTCAGCCTAATAAGATTTATCTACCAAAGAGTCAAGACTTGATCCATTTGCCCTTGTAATTCAAAAGCTCATTCAAATACTGATTTGATGTATTGTGTGAACAAGCATTGCTGATTATCATCGCATACCTGGCATTCTCTTTTATCTGATATCTAAAATATTTGGTAATTCCTGGACTTTCTCTTTTCAAACCCAGTATGGTTTAATTTCAATCTTAGAACAGATGTCTTTGAGAAATTCTTCCCTCTAGTGCATCTGTGAATGGGCATAGCATGGTTACATACATACTGTCACCCCAGAGAACAATTGTTAAATTAAAGCCAAAGTTTAAAGCAACAGTTTTAACTCACTGGCTTTACTAATGCTTTCCTCCCCAATAGCCACAACAATATTGATAACCTCACACCTTTTAACATAAAGCTTGGTGTTGTCTATTTTTCAGGTGCTGTCATCTATATGATCTCAGTATTTTAAAAATCAGCTTCCAGCCCATATGATGGCTCGTGATTGTAATACCAGCAGTTGAAGAGGCTGAAATGAGAGGATTCTTGGAGCCCAGGAGTTCAAGAGCAACCTGGGCAACATAGCAAGACCCAGTCTCTATCAAAAGTTAAAAAAAAAAAAAAAAAACTTGGGCATGGTGATGTGCAACGGTTGTCCTAGCTATTTGGGAGGCCGAGGTGGAAGGATTGCTTGAGCTTGGGAGGTTGAGGCTGCAGTGAGCAGTGATTGCACCACTGCACTCCAGGCTGGGCAACAAAGCAAGAACCTATCTCAAAAAATATATATAATAAAAATAAAAATCAGCTCTCATTGATTGCTACATAAATATGCACAGGTGATGTCCATGCAGACATAAATAATTATATATCTGACAATGGGTCCATATAACCTTCAAAATGTAAAATGCCTATCTGTGTAATTGACTGGTTAGTCTCCTTAATGATTATAGATTCAATTCTACTTTCTTGTTCTAGATAAATTATAAAATCTAGTTTTTGTTTCACTTATTTACTGATAACAACAGGAAGAATGACAAGATATCTATTTTGGAAAATTACTCTGGTAGGAGTAAAGATGAAACAATGTTAGAATTCCATGGAAAACTAGAAAAAAGTATGGTCTTCTGATAGTCTATCACATCACATACTAAAGGCCTCATAAAACTCAGATATTTTATCTAAAAATGTTATTTTCATCTTAGGAATGATCAAAGCATGAGACTACAATTGTATTACAATGTGCTTGTATCACAGGCACATGTGCTAAAAAGGAGGGGAAAACATCATTACTGATAATTTAAACGTATGTTTTACTTTCCATCAACATGAACCTCAACTTGATATGATGCAGATTGAATGAAATCACCCATAATTCCATATTAAGAAGGCCTGTGATATTTTATGGGAAAATAAATAGAGAAAATGCTAACAGAAACCCTATTAAGCATTAAGCTTTATGGAGCAAAGACAAATCTAGTGGTGAAAGATACACACTCGAGTTGTTTGTTGTCTTGGAACAATACGGTTTAGAGGTGACTGGTGGGTGAGGAGAACATATGACAGTTCACCAAACAGAAAAGCTCAATAAGGCAATGCCTCTTCCTGATCATATCTCTTACTCAGATATGTATATAATTTATTGTCCAGTAAAGGGTATATTTAAAAATCATATTAAAAGTCATGCAGTGAAGTTGTCCAGGGAAATTAAGACTTAACAGTCTCACTCTGACAATAATGAATAGGGGGGTTCCCTCAAGATAGACTAGGACATGACCCCACACTGGCAGGTAGTAGTACCAGAAAAGAACACATGGAAAATCTTTACCTTATGCTTGAGGTAAGGACCAGGCTAAAGTGAAAGCCAGACATAAAATTCTATCTAAAATATATCCACAAACGAAGAAAATATGTGGTGTACAGGCATAGAATGCCTTACTGGATCATTGAAATAGTAAGATAAATTCAAATTTTTACATTGTTTTATTTTCCTCCAGTTAGGGCTTGAGGTTTGTCTCTGGAGAGTGACTGTCAATTGGAGCCCTGCCTTTCTGGGGTTCTAGGCAGTGGGTTGTGGATGCTTAACATGTGCCTTTCACAGGACACTTCCTTAGCCCAGCAGTGGCCAGGTGTGCATCCCAAGACCAGGCCTCCCTCTCCCAGAACATCTGTTGAGACTAGGAGTTTCCTGGTCACTGTTGCCTGACCTGTGTCCTGTGTATTTCTGACAAGAGCCACTCTGAGAGACCCTGGCCAGGAAGAGAGTTAGGTTCCAGTGTAGGTCAGCTCAGACACATGGAGGCCACAGAACCAAACATGGGAAATCACAGAAGTAGGTTTATTACTCACAGATCCAGAGAGAAGAGGGTAGCTGAGAAGAGGGTAGCTGAGAAGAGGGTTTAGCTGTGTCCCCAGCCAAATCTCATCTTGAATTCCCACATGTTGTGGGAGGGAACAGGTGGGAGGTAATTGAATCATGGGGGCAGGTCCTTCCCATGCTGTTCTTCTGATAGTGAATAAGTCTCACATGATCTGATGGTTTTATAAAGGGGAGTTTCCCTGCACAAGCTCTCTTGTCTTGTCTGCTGCCATGTGAGACGTGCCTTTCACCTTGTGCCATGACTGTGAGGCCTACCCACCCATGTGGAACTGTGCATCTATTAAACCTCTTTCTTCTGGAAATTACCTAGTCTTGGGCATGTCTTTACCGGTGGTGGGAAAATGGTCTAATACAGTAGCACACCTCATAGGGCTGAACAAAATGGGGAAGATGAGTGGTGAGCAAGAGAGAGAAAAGGGGTCTGTGGGACTCCAGCCTTTATTTGGCCCAGAACATTACCCAAATAAGCTTTCCACGGGGCTCTAGTCGGTGGGGTGAGTACCAGCAGGCACATTTCTTGGCTCCCGCTGCAACTGAGCAGGTCACTCTGGCGTGTGGGGACCATCCATGTGGGCTGTGAGGTCTGTGGGGTGATTCATGTAGGTTGTATCCAACGGTTCCATAGCGGGTAGTCACCAGGAGGAGGCAACTGTGTAGGGTCAATATCTGGGCCAGCCACACTGAAGAACAGTGAGGGTTAGAACTGGAAATTGTCAAGGGAATCTGAACCCAGCTACCATATGAGAGAGTTCAACTTACGTTCAATGTGAATGCCATGGCAATATTAAAAGGTAAGAAGTCGCTCCATACGTGCTTGAGGTAAATAGGAGAAACCTAGAATTTATGTAAACAGTGAGAAGATTGGATGTGTTTTCCGTCACATATTTTAATACTAGCAGCATATTATATATGTCAATCCATCAGGCATTCAGAATTACATGCTCATGAAAATTTTTTGCACCATCAGACAAAAGACAAGGGTAGAAGAATTTGTAACCCTAAAAACACTAGTAAATTCAAAACAGAAGGACCTTTATGTCTTAACATATCTGTGTTGTGAAAGGCTGCCCTGTGAAATACGGAATTTCTTAAACATATTTTAAAAATCATTGTTGTCAATATTTTTTAGAAATCCATTTAAATTTTCTCTTGCTATTTTACAATGCCTATTTATTTATTTAGTGGTTCTGCTAATTTTGATGTATATCCTAAACTTTACATTTTCTTTAAAGTATGTTTTATACAACTTTATGTAAAATGTTTCAGTATCTTCACATTCTCTCCCTGTCCTTTTGTTTTGCTCTTATATGGTGGCCTTGAGTCTTTTCTCTGGCTTTTCAAACCTAGTAAGACTGAGACACTAAAGTAACTTTGCCTGTGGTTTGGTAATTCCTTCTAAAGCACATCCTAAGCTCTCGTGCATACAGGGTTCTCCTTTGAGCTCTATGCTTTTGAGATCCCATATACCTAAATTCCAGTACTCCAAATCAGTACTGCTCAGTTTTAATTACTAAGTTTAAAAATGTATTTTAATAGCAAGTTAGTTTAGTGCACTCTTGCTTCTTTCTTTACGGCTGGTATACATGTATATTCCTTTAAATGAATCTTGGAATTTATTTAAAAAGTTTAAATTATACAAATGAAACTGTATATTGTGAATTCATAGGTGAATTTGGAAAGAATTTGTCTTTATGATACTAAATCCTTTTTATCCAAGAATCATATGTGCCTTTATATTTCTTCCAGTCTATATTTATATCACTGAGTAAATATATAGAAATGTACATACATACAGCTGTAGTTACAGATAGATACAAATATAGATATAATATGTTAAATCTATATCTATCCCATATAACATATATACATGTTATATGTGTGTGTATATATATATGTTTGTGTTATTAAAGAGCTCCCTTAAAATTTTTCTTTTATTTCCTATATAATTTTAGGTCGAGCTTGAATTTTCCTTGTATAAACAAGCAAATATTTATACTAGTTTTAATACTGAGGTTTAGACATTCTATCTTATTTTAGCATTGAATATTTTCACAATTATTATAAATATTATCTAATATTAATGTACCTGTGAAAAATATTTAAAATTTTACCTTTGAATTATTTTATTGTTGAATTTAAATTCCTTTAAGTATGGTAGTAAATTTCTATTTTATGCTTTCTCTATGCATATGCAAATTAATCTATCCACTTCTCTATCTCTATGTAGTAACATTAAAATCAGGCCTCTCTTCTTCTAATGGACATACACATGTTTGCATATAGAATATCAGACTCTTTATAGCATTTAAAATCTTTAAAGACATGAATATTACCTTTTAACAAATATACTTTAGCATGTACTGAGAATCCTCTATTTATTTTTTATTTGGGCTAATCAATATGATTATTAATATTATTGGATTACCAAATTTGGAATCACACTTTCATCCCCAAGGTGGATATTTGTTTTTTTTTTTTTGCCAATTTCTTGTCTTACTGTTTCAAATATTGTTGGATATTATTTTTATTTGGCATTTTAGTATCAATATTTGTAAGTGATGTACTCTACATATTTTTTCTTCAATATCTGGTGGGTTTTATAATAACAGCTATATTGGATTTGTAGTAGACATTGACAAAAATTATTCCTGTACGTTTTATACCTGTATGAAGGAAACTAATATATTTTACCCCAAAATATATTTCCTTGATATATTTCAAAATGGCTATTCAGAAGGGCTGGAAATGTAAACATAGCTGCAAAGCTGTCTTGAGGAGATTTGCATCGGTAGAGAATCTGCCTTGAGGCAGCCAGGCTTTCTCTGAAGTCTGCCCCCTTGTCTGGATCTAGGAAAGGTTAACTGAGAGTCTGAGGTCTCCAAAGGTCTGAAAGAAACATTTTCTGTCTCGTCTCTCTGAGGACTGCTCCCAGTGAGGTTTCACCTACGTAATAAGTCCACTGCTGCTAGCCAGGGTCCTTTTCTCACATAACCTTTCTTTTTTTCCCCCCCCCGTGATCCAAGACCCCGTTCTTTCTGTAAACTTCATGTGGTAGATAAGCTTCTGCACACATCGTGTGTCTGGGTCTTCATTCTAAGGGCTCCAGTGTACACACATTGCAGAAACTTGTATGCCTTTTCTACTATTTATCTGCCTCCTATTAGTGATTTTCAGGGAAACTTCAGAAGGCAAAAGGGACATTCTCTTTTAGCCCATACCCAGACAAAATCCCGCAACATTTAACTGATTCCTAATAGCTTAAAATCATTTTGAAAAATCCATATATTTATAACCTTTTCTTCCCTCTATGATTTCTGCTCAGCTTGGGTTTTGTTTTTTATTCCATTTACTTCATCCTCGAAAAGATGTGTTTTATGTCTATTTATTGTCATTTATTGACATTGAGAAAAGAAAATAACTTTCATGTGAGAAATGCAAGTCCTTTTAAATAATCAGGCCCAGAGAGATATTCAAATGAGACAGCAGTTCTGTTCTGCTCCTCTTTGAGCTGTGTGTTCATCTAGGCTGCTTGCTGTTGCCACAGTAGCTATAAATTAACCAATAATGCCACACCAGACACTATAATCCACACCCAATAATAGTGTAACAGTGTATAGCCAGTCACTAATAAATGTTATTTCCATAAGACAATGAGAATTTGTGACAAACCTATTTGCGTCATCCCACTTGTTGTCCCTTTTTTGCCTTTAAGAAACTGCTTGTTGGAAAGCTCCAAAGGGAGTTCATATCCAAGGATACTTGGATCTGTTTCTTCCAGGCAGCTGTCCTCATTGTGGCTCAAGTAAACTCTTTGAATTACGTTTTGTGCTTCAGCCTCTTCCACTTAGATTAACAACATGGATTTGTGTCACCATGTACAGCAATTAAAATGTTTGCACTTTTCCCTACGAGAGCATTGATGTGTTTTCCTGAGCACTTGGAATGGCTACATAGTGTTTACTTTAAAGATTATGGTTTCTCAACCTTGGTGCAACTTACCTTTAGGACCGGAGGATTCTTTGTTGTGGGAGGCTGCCCTAGCAATGCTAGGTGTTTCGTTTGACCTCTAAATTTCACACCTCCACTAGTCTTGACACCTCCAAAATAACCCTAGACATTGACAAATGTCTCCTGGGGAAAACTCTCCCCCAGTTGACAGCCAAACCTCTTGAAATATTGGAATTGTCAATTGAGTTTTTATGTTATCCAAAACAAATATTTTTCTTTGTTTTTAAACATCTGCTTCCATCTACTTATCTACTTAGTTTTACTTTTATTTGTAACTTAATTCCATCAAGGAGAGAGAGTACATTCTGTTATGCTAAATTTTTGAAGAATGTATTGATTTTTTATGACCTGATATATGGATGATATGTAGATATTACATGTTTGTATTATCAAATTTCAGGGTGATAATAAAATACTTATAATATTTATATTATCAATGTATATTAGTTATTTTCTTTCTTCACTACAGGAGTTTTTCAACCTATAGGCTATTTCTCAATTCTAGGTTATCCAGTAGATTTTGAAATGTTATGATTAAATATCTACTTCTCAAGCATTCATCTTTGCAAATGAATCAATCCCAAGCTCCTATAATGCACATCATATAAAGGGCAGATTAGTCAATATATGGTTCAGAAATAATTATGTAATATTTATAAGAAAATTAAAAATTTAGATCCTGAACTCAGATAACAATAATCCAAATTAAAATTTGGTTTAATTACATAATTTAAAATGACACCAGAATACTAGTAAAAATGTAGATGTTTATATAATCCTTTTTAGCTGTAGGACTTTATTAGCATAAATTCAAATACAGGAACCAAAGTAAGATTGAGACCTATAGTAAAAGGTTAAAATGTACACATTATAGGGTCATGATTAAACTAATTGAAAGCATAATAACATGGAGAAATACTGCAAAACATACATTTTACTGAATTAATTGTTAATATCTAATCATTAAGTGAGAACAAAGGTAAAGAGTAGCTACACACACATACACCCACACACAAGTGCAATATTGTCAAATAAACGTGATGTTCAGCTACACTAGAGATCACACCTGTGTTTTCTTCACAGAGACTAAAGATTAAAAATCACAATAATATTTATTGTACATATGGAGGTAAAGATACTCAAAATATTACCCTAAAATACATTTTTTTTTTTGAGATGGAGTTTTGCTTTTATTGCCCAGGCTGGAGTGCAATGGCACAATTTTGGCTCACTGCAACTTCAGCCTCCAAGGGTCAAGTAATTCTCCTAGCTCAGCCTCCCAAGTAGCTGAGATTACAAGCATTTGCCACCACACTCGGCTAATTTTTTGAAATTTAGTAGAGACGGGTTTTCACCATGTTGGTCAGGCTGGTCTCGAACTCCTGACTTCAGGTGATCTACCCACTTCAGCCTCCCAAAGTGCTGGGATTACAGGCATGAGCCTGGCCAACTTTTTGACATATTTCAAGATGGCTACTCGGAAGACTGGAAATAGCTTCTTCTACAAGAATAGCTGAAAAGCTGTGTTTGTTGGGGAGATTTGCATTTGTAGAGAAAATCTGCATTGATATAGACAGGCTTTCCCTGAGATACTCCCTTGTCTGGGTTTAGGAAAGATTAACTGAGTCTGGCACGTTTACATTTGTAAAAACCATTTCCTATCTATACTTCTCAAGAGGAGGGCTGCTCCCTGTGAGGTTTCGTCTATGTAACAAGACCATCTCTGCTGCCAGGCTCCTCTTTCTTCCTTGTCATCACCTCTTTTCCGCAAAGCCTGATTTAACAACCTAGAGCTCTGTGTTTTCCGTAATCTCAAGACAGCATAGGCGTGTTGACTACCTTGCCTTTCCTGGAGTATTTATATATATAGTATATATTTGTATATCTATTTATAATATACAAATATTTGTATATATATATTTATGTATTATGTAAAGTCCAAGTGCATACTTGTGCACATAATTATATCTGTAAACCTTTTTTCCTGTTAATTTGTACATTATCAGTTTGTTTTATAGACTCATATAATTAAAGCTTCAAGGGAAAAATTTAAACTTTCCTATAGAGAAAAGACAAATATATATGTGACAAATAATATGTAGTGTGTAAGACGCTTTTTAAAGGTATATTTGCAATTTGTGTCAAAACATTTAAATATACATTTGTTACTTTAACTATAAAATTTCAAATAATTTAAACTAAATGCATGGTATATGCAGAAAATTTAGCAATATATCTATGTAGCACCTTACTGTGCATTACTGTAACCAGCTGTCTAACATAAAGAACTAATTAAGGTAGCATCTACTTTTCAAATATTACATTTTTTTCACAGACCTATTAAATAAGACAAAAAAATTTAAACTTTATTTTTAAATTTGCAGAATAGTAGTTTTCAGCAGATGGTTTATTTTAGCAAATTCCATCTTCACATTGTGCTATGCTTTTATGAGTTCCAGCTGTTAACGGATAATATTTTAATGCTGAATCTATCATGTGTGATATAATTGCTCATTATGTGCCTTAAAACACAAGCAACATAGTTATTTTCAACTTGGAGCAAATTAAAATCTTATCAGCAATTTAAAAAATCTAGAGTTGTCTTCTTCTGGTTAATTATTTTAAACTTGTATTTTTCTCTTTATGTTTTTAGTAAGTTGTCTTATCAAGAAGAAGAACTCAAGCTGATAATTCTATTTTTCTCTTCCATCCAGCTCGTAGGTGTGTTAATAATTTCATTTCTCAGAAAATGTTCTTTCATATCCATCTTACAAGATGAGAGACCTTTTAACAACTTCCATTCGGATGTGATACCAGTAATGGAAAATATTCCAGCTTCATGAACATGGTGATACAAATAGTTATCAGTCTAATCTCTTTCAGTGCCAAATGTTTACTTTACTCAGTGAATTACTCAGTTGACTGGTAATTTCTTCTGAAATCACTAATGAGAGGATCAGAGGTCTGGCTGTTGTCTGTACCTCATATGACTCCCAGTGCAGACAATGGTTTCTATGGAGCACAGACAGTTGAAAGGATTGACTTCCTGCCTAGAATAGTTTCTGCTGTTCTTCTTATCCTTCTTGTGGAGATTTCAGATTATCTGAATTGCTTTTCTATCTTAAGAAAAAACTCAACAATTCTCCCACCTGAGAGGAATGTAAACTGTAGTAAGTTAGCAGAACCAATCCGTAACGTTTTTACATTGTTTGTTGTAAAATGCAAGGTTGGTGTCTCCATCACTAACCTTTTCTATCCCTCATTGCTGTTTCTTTGACTGCAATAGGATACCTCTAGGCAAATCTGTATTTCCGAGACAGAGTGCCCTTTTGGTGACCTATAAGTACACTCAATGGTAGGCTGAAATACTACTTTTTATCTATGGTGAAATGGAATCATATCAGTGACTTTTTTTAAAAGGAAATTTAACTCTTGCTATGGTTTGAATGCTTGCCCCTTCCAAATCTCATGTTAAAATTTGATCCCCAATGTTGCAGGTGGGGCTTACTGGGAGGTGTTGGGTCATGGGGATGGACCTTCATGAATGGATAATACCCTCCCTTAGGAATCTCAAGCTATCCTCCCTCCTCGGTGCCCTCAGGAATGAGTGTACCATTCTTTATTCAAGTATAATTGCCCCACCCATCCTTTTTGAGATATTAATTACATGTATGTTACACTGCTGCATATTGTCTCACGTATCAGTGAGATTCTGGCTTTCTTATTTTAGTTTACCCTTTGTCCTTTAGTTTGTAAAGCTTCTATTTTTTTCTATAAATTTTCTGATGTTAGGGTAAAATCCATTACTTATTCTATATCGTGGAATTTTTATTTCAAATATTTATTTTTCATCTATACATGTCACATTTTTCATTTTATAACTTCTATTTTCTCCTATGTTCAATTTCCATTTAAGTAATTTGACATATATATGTATTTATCTATATGTATTTATAAAATATATTTACTTTAAGGACCTTGAAAATTCCTTCTTCTCTGTCATTTATAAATGACTTATTTTTATACTGTTAACATATATCTTAATAATATATATCTTCCGGCTTCTTTGCATGTCAGAGTTTTTTTGGGGGGTATTTTGATGTTATGCTATTGAATATCTAGATTTTATTGGCTACCTTTGAACAATGTTGTGGCAGGCAGTTCAGTAACTTCAGGATGATTATTTTTCTGTTGTTGTTTTAAATCTTCTCTTTAAACTTTGTTGAGTTAGTCTAGAGCCATCTGTAATTTGGAGCTAAATGAGCACTGTCACTAGGGCATGAACCTCCAGTGGTCTTTACTGAATACCCTGGATATACAGAGGGGATTCCCTTCTCTGGCTGGTCAGAACTAACATGTCTTTACATTTCGCTTAGGGACTTGGGAGAAACCTTAGGCTTATTCTTGGTTCCTTTTTCTGTAAACTTTCTCTTCTACTACACATTCCAGCTGCTCAAACTTTTTTGATTTTTATCTGGTTCCTCAGTGCAATGACAATGTCTGCTCTCTCTGGGATTCCTCTCTACTGCTGTCACGGAGAACCTGGGAATAAAGCAGGACCCATTCTGGCTCCTTCTCTTCTCTTGCAGAGCACAGTCCTGTGCTGCCTGATGTTCAGTACTTCAAAAAAAGTTTCATATATTTTGTCCAGTTTACTATCTTTAACTCTAAAAGTGTAACCAGTTACAGCATCATGTTCTGTAACTCTACTCCTTGTTGCTTCATTCTGCCGTTGTCTGGTATGATCGCCCCTTTCCCTTCTCTAATCAGGCCAAGAGCATAATATAATACTAGTTATAACTGCACAGCTTGCCTCCATTGTGTAAAAAAAATCACTGAGAGTTAACTGTGTCCAACTTTTTAAATGTGAATATAAGTACAACGAAAGCTATATTTTGGTTAATATTCGCATTGCATGCTTTTCCATTATTTACTTTCAACATATGTGAAATATAAATATAAATTATAAAAACTTTAAGAGAGTCCATTTAAAAAAATCTGGTCTGATTATGTTTTAACTGGTTTATTACAACGTGCATTCTTGACTTCAGGGCCTAATATAATTGGTACACTTGTCTATTTGCAAAAAAAAGACTTGACAATATTTTAAAATTAATTTATCCAACTCACAACTTATATGCTTCTGCTGTTGTATGGAAGATACATTTTAAACTTTATGAGATAGCATTCTGTTATACAGCTGATATCCAATTAAATTTCTCTCTATGTTTATTTCTTTCATTAAAAAAAATCGTTCTTCTAACTGCAAACTTTCATCAGGGATCATGGCTCTTCTACCTGAAGAATAATCTTTAGTATTTCCTTTCCTGTGGGTCTGCTTGGGAGAAATTCTTTATTGTATCTTTGCCTTTGATGGATATGTCCACCAAGTAGACAGTTCTAGGTCGGCACTTATTTTATTTCAGGACTTGAAAGATATCAATACCTCACTTGTTGGCTTTCATTGTTTCATTTGAGAAGGTTATCAGTCAACTCTTTCTGTTTGTAGTTAGCCCAATTTTTTTATCAAGTGCTCCTTACATTTTTCTTTTACTTTTTAGAAATTGTCCCACTATGTTTCTCGGTGTGTCCTCTGTGTGTGTTTTCCTTTGGTTTGCAAAGCCTCCTGAACCTGTGGTTGAACATTATTGGTCGATTTTGATAAAACCTCTAACATTGCCACTTAAAATGCTGTTCAGACCAGCTGTTTTCTCTCTCTTAGATTTCAACGTGTTAGATTATTACTGTATCCTTTATATTTTTAAATGACCTTTCTCTACTTTTTTTTTTAGTTCATTAATCTGTATTAGTGTATATTTTGTTTTTTTTTATTTTATTTTATTATTATTCTTTAAGTTTTAGGATACATGTGCACAATATGCAGGTTTGTAACATAAGTATTCATGTGCTATGTAGGTGTGTTGCACCCATTAACTCGTCATTTAGCATTAGGTATATCTCCTAAAGCAATCCCTTCCCCCCTCCCCCCACTCCACAACATTCTCCAGTGTGTGATGTTCCCATTCCTGTGTCCATGTGTCATTTAGCATTAGGTACATCACCTAATGCTATCCCTCTCCCCTCCCCCAACCCCATAAAAGTCCCCGGTGTGTGATGTTCCCCTTCCTGTGTCCACGTGTTCTCATGGTAAAATTCCCAACTATGAATGAGAACATGCGTTGTTTGGTTTTTTGTCCTTGCGATAGTTTACTGAAAATGATGATTTCCAGTTTCATACATGTCCCTACAAAGGACATGAATTCATCATTTTTTGTGGCTGCATAGTATTCCATGGTGTATATGTGCCACATTTTCTTAATCCAGTCTATCGTTTTTGGACATTTAGGTTAGTTCTAAGTCTTTGCTATTGTGAATAATGCCTCAATAAACACACGTGTGCATGTGTCTTTATAGCAGCATGATTTATAGTCCTTTGGGTATATACCCAGTAATGGGATGGCTGGGTCAAACGGTATTTCCAGTTCTAGATCCCTGAGGAATCGCCACACTGACTTCCACAATGGTTGAACTAGTTTACAGTCCCACCAACAGTGTAAAAGTGTTCCTATTTCTCCACATCCTCTCCAGCACCTGTTGTTTCCTGACTTTTTAATGATTGCCATTCTAACTGGTGTGAGATGGTATCTCATTGTGGTTTTGATTTGCATTTCTCTGATGGCCAGTAATGGTGAGCATTTTTTCATGTGCTTTTTGGCTGCATAAATGTCTTCTTTTGAGAAGTGTCTGTTCATGTCCTTCGCCCACTTTTTGATGGGGTTGTTTGTTTTTTTCTTGTAAAGTTGTTTGAGTTCATTGTAGATTCTGGATATTAGCCCTTTGTCAGATGAGTAGGTTGTGAAAATTTTCTCCCATTTTGTAGGTTGCCTGTTCACTCTGATGGTAATTTCTTTTGCTGTGCAGAAGCTCTTTAGTTTAATTAGATCCCATTTGTCAATTTCGGCTTTTGTTGCCATTGCTTTTCATGTTTTAGATATGAAGTCCTTGCCCATGCCTATGTCCTGAATGGTAAAGCCTAGGTTTTCTTCTAGGGTTTTTATGGTTTTAGGTCTAACGTTTAAGTCTTTAATCCATTTTGAATTGATTTTTGTATAAGGTGTAAAGAAGGGATCCAGTTTCAGCTTTCTACATATGGCTAGCCAGTTATCCCAGCACCATTTATTAAATAGGGAATCCTTTCCCCATTGCTTGTTTTTGTCAGGTTTGTCAAAGATCAGATAGTTGTAGATATGTGGCATTATTTCTGAGGGCTCTGTTCTGTTCCATTGATCTACATCTCTGTTTTGGTACCAGTACCATGCTGTTTTGGTTACTGTAGACTTGTAGTATAGTTTGAAGTCAGGTAGTGTGATGCCTCCAGGTTTGTTCTTTTGGCTTAGGATTGACTTGGCGATGCGGGCTCTTTTTTGGTTCCATACTTACTTTAAAGTCGTTTTTTCCAATTCTGTGAAGAAAGTCATTGGTAGCTTGATGGGAATGGCATTGAATTTAGTTCTCCTTGAAGAGATCCTTCACGTCCCTTGTAAGTTGGATTCCTAGGTATTTTATTCTCTTTGAAGCAATTGTGAATGGGAGTTCATTCATGATTTGGCTCTCTGTCTGTTATTTGTGTACAAGAAGTCTTGTGATTTTTGTACATTGATTTTCTATCCTGAGACTTTGTTGAAGTTGCTTATCAGCTTAAGGAGATTTTGGGCTGAGAAAATGGGGTTTTCTAGATATACAATCATGTCATCTGCAAACAGGGACAATTTGGCTTCCTGTTTTCCTAATTGAATATCATTTGTTTCCTTCTCCTGCCTGATTGTCCTGGCCAGAACTTCCAATACTATGTTGAAAAGGAGTGGTGAGGGAGGGCATCCCTGTCTTGTGCCAGTTTTCAAAGGGAATGCTTCTAGTTTTTGCTCATTCAGTATGATATTGGCTGTGGGTTTGTCATACAAGCTCTTATTATTTTGAGATACGTCCCATCAATACCTAATTTATTGAGATTTTTTAGCATGAAGCGTTGTTGAATTTTGTCAAAGGCTTTTTCTGCATCTATTTGGATAATCATGTGGTTTTTGTCTTTGGTTAGGTTTATATGGTGGATTACATTTATTGATTTGTGTATGTTGAACCAGCCTTGCATCCCAGGGATGAAGCCCACTTGATCATGGTGGATAAGCTTTTTGATGTGCTGCTGGATTCAGTTTGCCAGTATTTTATTGAGGATATTTGCATCAATGTTCATCAAGGATATTGGTCTAAAATTCTCTTTTTTGGTTGTGTCTCTGCCAGGCTTTGGTATCAGGATGATGCTGGCTTCATAAAATGAGTTAGGGAGGATTCCCTCTTTTTCTATTGATTGGAATAGTTTCAGAAGGAATGGTACCATTCCTCCTTGTACCTCTGGTAGAATTCAGCTGTGAATCCATCTGGTCCTGGACTCTTTTTGGTTGGTAAGCTATTGATTATTGCCACAATTTCAGAGCCTGTTATTGGTCTATTCAGAGATTCAACTTCTTCCTTGTTTAGTCTTGGGAGAGTGTATGTGTTGTGGAATTTATCCATTTCTTCTAAATTTCCAAGTTTATTTGCATAGAGGTGATTGTAGTATTCTCTGATGGCAGATTGTATTTCTGTGGGATCGGTGGTGACATCCCCTTTATCATTTTTTATTGCATCTAATTTGATTCTTCTCTCTTTTCTTCTTTATTAGTCTTGCTATCGGTCTATCAATTTTGTTGATATTTTCAAAAAACAAGCTCCTGGATTCATTAATTTTTTGAAGGGCTTTTTGTGTCTCTATTTCCTTCAGTTATGCTGTGATTTTAGTTATTTCTTACTTTCTGCTAGCTTTTGAATGTGTTTGCTCTTGCTTTTCTAGTTATTTTAATTGTGGTGTTAGGGTGTCAATGTTGGATCTTTCCTGCTTTCTCTTGTGGGCATTTAGTGCTATAAATTTCCCTCTACACACTGCTTTGAATGTGTCCCAGAGATTCTGGTATGTCATGTCTTTCTTCTCGTTGGTTTCAAAGAACATCTTTAATTCTGCCTTCATTTCATTATGTACCCAGTAGTCATTTCAGAGGAGGTTGTTCATTTTCCATGTAGTTGAGCGGTTTTGAGTGAGTTTCTTAATCCTGATTTCTAGTTTGATTGCACTCTGGTCTGAGAGACAGTTTGTTATAATTTCTGTTGTTTTACATTTGCTGAGGAGACCTTTACTTCCAACTATATGATCAAGTTTGGAATGGGTGTGGTGTGGTGCTGAAAAAAAATGTATATTCTTTTGATTTGGGGTGGAGAGTTCTGTAGATGTCTATTAGGTCCGCTTGGTGCAGAGCTGAGTTCAATTCGTGGGTGTCCTTGTTAACTTTCTGTCTCGTTGATCTGTCTAATGTTGACAGTGGGGTGTTAAAATCTCCCATTATTATTGTGTGGGAGTCTAAGTCTCTTTGTATGTTACTCAGGACTTGCGTTATGAATCTGTGTGCTCCTGTATTGGGTGCATATTTAGGATAGTTAGCTCTTCGTGTTGAATTGATCCCTTTACCATTATGTAATGGCCTTCTTTGTCTCTTTTGATCTTTGTTGGTTTAAAGTCTATTTTATCAGAGACTAGGATTGCAACCCCTGCCTTTTTTTGTTTTCCATTTGCTTGGTAGATCCTCCTCCATCCCTTTATTTTGAGTCTTTGTGTGTCTCTGCCCGTGAGATGGGTTTCCTGAATACAGCACAATGATGGGTCTTGAATCCTTATCCAATTTGCCAGTCTGTGTCTTTTAATTGGAGCATTTAGTCCATTTACATTGAAAGTTAATATTGTTATGTGTGAATTTGTTCCTGTCATTATGATGTTTGCTGGTTATTTTGCTCGTTAGTTGATGCAGTTTCTTCCTAGCCTCGATGGTCTTTACAATTTGGCATGTTTTTGCAGTGGCTGTTACTGGTTGTTCCTTTCCATGTTTAGTGCTTCCTTCAGGAGCTCTTTTAGGGCAGGCCTGGTGGTGACAAAATCTCTCAGCATTGTTTTTCTGTAAAGTATTTTATTTCTCCTTCACTTATGAAGCTTAATTTGGCTGGATATGAAATTCTGGGTTGAAAATTCTTTTCTTTAAGAATGTTGAATATTGACCCCCACTCTCTTCTGGCTTGTAGAGTTTCTGCCGAGAGATCAGCTGTTAGTCTGATGGGCTTCCCTTTGTGGGTAACCCGACCTTTCTCTCTGGCTGCCCTTAACATTTTTTCCTTCATTTCAACTTTGGTGAATCTGACAATTATGTGTCTTGGAGTTGCTCTTCTTGAGGAGTATCTTTGTGGCGTTCTCTGTATTTCCTGAATCTGAATGTTGGCCTGCCTTGCTAGATTGGGGAAGTTCTCCTGGATAACGTCGTGCAGAGTGTTTTCCAACTTGGTTCCATTATCCCCGTCACTTTCAGGTACACCAATGAGACGTAGATTTGGTCTTTTCACATAGTCCCATATTTCTTGGAGGCTTTGTTCATTTCTTTTTATTCTTTTTTCTCTAAACTTCCCTTCTTGCTTCATTTCATTCATTTCATCTTCCATCACTGGTACTCTTTCTTCCTGTTGATTGCATCCACTCCTGAGGCTTCTGCATTCTTCATGTAGTTCTTGAGCCTTGGCTTTCAGCTCCATCAGCTCCTTTAAGCACTTCTCTGCATTGATTATTCCAGTTATACATTCATCTAATCGTTTTTCAAAGTTTATAACTTCTTTGCTATTGGTTTGAATTTCCTCCTGTAGCTCGGAGTAGTTTGATCATCTGAAGCCTTCTTCTCTCAACTCGTCAAAGTCATTCTCCGTCCAGCTTTGTTCCATTGCTGGTGAGGAACTGCGTTCCTTTGGAGAAGGAGACGTGCTCTGCTTTTTAGAGTTTCCAGTTTTTCTGCTCTGTTTTCTCCCTGTCTTTGTGGTTTTATCAACTTTTGGTCTTTGATGATGGTGATGTACAGATGGGCTTTTGGTGTGGGTGTCCTTCTGTTTGTTAGTTTTCCTTCTAAAAGACAGGACCCTCAGCTGCAGATCTGTTGGAGTTTCCTAGAGGTCCACTCCAGACCCTGTTTGCCTGGGTATCAGCAGTGGTGGCTGCATAACAGCGGATTTTCGTGAACCACAAACTCAGCTGTCTGATCGTTCCTCTGGAAGTTTGGTCTCAGAGGACTACCCGGCCGAGTGAGGTGTCAGTCTGTCCCTACTGAGGGGTGCCTCCCAGTTAGGCTGCTCGGGGGTCAGTGACCCACTTTAGGAGGCAGTCTGCCCGTTCTCAGATCTCCAGCTGCGTGCTGGGAGAACCACTACTCTCTTCAAAGCTGTCAGACAGGGACATTTAAGTCTGCAGAGGTTTCTGCTGACTTTTTGTTTGTCTGTGCCCTGCCCCCAGAGGTGGAGCCTACAGAGGCAGGCAGGACTCCTGGAGCTGTGGTGGGCTCCACCCAGTTCCAGCTGCCTGGCTGCTTTGTTTACCTAACCAAGCCTGGGCAATGGTGGGCACCCTTCCCCCAGCCTCACTGCCGCCTTGCAGTTTGATCTCAGACTGCTGTGC
This sequence comes from Homo sapiens, assembly GCF_000001405.40. Classification (NCBI taxonomy): domain Eukaryota; kingdom Metazoa; phylum Chordata; class Mammalia; order Primates; family Hominidae; genus Homo; species Homo sapiens. The sequence goes on along the minus strand of NC_000016.10, from coordinate 34,019,063 downwards.
TAGCAATCTGCGAGACTTTGTGGGTGTAGGACCCTCTGAGCCAGGTGCGGGACACAATCTCCTGGTGTGCTGTTTTCCAAGCCCATTGAAAAAACACAGTATTAGGGTGAGAGTGACCTGATTTTCCAGGTGCCGTCTGTCACCCCTTTCTTTGACTAGGAAAGAGAACTCCCTGACCCTTTGCACTTCCCGAGTGAGGCAATGCCTCGCCATGCTTCAGCTTGCACACGGTGCGCTGCACCCACTGTCCTGCACCCACTGTTGGGCACTCCCTAGTGAGATGAACACGGTACCTCAGATGGAAATGCAGAAATCACCTGTCTTCTGAGTCGCTCACGCTGGGAGCTGTAGACCAGAGCTGTTCTTGTTCGGCCATCTTGACTCCACCCCTCATTTCATTATTTCATCATTTCATCATTTCATCATTTCACTTCATTTCATCCTTTCATTTCATTTCATCATTTCATCCCATTTCTTCATTTCATCATTTCATCTTTTCATTTCATTTCATCATTTCATTTCATCATTTCACTCCATCATTTCATTTCATCATTTCATTTCCTCATTTCATTTCATCATTTCATTTCATCATTTCATTTCATCATTCCATTTCATCATTGCATCATTTCATTGCATCATTTCATCATTTCATTTCATCTCATCATTTCATCATTTAATTTCATGTCATCATTTCATTTCAACATTTCACCATTTCATTTCATATCATCATTTCATTTCATCAATTTATCATTTCATTTCATCATTTCATTTCATTTCATCATTTCATTTCATTTCAGTGATACATGCATTTAAGTGCTAATGTGATGCCCAGGAGACACCCTATTTCCCTTTGTAAAACACCTCCTTCAACAAAAGGCAACCTCACATGGCTGGCTAAGTCTACAGGGATACCAGCCTCTCTTCAACCACCCAATTTCATTTAGAACTTCAAACAGCACCTCAGTTTCATAAAAACCTAAAACATAAACACAACACTTGGTTGTAAGTGAGGCAACTGTTTCTTGTCTCTTTCTCTGCTCAAGGCTTAAGGCCGTGTCTCCCCAGCTATGTTCAGTGGAAGAAAATATTCCCCTGGACAAATAAGTTTGAGAACTGTTGTTGCAGGAGTTCTCAGAACCTTTAAAACGCAAATCCTCATCCGCAGGGATCTTCAGGAGGGAGATGGCTGATGCAGCACAACTTTCTTTCACAGGAGCATCTTGCAGAATACAGTATGAGATACAGAAAGGCTGCATTGAGTCTTTTTAAGGGCCCGAGCCTTGGCAGGGGTGAGGTAGGAGCTCTCCAGATAGCATCTAATGAGTAGGAACATTCAGGTTGCTTTATTTTTTCCTTATTGGCAAAACTGTGTGTGCACCATGAATGAAGCTCGTCTCCCTTATCCATATCAAAACTAAACCCAAATTAATTGGCTAAATTGGGACTGAACACCTCCAGGAGCCACGTGGAAGAAAGCCCCACCACACTTTAAAGTACCTTACCTCATCATATTTGAGGAAAGCAAAACACTTATGACCAGTATGCTGCTAATACAAGTCTACAGATAATGCTGTAGGAAAAATTATTTTTCCTAATCATAGCTGGCATAGTCCACATTTTGCATTACACTTCCCCCACCTTTTTTTAAATTTGAAACACAAGTCTTTTCCTCTTCTTTTTTTAAATTTTAATTTAATTGTACAAAACGGAGTCTTAGTATGTTGCCCAGGCTGGTCTTCAACTCCTGAACTCAAGCGATACATCCGTCTCCCCCTCCCAAAGTGCTAAGACTACAGGCCTGAGACACTGTGCCTGGCCTTAAACACAAATCTTAATTCATTCTTACAATTATCCTGAAGTTAGAAAAATGGAAGGGGAAGAAACATGGCAAGCAGGTAGGCTGACTTCGGCTTCATTATTTGAAGGACAGTTTGCTCAGTTAAAACACACTACTACCCACAAATGCCATGACAACAGAAAAATACAGACTTATATAAACAGGTTTTATATGTGACAGCAGTTTAAATGGAGACTTTTTTAATGCAAATGACAAACAGCTGTGCTTGGGAATAAATGACAACGAATTTTTTTATCTCAACAGCTGTCCTGAGAGCACCTCTCTACATCTCTACCTGCATTCTGGAATCAGGGAGAAAGCCAAAACAGATGACAAGACATTAGATCAGCCGTGTCCAACCCTTTGACTAAAAGGACTTTTCTGCCTATCTGTGGTGGTGGGTATCATGAAAATTATGCACAAACCTTTTTTTTTTTTTTATAAGCTCATCAGCTGTTGTTAGCAATAGTGTATTTTATGTGTGGCCCAGGAGAATTCTTCTTCCAATGTGGCCCTGAGAAGCCAAAAGACTGGACACCTGTGCACTAGATCAAAAGGCTACTCCTTCTGGAAGCAATTGTAAAGAATTTCTGACATTATCTTGACATGAAAACCAATGGATAGTGGGACAGAATGCAAAATCTTCAAGAATATTTTTTGTTTTATTTATTTATTTATTTTTTTTTTGAGTCAAGGTCTTGCTCAGTGGCCCAGGCTGCAGTACACTGGTGAGATCACAGCTCAGTGCAGGCTCAAGTGCTCCGCCCACCTTAGCCACAGTAGTAGCTGGGACTACAGATGTGCACAACCACTCCTGGCTAACATTTTATTTTTTGTAGAGACATGGTCTCACTATATTGTCCAGGTTGGTCTCAAACTCCTTGACTCAAGGGATCCAGGACAGGATAACAGTTGTGAGCCACCACACCTGGCCATGTGCATGAAAAAGTCCCCATGAAAGTTAAGGTTTTCCCACCTAATTTCCAGGGGATCTTTTGGTGCAAGGATGAGAAGCCCTTAAAAGTACACAGACAACTCCAAAGATTCAAGAGAGTTCATTCGGGCTGAGCCAGTCCACTGGGCAGACTGACCTTCAAAAAAGGCCCACCCATGACATACACTAGATAGCTCTCCAAGAATCTCTCCAGTCCTCAGGGTCCCTAAGGTACTGGACAGAGCTAGGAAAGCAAACCCATCTGCTTCTTCCTGCAGGAAACCCCTTGAGGTCAAGACCCCACAATCAGACGAGGATGGAGTGGCTCACCCTCAGTCAACAGGCCAGACTCAAGGTGGTATAATGTCTCAACCAAGGGTGTGGGCTCCCAGGTCTGACTCCCAACTCAGTTCTCCTTTAATAACCACACTTTGTTAATTCTCTTTAAGAGAGGTTCCTGGCAAGTCAGTTCTCCCTCAGGCCTTTGGTTTCCTCACCTACAAGACGAGAGGGCTGGACCAGATGGAAATTCGGGTTGTAAGGGGATGTCTGCGCGCAGCCCACCCCGCCCACGGGCCCCTCAAGCCTCCATCCAAGTTCCCACCACGCACCCGCCCCACAAATCCTGCCCAAGGTGAGGGCTGGTCCGGGGTCCTCTGGCTGCCGCATCAGCTAGTGCAGGAGGGAAGAGAAGCCTCCAAGGGGGCCACGCGGGCTCAAGGATGCAACTCGGCCAGGAGTGAATTGGGGCCCCAAGGGAGGTGTCCGGGCCACTCCTCGAGCCCAGCCAGTGTCCCGGACCCCCTTACGTCCATCGTCCGTATTTCCTGCTGGGTGAGGTCGTTGGACACAGCGCACTTGGTGCGCAGCCCGAGCAGGCTGCCGATGGAGATGCCTATGAACTTCTGGAGCTGCCCGCACTGCTGCAGCACCCGGCTAGCGGCGGCCCCTGCGCCTCCCTCTGCGCCACCGCATCACCCCCGCCACCGCCCTCCTTTTTCTCTCCCATCGCAGCCGGGCGCAGCGCCAGTCTATGCAGGCTGCAGCGGTCAAGGCGGGGAGGTAGGGGCGCGGGCGTCTAGGCAAGAAACCCCGGAGCTGGGAGAGCTGGACGAGGAGCGCCCCTCGGCGCTGCCCGAGCCAGGACGCCGGTAGAGCTGGCAGCCTAGTCGGCGGATCCCGAAGTCAGAGCCGCGGCGGCGGGGGCAAAAAGTGGCGGGGCGGGGGAGTGCAAAAAGCCGCAAAGGCAAAAAGCTGCGGCGGCGGGTGTAGAAAGCCGTGGCGGCGGAGGCAAAAAGCCGCGGTGGGAACAACCTGTGGCAGCGGGGGCAAAAAGCCACAAAAAGCCGCTGTGGCGGGGGCAAAAAGTCGTGGCGGCGGGGGCAAAAAGCCGCGGCGGCGGAGGCAAAAAGCCGTGCGGGCGGGAGCAAAAAGCAACGGGGGCGGGGGCAGAAAGCCGCGGCGACGAGGCCGAAAGCCGCGGCGGCGGGGGCAAAGAGCCGCGGCGACGGGGTCAAAAAGCCGCGGCAGAGAAAGCCGCGGCGGCGGGGGCAGAAAGCCGCAAAAAGCCGCGGCGGCGGGGGCAAAAAGCCGCAGCGGCAAAAAGCTGCGTCGGCGGGGGCAGAAAGCCGCGGCGGGAGAAACCTGCGGCGGCGGCAAAAACCGGCAGCGGCGGGGGCCAAAAGCCGCAAAAAGCCGCGGCGGCGGGATCAAAAAGCCAGCTGCTCCCCTGGGATTCCTCCAATTACCCTGTTTAAAGCCTCTGCTCACTCATGCGCTGGAAGAGGGATGTCAGAGATGCAGTCTACTCTTCCTAAAGGGCTGACAGGGCATAAAGACAAGATTGATTATCCATGGAACATTCCTACAGGAATGCACCTATGTGCAGACACACTAATAAGCAGTGTGTCTTGCAGTGTGTAAATGGCTGAGATGCTATTTACACTTCTTTACACAATACATTTTTAAATGTTTTGTTGATGTATTCTCCATCATTTAAAAAAATCATCGCTTTCCCCCTAAACAAAGAGGATTTTTATCAGAAACTTATCGGAAGCCCCTTGCTCTACCAGATTCCCACCCTCATTTCTCCTGAAGGAAGAAAGAAAACCATCTCTATTGATTTCTCCTCTCATCCTCTAGGACTAAAACCAGAAAGCTGCATGCTGCCTGGGTGAGACTTAGAGAAGACCCTGTCTGTAGGAGCAGGAATCTCAGAGCCTTGGCTGAGAGGCATGGTCCTGAAATGAGATGGAGTCCCCCATGGAGAGCACACGTGGAAGTCCACACCTGAGGGCTCACTGCTCCTCACCACAGATGCACTACCCTACTGAGTCCTGAGACCTGAGTGCACCCCATAGAGTAGGACTCAGATGAGGGGATGCAAATCTCCGCCAGCTCCACCCTCCTCTGGGTTCAAAAGCTGAGAATGGGGCCTCGCTCAGTGACTCCTGTGCCCCACTATGGACACGTTTTGCTCCACACTCCTGCTGCTGACCACCCCTTCCTGTGAGTGTTGTGGTCAGGGACTTCCTCAGAAGTGAAACATCAGTTCTCTCCTTTGTGGGCTTCATCTTCTTATGTCTTCTCCACAGGGGTCTTGTCCTAGGTCACCTTGAAGGAGTCTGGTCCTGTGCTGGTGAAACCCACAGAGACCCTCACGCTGACCTGCACTCTCTCTGGGTTCTCACTCAGCACTTCTGGAATGGGTATGAGCTGGATCCGTCAGCCCCCAGGGAAGGCCCTGGAGTGGCTTGCTCACATTTTTTCGAATGACTAAAAATCCTACAGCACGTCTCTGAAGAACAGGCTCATCATCTCCAAGGACACCTCCAAAAGCCAGGTGGTCCTTACCATGACCAACATGGACCCTGTGGACACAGCCACGTATTACTGTGCATGGAGAGCACAGAGACACAGCCCAGGATGCCTCCTGTACAAGAACCCAGGCTGCGTCTCAGTGGTGCTCCCTCCCTACCTCTGCAGAACAGGAAAGTGTGACTGAGATGCCATTTCCTGCCAGGGCTTGTGTTTCCTATACCAAGCAGACTCAGAGCCCTGTCTGTTTTCCTATTCTGTATTATTAAATGTCATGCTCCCTGTTAGTGATCCATGTAAGCAGAGGCTGTATCCTGTTTGACAAAGATTGAGCATCTAAGAGTCCCATTACCTCGGCCACATGCATCACTGATATGTGGCCACTTATTTCTTGAGCTCATATCCTTCCAAGGGTCTGAATACAAATATCTATAACATATGACATTCTTAAACTGCAGGAAATAGTGTTGGAGAAGAATGTGGAGATAAAAGAGCAGGATGATTAATTAAAATCCAGATACCATCTTTTCTTGCAGAGACAAATTTACACTAATAAAGTAATTTTATGAAACAACAAGAAAGACAGAATGTGTCCTCATCATGGAGTGTCTCACTTGCAGTGTACAAATAAATTTCTAGAAATTTTATAGGGAAGGTGTGATAGATGAGGCTGATTTCCACACAGGGGGTGATTAAATACCCAGGTAAGTATAAAATCCAACACTTGGAAAGTAAAATGCCTCAGCTTGACATCAGAAACCCATCTCAGTAAGTCTGAGGATCAATGTGGAAAAGAAATGAAAAATTCGACAACACTTTTCTTATGAAATTCCTAGCTCAAGTTTGAACAGGACTATAAATCATGCTGCTATAAAGACACATGCACACGTATGTTTATTGTGGCACTATTCACAATACCAAAGACTTGGAACCAACCCAAATGTCCAACAATGATAGACTGGATTAAGAAAATGTGGCACATATACACCATGGAATATTATGCAGCCATAAAAAATGATGAATTCATGTCCTTTGTAGAGACATGGATGAAACTGGAAACCATCATTCTCAGTAAACTATCACAAGGACAAAAAACCGAACACCACATGTTCTCACTCATAGGTGGGAATTGAACAATGAGAACACATGGACACAGGAAGGGGATCACACTCTGGGGACTGTTGTGGGGTGGGGGGAGGGGGGAGGGACAGCATTAGGAGATATACCTAATGCTAAATGATGAGTTAATGGGTGCAGCACACCAACATGGCTCATGGATACATATGTAACTAACCTGCACATTGTACACATGTACCCTAAAACTTAAAGTATAATAATTAAAAAAAAAAAAAGAAAACAGAATTGTCCACAATTTTAGGAAAGCCATCGCATGACAACAAACCACGACAATGATAGGAGCATCACTGAGTCAACGGAGTTCAAGCAGTGAGCAGATCAGTATTGAGGCCCCAGGAAAATCAAGGCTCTTGGGTACATTTTGCAGAACCCAGAATTGAGCCACATAATCTATGGCCAAGTGATCTTTGACAAAGTTAACAAAAATTAACCAACGTATACACCAGGGAAAGGTCACCTCATTCAATAAAGGGCGCTGGGGAAATTGGATAGCTATATGCACATGAATTAAACTGGACACCCACCCTCAACATGTAAATAATTAACAGAAAATAGATTAAAGGTTTAAATGTAAGACCTCAAACTGTAAACGTATTCAAATAAAACACCAGGACAACTCTTCTGGACACTGGCCTAGGTAAATAATTTACGACTAAGAACTCAAAAGCACAAGCCAAAAACCAAAAGACAAAAAGCAAATAATAGACAAATGGGACTTAATGAATCTAACAAGTTTCTTCACAGCAACAGAGTGAACAGACAAAGTGCAGAATGATAGAAAATATTTGCACACTGTGCCTCTGACGGAGTACTAATATGCAGAATTAACAAGAAACTCAAACAACTACGAAAGAAAACAAGAACCAAATAACCCCATTAAAATGAGCAAACATCTTGAGTAGACATTTTTGTAAATAACACATAAAAATGGACAATAGATACATAAAAAATGCTCAGCATCACTAATCATCAGGGAAATGCAAATTAAAACTGTAGTGAGATATCATACCGTTCACAATGGCTATTATTAAAAAGTCAAAAATAACAGATGTTGGAGAGGATGAAATGTAAAGTGAACTCTTAGACACTGTTGATGAGAATGTGGACGAGTACGACCTCTATAGAAAACAGTATGGATTGAGTATGATATTGACTATGCATTTCTCATAAACAGCTCTTATTATTTTGAGATACATTCCATCAATACCTAGTTAATGAGCGGTTTTAGTATGAATCGGTGTTGAATTTTATTGAAGGCCTTTTCTGCATCTATTGAGATAATAATGTTTTTTTTTCCATTGGTTCTGTTTATGTGATGGATTATGTTTATTGATTTGCATATGTTGAACCAGCCTTGCATCCCAGGTATGAAGCCAACTTGATCATGGTGGATTTGGAAACCGGCACAAGACAAGGATGCCCTGTCTCACCACTCCCATTCAACATAGTATTGGAAGTTCTGGCCAGGGAAATCAGGCAAGAGAAATAAATAAAGGGTATTCAAATAGGAAAAGAGGAAGTCAAACTGTCTCTGTTTGTAGATGACATGATTATATATTTAGAAAACCCCATCATCTCAGCCCCAAATCTCCTTAAGCTGATAAGCAACTTCAGCAAAGTCTAAGGATACAAAATCAATGTGGAAAAATCACAAACATTCCTATACACCAATAATAGAAAGACAGAGAGCCAAATCATGAGTGAACTCTCATTTACAATTGCTACAAAGAAAATAAAATACCTAGGAATACAACTTACAAAGGATGTGAAGGACCTCTTCAAGAGAACTACAAACCACTGCCCAAGGAAATAAGAGAGGGCAGAAACAAATGGAAAAACATTCCATGTTCATAGATAGGAAGAATTAATATCATGAAAATGGCCATATTGCCCGAAGTAATTTATAGATTCAATGCTATCCCCATCAAGCTACCATTGACTTCCTTCACAGAATTAGAAAAAAACTACCTTAAATTTCATATGGAACCAAAAAAGAGCCCATATAGCCTAGACAATCCTAAGGAAAAAGAACAAAGCTGGAGGCATCATGCTACCTGACTTCAAACTATACTACAAGGCTACAGTAACCAAAACAGCATGGTACTGGTACCAAAACAGATATATAGACCAATGGAACAGAATAGAGGTCTCAGAAATAATGCCACACATCTACACCCATCTGATCTTTGAAAAACCTGACAGAAGCAATGGGGAAAATGATCCCCTATTTAATAAATGGTGTTGGGAAAACTAGCTAACCATATTCAGAAAACTGAAACTAGATCCCTTCCTTACACCTTATACAAAAATTAACTCATGGTGGGTTAAAGACTTAAATGTGAGACCTAAAACCATAAAAGTCCTAGAAGAAAACCTAGGCAATACGATTCATTACATAGGCATGTGCAAGGACTTCATGACTAAAACACCAAAAGCAATTGCAACAAAAGTCAAAATTGACAAATGAGATCTAAGTAAACTAAAGAGCTTCTGCACAGCAAAAGAAACTATCTTCAGAGTGAATGGGCAGCCTACAGAATGGGAGCAATTGTTTGCAATCTATCCATCTGACAATAGGCCAATATCTAGAATCTACAAGGAACTTAAACAAACTTACAATAAAAAAACAAACAACCCCATCAAAAATTGAGGGAAGGTTATGAACAGACACATCTCAAAAGAAAATGTTTATTCAGCCAACAAACATATAAAATAAAGTTCATCATCATTGGTCATTTGAGAAATGCAAATCAAAAGCACAAAGAGATGCCATCCCATGCCAGTTAGAATAGTGATGACTAAAAAATCAGGAAACAAAAGCTGCTGGAGAGGATGTGGAGAAATAGGAACGTTTTTACACTGTGGTTGGTAGTGTAAATTACTTCAACCATTGTGGGAGACAGTGTGGTGATTATTCAAGGATCTAGATAGAACTAGAAATACCATTTGTCCCAGCAATCTCATTGTTTGGTATATACCCAAAGGATTATAAATCATTCTGCTATAAAGACACATGCACACATATTTTTATTGCAGCACTGTTGACAATAGCAAAGACTTGGAACCAACCCAAATGCCCATCAATGATAGGCTGGATAAAGAAAATGTGGCACATATACACCATGGAATACTATGCAGCCATAAAAAGGATGAGTTCATGTGCTTTGCATGGACATGGATGAAGCTGGAAACCATCATTCTCAGCAAACTATCACAAGAACATAAAACCAAACACCACATGTTCTCACTCACAAGTAGGAGTTGAACAATGAGAACACAAGGACACAGGGAGGGGAACAAACATCACACACTCGAGACTGTTGGGGAGTGGGGGGCTGGAGGGGTTAGCATTAGGAGAAATACCTATTGTAGATGATGAGTTGGTGGGTGCAGCAAACCACTATGGCCTATGTATACCTATGTGACAAACCTGCACATTCTGCACATGTATCCCAGAACTTAAAGTATAGTTAAAAAAGGAAAAAAGAGAGAGAGAGGGGGGAAACAGTATGGAGACTTTCCAAAAAATGAGAAACAGTACTGGCCTTTATTCTACCAATCCCACTACTGGGTAACTACCCAAAGACAAAGAAATCACGATTTCAAAAAGATACCCACACTTCTATGTTTACCACAAATCTATTCTCAATAGCATATATGACAACCTGAGTGTCCACCGACAGATGATTTTATAAAAGAATATAGCATATATGCACAATTTAATACTAGTCAGCCACAATAAGGAATGAAACTGTGTCTTTTGCAGCAAGATGCCTAGAACTGGGGGACATTATAATTAGTGAGCTAACTCACAAACAGAAAGCCACATATCACACATTATTACTTATAAGTGGGAGGAAAACAGTGTGTACACAAGGATATGGAGAGAGGGATTATGGACATTGGAGACTTAGCAGAATGGGAGGGTAGGAGTTGGGAGCATGATGAAAAATCACCTAATGGGTACAATGTACGTTACTTGGGTGTTGGGTACACTAAAGCCAATACCACTGTAATATTTCTGTGTAACAAAGGTGCACCCATAGCCCTTAAATTTATACAAATAAAGATAAAAGCAATTACAATTGAAAATATAAAATTATTAAGCATTGGGAGATATACCTAATGCTAGATGACAAGATGGTGCAGCGCACCAGCATGGCACATATATACATATGTAACTAACCTGCACAATGCGCACATGTACCCTAAAACTTAAAGTATAATAATAAAAATAAATAAATAAATAAATAAAAAATAGTTGACCAAAGATCTTGAAAATTAAAGTTTAAATCATGATCAATAAATGAAATTAATATCAGTTGAACTTCATTTAACTTAAAATCCTTTTGTACTCAAGTGATTTTAAGAGAATGAATGTCAAGTTTTAGATGAGAAGATTTGCAAATCATATCACCACCTGTGTAATTATAGTAAGAAACTTCAAAACTCAACAGTGAATAAAAGAAGAGGCAACCCGTGGATAAAATAGGCAAAGTTTTGTGCAGGCATTTCATTAAAGAAGATGTACAGATTACACATAGGCATATAAACAGGATCTCAACAGGATTTTTCATCAGAGAAATTCAAATCAAGACCACTATAAGATACCCAAACACCCTTTTTAGAATGGCTGAAATTAAGAAGAAAGATGGATCACACCAATGCTGGTGAGCATACCAGGTTTCCAGAGTCTAAAACATTGCTAATGGGAATGGAAATAGAAACAGCTACACAGGAAAATAATTCTTAGTTTCTTGTAAAATTATATATGCCCTTAACACATTACCTAAAAATCCCCCTCCTGAATATTTGCTTCAGAGAAATATAATTTTATATTCAAACAAAACCTCTATGCAAATATTCAACATAGTGTGTGTGTGTGTGTGTGTGTGTGTGCATGTGTTAGAAACTAAAAATAACATGAATGTATGAAAATTCGAATGGGCAAAGAAGGTAGGCACCATCTATACATTGAATACCATCAGCATAAAAACTAACAAATGACCGATACACAAACTATTACAAGTGAACTCCAGACATTACACTAATTGAGAGAAGCCAGTCTCAACGACCAAAGGGACATAGTTGTAAGAAACACTGCCATTCTCAGATATCAGTTGTATGGGCTGAGCTTTCTCTGTCTCTTTCCTGACCAGGCCCAGATGTTGAATTCCACCACTTGCAGATTGAAAATTCTGTTCTTTTTAACAAAGCACTAAGGTTTGAATTGCATCACAGACTAATACAGACAAAACTGGGCTTGTTTGAAGAGTGTCTGATATTTGTTCTGACCCCAGAAGAACTCCAGGTCTCTCCCTCCTTGGTTTTCTCCAGCCAGCCAGCCAGCAGGCCTGCAGTTTAGCCATTGTCTCCCATGCATCCACCTGTTTCTTTCCAAGGGCCTTCCTTTCACCACAGCCTCCAATATTTTGGAGAGCACACTCAAGCTTTGAACTTTTCCACATTCTATTGTAAACGAATGTAGGTAGTTTAAGACCAGATTCAAGATTCTATATTATGGCTAAATTACAGCAGCCCCTCTTTCCTGGGACAGAGCTCCTAAGTAAGTTTCTGCAGATGGAGACAGATGAGCTTTTTCCTCCCTCAGCATAGGCTCTGACTGCTCAGCGGAGGGTTGGGGAGAAGTTTCCCACTTTATCAGCAAGCAGTTCTTGCTGGGGTGGACTCTCTGCCACAGGAGCAGGGCTGTGAACCAGGGACCCAATGTCCTCTGTGGTGCTGCACCCAGGGAAGAGCCTCCAGCCATGAGTGGGGCTGTGTGGAGGAAGTGAGTCTCTTATCAGTAGCTCTTGTCCAGAACTGAGCCTCAGCAGCTCGTTCTGTCATCAGGGTCAGAGGGCCGATGTCCTGGTTCCTAGGGAGCAGCATCCTAAAATGGGAGCTGGCATATATGAGAATAACAAAACCTACAAATTCAGAAGCCCTTTGGTTTTCTTTCCAGAAAATATAATTTCATTTTTTGTGGGTGTATGAGAACACCCTAGCAAACCGTATACACACCCACATTGATGTTTACAGGTCTATGACACTTTTATCTCTGTAAGTAAAAATTATTGGTCACTGTGATCTTTTCTGCAACTTTGCCATTTCACTGAAGGCGAGGACAGGTCCTTCTGCATGGGTTCAAACAAAAGGCTCAGAGACCACCTGGAAAGTGAGGAGCTCACCTGGTTCTGGAAGTTTGGTCTGTCTCTTCCCCTCTGTTGCCCCACAGAAGGTCAGCCCACTCTTTCCAGGTACTAAGAAGAGAGCCCAGGTTTGTCCTGATTATATGACTCACCCAGCTTCTGATGACTCTCCTGTTACCAAAATCCATGGATGCATATTTATTATGTAATTCACTAAACTAATATCAAATACCAAAGTTGCAATGCCCCTCACCAGAAGGTATGTTCATGCAATTCAGTGGAGGAGAGGCCTTTCAGAGACAGAAGGATCAAGCTAGATTGGTCAATATATGAATGAGGACAATAGACTTGATTCTTGTTGTCCTCAAGTACCCATGTCACAGGTGTGATCTGTCAGGGCAGGAGCAGAGTTCTTTGTGTGCTCAGATGGGAGGGCTCACGGAGGTTCTCCCTGGTTCCCAGGAAAGTAAGTGAAGTAATCTTGGTGATGAGACTATTCTCCAGTTATGACCTATTATAGAGTTTGCATATGAAATTGTCACTTCAGTCTGCCATCTACATCTTTTAACATGAAAGTGTACAGAAATTAGGCCACATCCTCAGGATCACACGTTGAGGAGAATGCAGATAGGCCCCACTGCTTTCTCCAAAGATCTTCAATAGATCTCAGGGTTCAAAACTGCTCAGAATGGCAGCTCTCAGGTGTTTCAGTTAAAATCACCCACTTCCTGGGACTGGAAGTTTCCCTCTAACCAGGATGGATAAAAATAAATCACACTCTTGATCTTGTCCACACATTCAAAAATTCCTAAAGGCAGAGCTGATTGATGTCCTCACAGACAGACTACTGCCATTCAGAGGTGACCTTGGTATTCAAGTTCTAGCAATTCTGAGAATTCAAGGACATCTCCATCTCTCCAGTGCTTTGTACCTCACATAAAAACAGCTTTCTCATTGGAGTGTCTTGTGTTTCCTGATATAAATATGTCACAAAATTATTTTAAATAGAATGAGAAATAAAACCCAAACTTACTCAAAACACCAATTCCTTGGAAATTATTTTGAGAGCTGGGAGTTCATGAAGAACTCCAAATTATTATTCCAACACCTCATTGCCATTGTCAGTCTATGAGAAAATCAGCACCAATCACACATCACAAGCCAAATCAGTAAACCAAGAGTCTTCTATTGAAGATCTTAGGATCTCAGGCAGATGCTGAAGACACTGTCTCAGTAGCACCCAGAAGATCTCAGAGCTTGTCCATGGGGCCTGCTGGATACTCACATGGGACATCCAGCGGTCACTTCATCAGAGCCCCCAGTGGGCTGTGCTAGTGCCTGATGAAACCAGGATGAGGCAAAGGCATCTGCTCAGTGTCATAGACAGTAATGGTCCCAGAAATGATCCCAATTGTCTCCATGCTAATCAAATGTGGGTTCACTGTGAGGAGCATGTCCTGTGGGTGCTTGTTCTTCAGTGAAAGGACCTCTGTCTACAAAGTGTTTGGAAGTGGAGCAGGGCATGCATTTCCTCAAATGAGATTAGGACTTGGAGCATTAGCATCTCACTCTTGGATGGCTGATGTGCAGCACCACCAGAGTGGCAGGACAGGGGCTATCCAGGGCTGCACCTTAGGTCACAGTGTAGGGTAGGTTGGGGACGCTATCCAGGGTGTCATTGCCTGCATTAGGGGTACTGGTTGGTAGCACTGTACAGGGCTGCACTGCCCACGGCAGAGAGGGTGGGTTATGGGTGTTTTCTGGGGCTGCAATGCCCGTGGAGGAGGACAGGTTAGGGCACTATTTGGTATACGCTACTGGCGGCATTGGGGGATGGAGGTGGGGGGTGCTATTGAGGGCAGGACTAGCTGTGGGGGGGTGAGCTTGGTGCTATCAGGGGCTGTACTGCTGGCAGCGGTCAGCAGAGTTGGCATCCAAGGAAGGAGTGGTTCTCCTCTCCCTGACTCCACACTCCAGAGGGCGACCCACACTTGGTCATACTGGAGTGCGGCAGGCGCACAGCGTTTGCATGGGAATCCTGAGCACAGCAGAGCCCCCACACCCACCGTGGTTCCTGGGCCTGTGCACTCTGGGTCTGTGCCTCAGAGGCTGCCAGGCACCCCTGGGGACACCACGGGAGACAGGGCACTGTGTGTGGAGGCGTTCGGAACAGGAATTGGCACCTGCGTGTGGAGGGCTGGCTGGGTCTGAATTTTTCTGCTTCTCCTGCTCCCCGAGGAGTGCAGACCCGGTGGGCCCAGTGGTTTCTGTGGAGTGGGGAGCTGGGTGCTGTGGTGTCTCCAGCACCCACCCCAGACCCCAGTTCCTGGCCAGCTTGGGCCAAAAGGAGAGGCTGGACTTTGGAGGGTGGATGTGAGTGCCTTTGCTGAAACTGGCCCCTGCCACCCAGTGGCCAGCATGACAAGTTGAGGCTCTAACCCTTCCACCCCTCACATCTTCCTCTAGGCTTTTCTGGCTTTGCCCGCCCAGCTGCTCCATGCCAGGAGGAGGAGGAGACACCCAGAGCCTGCGACACCACAGCTCGCCTCGCTGCGAGTGGGTGGCAGCGACGGAGACTGCAGTGCGCCAGAGCGGTAGGAGAGCGGCTGTGCTAGGAGGGCAGGCGGCTGCAGCCAGGGTTGGGGGTCAGGCTTACAGCGATGGATGGGCTGCAGCAGTGGCCAGGCCGTAGGAGCTTTGTAGGGAGGGCTGGTGCATTGGCAATGGGCCTGTCTTTGCCCTGCCCCTGCCGTGGATCTGGCCCTTTACTGCCCTGCCTTGCCCTGTACCTGCCCTACTGTTACCTGGACTCTAGGCCCTGTCCTGCTCTGGTCCCATCCTGACACTGTCTTGGCCCTGTGCTACCCTGTCCCTGCCCTGGTCTTGCCCTGGCACTGGCCCTGCCCTGAACCTGCACTGGCCTGACCTTGGCTCTGGCCCTGGCTCTGGCCCTGCCTCTTGTCCTGACCCTGGTCCTGTCATGGCGCTGGCCCTGCCAATGGTCACGGTCCTGCTCCTGTTCTGGCCCTGACCGGGCCTTGGACATGTCCTGGCCTTGCTTTGGCCCGTCCCTGCCCTGGCCCCACCATGGGCCTTCCTGTTCTGCCCTCTCCTGACACTGACCTTGCCCTGTCATGGCCCAGTGGTGCCATTGCCCTGCCTTACCCTGCGCTGGTTGTGCCTTGGCCCCGCTTGGTGCTGGCCGCTCCCTGGACCTGACCTGACCCTGCCTTGGCTTTTGCCCTGCCCTCACTATGGCCTGGCCCTGGCCCTAGCCCTGGTCCTGCCATATCCCTGGCCCTGCCCTTATCCAGGCCCTGCCCCTGCTGCTGCCCTGGCTCTGGCCTGGAACCTGGTCCTGTCAAGGACCTGCCCTGACTCTGCCATGGCCCTGGCCCTCCTCTGCCTTTGTCCTGGCCCTGACCCAGACCCAGACCCTTTCCTGGCTCAGCACTGGCCTTTCCCTGGCCCTGAGCTGGCAGTGGTCTGCCCCTGGTCTTGCCATCACCCTGCCCTGCTGTGCTCTGGATGTGTCCTCACCCTGCCCTGGCCCTACTCTGCCTTTGACCCTGCCCTGGCCTTACCTTGGCCCTCACCTTAGTCTTCGCTAGGCCCTGCTCTGGAGCTGGCCCTAGCACAGACCTGGCCCTGACCCTGGCCCTGGTCTTTGTCCTGCCATAGCCCTGGCCCTGAAGTGGACTTGGAGGTGTCCTGGCCCCGGCGTAACATGGCTCTGCATTGGTCTGTCCCTGCCCTGCCCCTACCATCACCTTGCCCTGCTCTGCCCTGTCCCAGTACTGACCCGGCCATACTATTTCCCTGCCCTACCCTGCCTTGGCTGTGCCCTGGCTCCGTTCTGGCCCTGGCCCCAGCCCTGCCCTGGACATGCTCTGACACTGCCTCAGCCTTGGCACTAGCCTGGCTCTTTCTTGGCATCAGCCCTGCTCTCTCTGTGGACCGGCTCTTGTCCTGTCCTGCACTGGCCATACCATGCCCTCTCCTGCCCTGCCCTGACTCAGCCCTGACTCAGCCCTGGCCCAGCCTTGGCCTTGGCATTGCCCCTAGTCCTGCCATTTTTCTTGCCCTGTCCCTACCCTGGCCTTGGCCCTGACCCTTACCTTGCTCTGGCCCTGCCCTTGCCCTAACGCAGCCCCTGGCCCTGTCATGGCCCTGCCCTGGACCTGTCCTGGCCCTGGCCCTTCCCCGCTTGAGACCTTGCCCTGGTTCTCCTCTGGCCCTGACCCTGAAATGCCTGGCCCTACCCTGGCCTTGCACTGCTCTGGCGCTTGCCCTGACTCTGGTCCTGTCACTGTCACTGGCCTAGCCCCAGCCCTGTTGCTGGTCTTACCATGGCCCAGACCCTGCCTTGGCCATGCCCTGACACTGTCCTGGACCCTGGCTGTGCCAAGAACCTGCACTGTCCTTGCCCTTGTTTTGCTCCTGCCCTGAACCTGGTCCTGCCCAGGCCATGGCCATGGCCCTGGCCCTGGCCCTGCTCTGGCTGTTCCCTGGCCCTGCCCAGGTCCTGGCACTGGCCTGGCCCTGCCCTGCCTTGGCCCTATTCTTTCCTGGCCCTGCCTTGCCGGCCCTGGCCCTGCCTTGGCCCTAGGCTGGCTTTGGCCCTGCCCTGGCCCTACCTTGGCCTTCACCCTAGCCTTACCTGGGCACTGTGTTGGACCTGGCCATAACACAGACCTAGTTGTGGCCCTGGCCCTGCCATGACCCTGTCCCAGACCCTAGCCCTGCCAGGTACCTGTCCTGGCCCTGCTCTGGGCCTGGCTTTGTCCCTGGTTCTTAGATGACCGTGGCCCTGCCCCTGCCCTTGCCCTTGCCCTGGCACTGGCCTTGTACATGTCCATGGTCCTAACCCTGGCCCTGCCCTGGAGCTGCCACTGTCTTGGCCCTGCCCTGGCTCTGGCCCTGCCCCGGCCCTGGCCCTGCCCCGGCCCCATCCATAGACCTGCCCTGGTTGGTCGTGCCCTACCTTAACCCTGTGCTACCCTGGGCCTGCTCCACCCTGCCCTGGCCCTGCCCTCCCTTTGGCCCTGCCCTGACCCCGCCTTGGCCCTCACACTGGCCCTAGCACAGACCTGGTCCTATCTGTGGCCTTGGCCTGGCATTGACCCCTGCTCCTGACCCTGGTCCTGCCATGGCCCTGGCCCTGCCAATGACCCTGACAGCCCTGGCCCTCGCCCTGTCTTGGCCCTGGCCCTGAACTGGCCCTGCCCTGACCCTGGCCCTGAAGTGGATTTGCAGGTGTGTTGTCCTTGATTTAACCTGGTCCTACCATGGCCCTGTCCCTCCCTTGGCTCTGTCCTGGTCTTGTGCTGACCCTGACCCAGACCTTGGCCCTTCCCTAGCCTTGTCCTAGACCTGGCCATGGCCCTGCCTCTGCCCTGGACTGGCGCTGGCACTGGCATGGACCCTGGCCCTGGCCCTTTGCTACTTAAGGCCATACCCTGGCCCAGCCCTGGTCCTGACCCTGTCCTGGCCCTACTTTGGCCTGGCTCTACCCCGGCATGCTATTCTGGCCCTAGCCCTGACCCTGTCCCTGTCCCTGTCCTGGCCCTAGCCCCATTGCTGGTCCTGCCATTGCCCTTGTCCTGATATTGCCCTTTCCTGGTCCTGGCCCTGGCCTTGTCCCAGCCCTGCTCTGGCCCTGGTCTGAACCCTGGCCCTGCAATGGACCTGCCTTGGTCCTGCCCAGACCCTGGCTCTGGCCCTACCTCTACCCTGGCCATACCCTTGCCCTGGCCTGGACCCCGGTCCTGGTCCTTGTCCTGCCCCAGCCATGGCCCTGGCCCTGCCCTGCCTGTGCCCTGTTCTATCCTGGGCTGGCCCTGCCATGGCCTGGTCTTGCCATTGCCCTGCCCTAGCCTGCCCTGCTTGTGCCCTAGATCTGCCCCGGCCTTTGCCCCTGTCTTGGTTCTAGCCTTAACTCTTAGACTAGCAAGGAGTATATATTTCTGGCAAAATTCCAGAAATGATTAACTAGATCGCTTATGGGCAACTGGTGAATCCACACTGATCCCTGGGATCACCATTTCCTTTTCTAAGAAGTCACGCAAGACCAACCTCATGGCTTTTTTGGATCAGGCTACTGGATGGGAACATGGGAGGGTGTGGCACCTGAGCCACCACGCCCAGCCTCCACATGCTTTTCAAAAACATTCCCATGTTTAAAAAAAGTTAACCATGGGGCTTTAAAGCACCACATGCTTTAAATGCCCCTTGGTGACTTGAATGTTCTACTCAGTTTATCATGAATGTTTTTCTGGGACAACTGACCTGTTTCCAACATATTTATTTATTTATTTATTTATTTATTTATTTATTTATTTATTTACTTATTTTTGAGACAAGTTCTCACTCCATCACCCAGGCTGGAGTGCATTGGTGTGATCATGGCTCACTGCAGCCCTGCCCTTTTGCCTCAGCCTCCCGAGTAGCTGGGACTATAGGCACGTGCCACCACGTCCTAATTTTTAAATTTTTTGTAGAGACAGAGTCTTGCTCTGTTGCCCAAGCTGATCTCAAACTGCTGGGCTCAAGAAATCCTCCCACCTCATCCTCCCAAAGTGCTAGGATTACAGGCATGAGCCACTGTGCCTGGCCTCTCCAGCGTTCTTGAGTGTTCCTGAGTGTCTACCCAATTCCTCAATGGTGGATGTCGAGACTGCAGCTCTGTTTCTGACGTCATAAACAGTGGCCTCAGCTAGTCCGTTTTCTTTGGGCCTCCTGATCCTCTTGGAGCACCCGTGCCACTCCTATTATCTGTCTGTTTCTTTGTCGTTGTTGTTGATTTTTTTTCTTTTTTCTTTTTCTTTTTTTTTTTTTTTTTTTTTTTGAGACACAGTCTCTCTGTGTCGCCGAGGCCGGAGTGCAGTGGCACAATCTCGGCTTACTGCAGCCTCCGCTTCCTGGGTTCAAGCAGTTCTCATGTCTCAGCCTCCCAAGTAGCTGGGACTACAGTCACATGCCACCACGCCTGGCTAATTTTTGTATTTTTAGTAGAGAGAGGGTTTCGCCATGTTGGCCAGGCTGGTCATCTCCTACTCCTGTCCTCGTGTGATCCGCCCACCTCGGCCTCCCAAAGTGCTGAGAGTACAGGCATGAGCCACCACACCCACCCCCTTTCTTTCCACATTCTTTATGTCCCACGGAGAGGCTCAGTTCTTGAACGCGAGCAGGTACTCATGGCGTGAGCAGGTACTCATGGCCTGAGCAGGTTAGATGGTTAGGAGTTAAGGGCTCCAGACTTCGTATGCAACTTTTCTGAGTGGTAGAGAGCCTGCCTAGTGGGTATTCCAGTACTGCTGGGATGCAGTCACCTGTGTGGATTAATATTTTGCAAGGGTGTATGGGATGGAGTGGAGCAGGAGAGCCTGAAGTGGGGAGACCAAGTTGGAGGTTGTCAGTGAGACTTGCTGGGAACCTGAACTGGGGCAGTGGTAGCAGAAGTGGGGTTGAGGGGACAGAGCTGAGAGGCCCACGTGGAGTTGAATCAGCAGGCTTTTCCAGTCTCTGGGAGTCTGAGATGATCTTGGTTCTGCTCTGGGCTTTCGGAATGCCAGGACGCAGCCCCCTGCTGGAAAGGGAGCTCTGGCTGCCCATGGAGTAACACTATCATGCTAGGTGTGAGGGCTGGTTGCAGAGTGGGACTTCTGGCCAGGCCTGGGGACAGCAAGGAAAGGAGGGGACAGGGAGAGCAGGGTTGAGCAGGGGAGGCCTAGCAGATGATCAGGATAGGGTGCTTCCGGGCAGTTGAGCTTGGGTTGCTGGCTTCACAGAGGTATTGAGGCTGGGACAGAGGGAATGTGATGACAGGATGGATTCCAGCCTCCAGCAGAACAATAGAAGATCGGGGAGCAGAAGGAAGAGGGAGGCAAGATCAAGAAGGAGGATGTGAGCAGGTTAGTGGCCAAGGAGGGGAGCATGTTCCGGAGAAAGCCTGGTGCTTAGCACAAGTTTTCAGTGGGACTGGGCTTAGGACACATAGGAGGTTAGCCTGAGAACCCCTGAGTAGCCCTTGTAATTGGGAAAGGGGGCCTGGCCTGAAAGGAAACATCACACCTAGAAGCAAGCCAGTACCCTTGGCCCCCATAGTCTTCTGCTGCTGCCTGGATAGCAGTGGGAGAGTCCCAGCTTCCCAGCCAAAGCCTTCTGAGCTTTTGTCCTGCCTCTGCCACTACTGTCTCAGTCCTATCACTTGACCCAGAAGCCTGGGGCTGATCTGCCCTTTCTTCTTGTCCCATGTGACTGCCCAACCATCATGGCCATTTCTCAGTGTGTGGCCCAGCAGGGTGAGGCACTTTCACGTTTTCAGGTAGCCAACCTCAAGAAGTCTTCAGCCTGCAGAGCTGGACTCCACCCATGAAAGAGCCTGTAGATGTCGCCTCCTAAGCCTCTCTCTCACAACCCTTGGGGCCACCACCATCCCATATAGACCAAGTGGGCTCCCTGCCACCTGCCTTCCCCCCTTTGGCTTGTGCACCCCACTTCCAGTGGCTTGCTATCACATGGATCCTCCAGGACGCGGCTCCCCCACAGTCTCTGCTTCGGCCTCCCCCTGTCACGAAGCAGCCATGTGGGTCTCATGGGAGAGCCTCACGTAATACATGCTCTCCCCCAACTCAATTCTCTGAGCATTTTGGGGGTCTCTGTGCGGAACACCCCCTCCAGCTGCCGGCCCAGCCAGAACCTCCTCTTCATGAATCTCTGAGGCTTCCTTGTGGAGCCTGTTCCGAGGGGCCCACACCATGTCCCTGGCTGACCCATAGTGCTGTCCTCAGGTCCCAGGGCAGCCTGCATATGCAGCTCTGAGGCGTGGCACTTGACAGGGTTGCCCATCATGGAAAACCTGGGCTCTTCCCCTTTAGACTGTTAAGCTCAGTGCCAAGGGCCTGGCACATATGAAGGGCCACTGAAACCTTTGGTGACTGAATGGGCTGTCCCGGGCTGACGGCGACAGCTTTAGGTGCATGTCTGGGTTGAACTTGTCGGGCTTTTTAGACAAGCAGCCCAGCTTTTCAGGTCTTAGGAGCTATGAGAGTTTGTGAAGATGGATGCATCGGGGCCACCTCCAGGGGACCACACTGGATGAGCCACTGGTTTCCACTTGTGGAAAACTCCGGCAGTCGCTCCTGTTCCCTTCCTGCCAACCTTGCACTTCAGGGGGACAGCTAGCGAGAGGCCCTCTTGAGTCTTGGAGTGTGTTGGGGACAGCAGCTCCCTCTGGGCTGGGGTTTGTGTGTTCAGAGGACCTGCACTGCCTTCTCTGCCTTATTCAGTTTAAATGGTGGTCAAGGTTAGGCCCAAAGTGCTGGTTAGCAGCCAGTCACAGGAGGGCCCCTGTTTGTGTGGAAGCCCCCTGAATTTTTGCTGATCTGAACTTGATCCACAGGCATCTTTTGTTTCCTCCTTACCCCTCCAGGGTAGAATCCCATCGCTGTCATTAGCCCAGATGGAGCTGCCCGTGCTTCTCTGCTGAGCTGCTTTTTCTTCTTTTTTAGGTTGAGTCATCTAATCACAGACTACCTTTGCCTAAGTTGTCTTACCTCACTCGGTTGCTCTCTACCCTCCAGCTTACCCCAAACCGCTCAGATAGCTGGTTTTAAAAAAGATACACAGCAAAACCCCAGAAACCCAGCTGGTCTGTCACTTGTTCTCAAGAAGAAGGGAGGACAGGCGAGACCTACACCTGCCCCTTTGCCCTGTGCTTACTGCACTGTCCTCAGGATGGGCGAGCTCCATCTGGGTCGTGGGCTGGAGCTGCCACAAGGCATGTTCTCATTTGAAACGGCCTCCATTTCCCCCAGCTCTAGCCCTCCTCTTCCCATCTTCTCCAGTGTCTGTGTGCTGGGAGGCTACAAGGAAGGCAACGCAGCTGTACCAAAATGGACTTGGGGCAGCCCTTTGGGGCAGCCTTCTCGGGTCTGCTCTAGGTGACTCTCCCAGTTGTAACCTGTTTTCCTGATTCCAGACTGGTGGGTAAGAGTCGCTCAGGGCAGTAGAAGCCCTGGTGTTAGTCATTCTTCACTGAAGCCTTCCTGAGGCATCACCTGACTTGCTTCCTTGCCTGGGCGCTGCCTCATTTTTTTCTTCCACAGTTGGGGCATGTTCACACAGAGTCCACTGGCCGCCCTGCGGTAGGCCTGAAAAGTCAGCAGGTGGTGCTGGGACACCAGCTTTCTGCCGGCTGGGGGCAGAGGAGTGAGCTTGTGTGAATGCCATGTATATACAGGGGCTGGGGGTTGAATGACTTGACTCACCTGAAACCCGTCAGGTCAGCAGCATGGCCACAGCAGGTGGCCACAGCACGGAATCTTTTGGTTGGGACTTGCTTCTTCCCCATTTCCTATTAAGCCCATGTCCTCTTCCCCTTGCTCATGGGGGAAGACAGGGCTGCCGAAAAGTGCTTATGAGCCGTGGCTCTCCCCACTTGATATGGTTGGCCCTGTTTCTCTAGAGTCTGTGGAGAGGATCTGTTTCTCCTGCCTTCTCTGGTTTACTCAACCCTTTATAAAAGCACGACAGCCCTGCTCAGTGTCCAACAACATTCTATCAAGGAAGCCCAGTCAGATTGAGGCATTTGGGGCTGCCATGTGTCTGCCAAGGCCACATCTGGATTCTGTTAAGTTTCATTCACTGGCCTTTTTTTGGACCCCAGGCCATTCTATTGGTGACCACCCTGTATCTGTAGGAGATGCCTTTGCCTCGTAGGTTCTTTCCTGTTTTCTGGAAATGAATAGCTAAGAACAGTGATTCCGGTAAGATTACTTGGGAGATCCAGCAGAGGCAGAAGCTAGAGACCATGTTCCGTGCCCTGTCCTGGGGGCCTGGGAAGCTACAAGGGAACAGACAGAAGCGCACGTTAATGTGCCTGAGTGACCCAATGTGAGGGAGCAGGAAAATGTTCTAGAAGGCTGGCTCCCAGGCTGAAAAATGCCAGTGATCAGAGAAGACCTGGTCTGCATTGCTTGGGCCCTGGGTGGGGGCTTAGGGTGTGAGGATGCAGAGGCTGGAGCTCTGGGTTGTGCCTTCAGGTCGTGGCATTGAATGTTTTTTCTCCCTGCAGCCATGAGCCTGGCTTGCCCATCAGCACGGGTCTGAGATGGCGCCTTCCCACCCCTGTCTTCTGTCTCCTCTGTTGCTAGACTGAGCAGCTCTGTGTCTGTCTCTGCCACTCTTGGTGCCAGGCTCCCAGGTGAACACAGGTGCAATCTAGGCCCAGGGAGATTCTGTCCAGCCTTATGTGCAGCCTCAAATCTGTCCCCTCACCTATCAGGGAGCACTTACTCTCCTGGGAGTGGGATCTGGTCATCTGGAAGCCCAGTCCCGCCCCCCGCCCCCCTTTTTTTAGCTATACTTGCTGGAGTGGGTGCAAGACCCCTTTACAGTGTGCCAGGTATGGGAGTGCAGAGATGAAGGCACAGTGCCCAGCCTAAAGACCTTCATAGCCTGGTAGGGCAGCCATATAAATGGATGGCAGCCACGCAGAGAACCAAGAATGAAGTAGTTACATGCAGGTGCCTAGGGGGCTGCTGCAGGAGCCCCCAGAAGGCGTCCCTCTGATGGGGTGGGAGATCTGAAAGGGTTTCTGGGGGGGAGGTGAGGATTGAGCTGGGTCGAGAGGACATTCCGGCCTGGAGGACTGCCACACAGAGCCAGGTGTGTTCCAGGAATGGTGAGGGGTTAGGTGTTACTAGAGAAGGGGGCCACGTGGTTAGTGAGGGAGGAGAGCTCACTGAGGGTGTGCATGCTGGCAGCAGGTGGCTTAAGCAGAGGGCTAACGTGGTCGGATTTGCCTTGCTCTGGGAGGTGGATGGGAAAGCCGTATGGTGGCAGATAGGGAGGAGGCGCCAGCAGTGGGGATGATGGCGGGCATGTTTGCAGTTGACATGGAAAGCGCTGGGTTGCGGCCTGGGCTAGGGGGCCAAGAGGGCCGAGTCTAAGGTGGTTTGCCTGCCCACGACTACAGCAGGGGCTACACGAGGTGGTCAGGTCAGGCAGGACAAGGGAAGGCCCATTTTGGACAAGCTGAGTCTAGAATGTCTCTGGGGACATCCAGGAGCCAATGTTTAGCAGGAGGTTAGGTGTGAGTCTGGGCCGCAGAGAAAACCCTTTCAGGGATAAGAGTGGCTGGGAAGAAGGTATAGGGTGTCAGCTGAAGAGTGCAGATCCCAGAGGGAGCAGAATAACAGTGGGAGGAGGGTGTTGCGAGGGGACCTCAGGAGGGTAACTTAGCAGCAGAGCAAGGAGCTCAGGGTGACCGCCTGCCTGGGTGGTTAGGAGGCCACTGGTGGCCCTGCTACTGGCTTGGAAGGGCAGGCTTTGGCCAGCCTAGATTGAGGAATACATGTGAGGGAAAAGACCAGGGGCTTGGGCAGGGTGACTCCAGGAAGGAAGCAGTTGAAGGTGAGGTTCCTGGGGGGAGAATGATCCCGGGTCATCCAGCAGGAAGAGAGAGGACCTAGAAGGTGTGAAAAAGAACTATCGGGCTGGGGGTGCAGTGGGAGGAGTATGCCTAGGGTGCTGTGGGGGTGGGGAGCGCCTGTGAGGGTTGGCAAGAGGAAGGGGAACCAGGGCCTGGCAGAGGGGAGCCCCAGACTGTCTGAAGGCTGGGAACTAAAGGCCTGGGCTGGGGCTGAGCAGGGTCAGGCTTTCGGACAGACACGGCGTGGATCTTGCGCTGGACTTTGTGTATGCCCTGGCATATCTTGGAAGCCCTGGTTCTCAATAGCCGGGAAAGGCCTGGAATGGTCCGAAAAGAGCTGGGCCTCTGCTGCACTGCCATGGAAGCATTTGTGTTAGCTATTTCCCTGGGTACTGGGGTGACAGCCATGGGCACTCACCAGCAGCCGCTTGCCTGGCCTGGTGGCGGGGATTATAGCCTTCAGTCTTGCTTGGTCCTCTCTCTACCACCAGGTGGCATGACCCCCACCCCTCAATTCCAGTTAGGAGTGGTGGTCCTCTTCCTCTCTACATCACTGGGATCTGCTCTGGGGCTGGGCAGCTCCTTGCCGGGGGTTGGGTCTTAGTCAGACTTGCCTTTCTTTCTAGGCCTCTCCAGTGACTTCTGGCCATGCCGATGTGAGTCAAATGCGTTGTTTCTCTCTGGCTCCTAGGGCGCTCAGTAGCTTCCTCCACCTTCAGGCTGTAGCCCAGTCGGGGGCAGGCTGGTGGGCAGCTGGGGGCTGAGGCAGGGAAACTTGAGCCCTAGGCCACGAGGTCCTGGGCCGCTAATTTTAGAAAGCACATGTCACTGGAAACTCTCCTTCTCTGCCAGGAATCAATAGCCTGGCTCTCCTGGTGCTGCCAGGGCCCCCTGGGAGCCTCTCCCCAAACTGGGAACCTCAGGGGTGTCTCCTGGCCTGGGTGGGTACTTTCTGTCCTGAGTACATCTCGAAAGGGGCTCTTCCGAGGCCCTGGATAGCCATGGCTTGGGCCAGGGAGGTAGCTCACCTTGTCTGCTCTCTACTTTCTCCAGCCCTTCCGGGCAGCCCCTGGCCATGAGCAGAGGCTGCGAAGTGTGAAGGCCTGGCTGGGGCAGGAGGCCACTTTGACTCTTCTGAGTAAGCTGTTGTTGAAGCACCCTGGACTAAGCAGATTTGTCTCTTCCTTCCCCCAGGCCCTGTGTGACCCTTGCCTTCTGAGGTGTGTGAGAAAGGAACCCCTGCCTTGTTTTGACTGTTTGAACTAGTCCTTCCCTCCTCTCTTCCTGCCAGCTAACATCTCGGGGCAAGGGTGAACCAAGGGAAATGAAGTGGCCATTCCAATCTCTGTTTGGGGACTAGTATCTGCCTCCAGCTGCCACGTGTTTGCCTGTCTCTCCTGGCTTCTTCAGATAGGCAGCGTGTGCCTGTGTCCTGATTCCTGTACACCCTCCAGCCCAAGAAGACCTCGTTTGGGGTGCTGTTACATAACGGATGTGTTCCAGTGCAGCCTGAATGATGGGTTGGGAAGGAGGCTGGCCAGAGAAGAGAGTTCTATCTCACGTTGGGACCTGGGAGCCGTTCCCTGTTAGTTTAGAGAGTAGAGTAGTTCCAAGCTCAGGTTCTGGAGTCAGGCAGACATAATTTGGAATTCCAGCCATGTCCGTTTCTGGTTTTTGGCCTTGGGTACATTGATTTACGCTGCTGAACTTCAGTTTCCTTCTCTATAAGCTGGGGCAGTGATAGTAACTTCCTCATCAGGTAGATGTGAGGATGCGGCCTGGCATGTTGGAAGTGCTCAGATTGATTAGCTTCTCTCGTTACCTTACCAAGGCAAGCCCAGCCTTGAGGGGAGGAAGGTGGTGCTGTGGCTTGTCTGGCACGTCTAGGCCCTGACCCGGAAAGTGCCACGTTCCGGGACCTCATGCTGTATCGAGGCTCTTCCCAGCCCCCAGGCTCCTGCTTCCAGCCCCTCCCAGAGCTGAGGGTGGCCGTTGGGCACAGTGGCAGAGGACAGCTCCTGGGCTCCACCTTTTCCCTCACGCTGCCAGCACCAGGTTGGCGGCTTCTCGCTCAGCTGCCTTGGCAAGAGGGCAGGTCCAGGCTGGAGCCAGGTGTTGAGTGGCAGCAACCAGGAGGTGCTCCTGCCAGCCCTTCATGCACTTTTTCTCACTTCTCCCTTCTTTTTGTAAATAATCACGCCTGCTTAGATGCCTGGTGACTCTCATCTTGCAGCAGGCCACACTGTTGGCCTCCAATGAAGCCTTTAAAAAGCAGATGGAGAGTGCTAGTGAGGCGGCCAAGAAGTACACGGAGAATGACCAGCTCAAGAAGGTGAGTCCAGTTTCTCGACCCACCATGGGGCGTCCTGGTGTTATACTGCAGGAGCCATATTCTTTAGGGCCTCAGTGGCCACTGCTAGCCTATCACCCTGGGAAATGTGCCTGAAAAGCCAGAGTTGGGTGGAGGCACAGAGGGGAAGTCCTCAGTGGGGAGAGTATGCCTGCTGGAGACGTCTGTGTGTGGGGGTCCTGGTGAGGAGGAGGGTGTTGCTGCTCACGTTTCCATCCATTGCTTCCAGTCAGACCCTTCCCTGAGAAAAATGGCCCCTCAGTGAGCCAGGCCCTCTGCTGTGAACCAAAAGCCCTCAGCTAGGCCATTGTTCCCTGCAAGATTGCCGCACCCCCTCTGGAACTCGGGGTCTGTGGCATCCCTCAGTGCTGGAGAGGAGGTGGGGCCAGGGTAGTTGGCCAGTCTTAGAAGTCCTGTCAGGAGGTGAGCTGCAAGGCAAGCTCGGAGGGATGTGGATGCAGAGGTGGGATAGAGCTGGCCAGGCCGACTGGGGGCCCCTGACTGCAGTGAGTGGCACCGTGTAGAGAGCACAAGGCACCGCCATCCGCGGAGGGGTTGGTGAGCACCATGGAGCTGCTGAGCCCTGCTGCTCGGGAAGGAGGCAGGGCCAGGGGCCAGGGCAGGCAAGGCGTGCCCGGCGAGCTGCAGCAGGTGGCCCCACTGGCGCTTCTCTTCCCCTTGGCGGGCAGCCACGCCCTGGCCTTTGCCTAAGAGCTGGGAGCAAGTGGTGGCTCTGTTCCGCGTTGACATTTCCGAAGGGGCGAGTGGCCAGGGCAGCTTGAGGAACCGCAGCTTGGTGGGGAGGATGGGGCTGGAACCTCTCCCTCCCTCCCTCCTGAGTAACCCTGACCTTTGGCACTTTTCCCAGTGAGCTGCTGTTGACGGAGGCAAGTTGGATGTCGGGAATGCTGAGGTGAAGTTGGAGGAAGAGAACAGGAGCCTGAAGGCTGAGCTGCAGAAGCTAAAGGATGAGCTGGCCAGCACTAAGCAAAGTGAGGCTTGACCTCATGTCCTTCCCCGCAGGGAAGTCCAGAGGAGCGTCCTCTGCCCGCTGCTGCCCATTTTGTGCCAAAGTACTAGTAACAAGCCTTGCACGCATGCTCGAGGGCTGTGTGAAAACAAACAAATAGCACCCTATGCCTCCAACCCCAATGCAGCCATGCTTAGCCGGCAGGCCAGTGAGGCTAAGTGGTTTGAATGGGGCTCAGGAGGAACCAGGCTGCAGTTGGTGGGACTCGATTGCCCTGCGCTAGAGCAGTGCACGCTGGGGCTTTCCCATCCAGAGTGTGGCACGGTAGCCCCAGCCTGCCTGGGGGCTTAGAATGAGGGGAGTGTGGGAGTGGTGTTCAGGAGCGGAGTGGGCAGCTCCCAGGCGGCCTGCCTGTCTTTGGTCTCCCATGCATAGACTTAAGTCTGGGGCGTTTTCCCACAATACCACAGGCCTCGCCTGCTGCTGCTGTCTGCAAGGCATGGTTGTCATTGGGTCTCGCTTTCAGGCTGGGATCTTGTTCCCTGTCTCCCACTCTCAGCCTCCCTGGAGGTTACCCTTGCCGAGAGCCACTAGAGTTCCCCTCCATTAAAGGGACTGGGGGATGTCCTCTGTATTTCTTTTGCTTTATCTTGAGCTTTTTTGTCAGCCTTTCCCTCTACTTTGGGGGCCTGCAAAAGCAGAGCGGTTTTATTTTGAGAAGTAGGCTCCTGTATAACCTCGTTTGAGATAGATTTGGGCCAGTTTCTGGTGTCTGTAGAAGCTGGGTTTTTACCCCCGATTCCTGTCTTTTCATTTCTGTTTTCTTGGTCATTTACATCATTTCAAGAACTAGAGAAAGCTGAAAACCAGGTTCTGGCCATGCGGAAGCAGTCTGAGGGCCTCACCAAGGAGTACGACCGCTTGCAGTAGGAGCACGCAAAGCTGCAGGTCAGCCCTCACGTATCGCTGCGCCCAGGGCAGGAAAGCAGAGCAGGATGAGGCAGCCCCTGCGGGTGCGGAGGGAACCTTCCAGGGGCCCAGGGGCCGGCTGCCCTCTCCCCCACTCCCCCTGGCCACCTCTGCCCTACCGAGTGGGACCATTCACCGGGCAGGAGAGGGGTGGCCTGGCAGCAGATGTAGACACTTGCCGAGGCAGCCCTCAGGAGTGGCACTGGCTCACTAGGCTCTAAGCCTTCCTATCTTCGTGCTCAGGCTCATTCCATGGTTTGGGGCCCAGTCAAGAACAAAGAAGCAGGTGAAACTCTGGGACCCACTGCTGGCCTTCTTTCCTAGAGTGCTGGGGGGTGACATAGGGCAAAGATCCCTGGGCAAGTAAGGGCACAAGGTGTCAAAAAGGCACCTCCCCTAGCAGGCACTAGTTGTGGCCATCACCTGCTGCCCTAGGCCTGATCCAAGTCCTCAGACTAGCTTGGGTGCACCAGGCCGCATTTGGAAGCCAGGCGGTCTTGACGTTGGGAGTGAGGGCCACATAAATACTCCTAACTTTGGACAGCTGGCCTCAGTGCTTGGTGGCCCAAGTTTGGGCACCACAGCAGGTGGGGAGGAAGGGTCCAGCCTCAAAGAGGGCACCCATGCCCTCTGTATAGGGCAGGCTTGGCAGATGGGACTTGGGCTTCGAGGGCACCTGTCAAAGGTGTGCAGAGTTGGGAAGGGCCTGATCAGGTCTTGAAGGGTACTGGATACCTTGCTGTTCCCTGCAGCCAGGACTCAGCCCCCAGTGAGGTCCTGGCAGTCCTCCCTGGCTGGCGTTAGGTCCAGGGCTTTCCTTAGAGTGTGGGCCAGGGCTGATGCTCCTACCCTGGCAGGCCTTTGGGTGTAGCCGGGGAGGGGGCCCCTTGCTCACTTGAATAGCTCTCATTAGGAGAGAGGGGAACCGAGCTGGACCTCTGGGGCAGGGGGCTGGAGATGGCAGGGGAGGAGTGGACCTGGCCAACCTACTGCTGTGGGATTTCTGTCCCTTTCCAGGCTACAGTAGTTGGTCCCATGGACAAGAAGAAAGAGTAAGGGCCTCCTTCCTCCCTGGCCTGCAGCTGGCTTCCACCTGGCACGTGCCTGCTGCTTCCTGAGAGCCCAGCCTCTCCCTCCAGTACTTCTGTTTGTGCCCTTCACTTCCCCCATTCCCTTCCACAGCTCATAGCTCGTCATCTTGGCCCTTGTCCACACTCTCCAAGCACATTACAGGGTACCTGATTGCTACACGTTCAGAATGCATTTGCTGTTATCCTGCTTGGCCTGGCCAGGCCTGGCACAGCCCTGGCTTCCACGCCTGAGCGTGGAGGACACGAGTTAGTTGTAGTTTGGCTTGCGGTGGGGCTGACTTCCTGTTGGTTTGAGCCCTTTTTTGTTTTGCCCTCTGGGTGTTTTCTTTGGTCCCGCAGGAGGGTGGGTGGAGCAGGTGGACTGGAGTTTCTCTTGAGGGCAATAAAAGTTGTCATGGTGTGTATGTGGTGCGGTGTGTGACTGTGGCCATGGAGAGGGCTCTGCTTTCTTTCCTGCCTGGAGCCCCCAAGGGGCCACAGGCCTTCAACCTGTTTCCACCACTGAAGGCCAGGCTCACACCTGTTCTCAAAGGCCCTGCCCTCTCTGTCCTCTTGCTCCCCGGGCTGGGCCAGGCCTCGCTTCAGGGCCACCCACCGAGTGTGTGTCCTGTCTGCCTCCCTGGGTGTGGGCAGCTTGGGAGGCTCAGTAAACCGGCAGGGCTTCTGGGTAGAGGACTCGCTTGCCTTCTCTGGGTTCCTGTTCGTCACATTTGGGACAGACAGAACGTGGCAGAATGCCACTAGTCACTCCCTGCCCCACCCCCTCCTGAAGGTTTGCAGGATGACCTCTGACTAATGCCAGCTGGGAGAGGAGACTTGTCCTTGGCAGTGACCTGGAGCTGGCCCAGGGCAGAGCTAGGCAGAAAGGGGCTGGGGCCCTTGGCCCTGAGAACGTGCTGGGTGTGTGCCTGCCACCAGAGCGCTGTGCTGGTGCTGGCTCCAGGGCGTCCCTCCCGTGGCTCCCTCAAAGCTGTGTCTTCCAGGCCCACAGCAAGCCAGGCCAGAACCGAGGCTTCCTGCCTGGCGCCAGTGCCCAGGCCCCTGCACTGTGCTGCTCTCCAGTAGCACATGAGGAAGGCAGTCCCCACCCGCAGCACAGTGCTCCCACCCTGCAGGGCCTCTGCCATGCCTGGTGTCTGCATGAGGACTGGGCGGAAGGGTCAGGGGAGCAGGTTAGAGGTGTGTCTCCTGGAACTGGGGGGACCCCTGAAGGATGTTGATGCTGGCAGGGTAGCTGATGGCCTGCTGTGCATGCTTGCTTCTGCCTGCCCTGCCCAGGCCCAGGCCAGTGGTTCCCTTCTCTAGCATCCTGTCGCCCTTCCCTTGTGCTCAGAGCACAGCTGCCTCGTGACAAGTTCTGTCCCTTTCCAGGCGGTCTGAGAGGTGGTGTCTGAGGGAGTAGGGGACACGTGGGCAATACCCTCTGGTTGCTGTGCCAAGGCCGAAGGCTGATACCACTTCTCCAGGAAGTGTTCTCGGCTACCTTGGGCCTCCCTGAGCTCACCCTTCTCTGAGCTTTGAAAGGCTAAAGTCCAAATGGGTGCTTCCCTCACCAGCCCTGATGGCTTCTTCCGCTGTTCTGCCTAGGCTAGCAGCAGACAGAAAGCTGCACGAGGCCAGCTTCTGGAGCGCCCTTTCTAGTGGAGTGATGGAACAACATTGGGGCGGGGGTGTGGGCACAGGCTCTTAGAGATGAAAATTGAGGTGCTTGCCCAGCCTAGACTGGAGGGCGGCCTGCAGGCTTGCGCTTTCCTGGATCAGCTTCTGTTCCAGGGCATCTGCACCCGTGGGCATCCTGATCTGTTTTCTTACCCATCTTCCACTAGACTGTGAGCTGCTTGAGGGCAAAGCCTGCTGCTTGTTGATCTCTGTGTCCTAACCCCTCATGCGGGAGCTAAGTCCTGAGGTAATGGTGTCTCCATTTCAGAACCCACTTTAAATGACATGCTTCTGTGAAGTTTCCTTTTTTCAATGTCTTTTTTCTGTGTGTTTGGTGTCATTGTGGTGCATGAGGTGGCTTGGAGGGCATTTGGCCTGGAGGTGTGGAGAACAATTAGCAGAGGGTGATTGTCATCCAGGCAGAGACCTGGCTGACAGTGTATAAAGCAGTTGGCCTGAGCTCAGGGGTCCTGAGGGTGACCGTGGGCTGCAGGACAGTTGGAGTCGGTTGGAGACAGGGGCTGTGTGAAGGCCTGGGGCACCCTAGGGAGAGGTCTTGCCGACGTTGGGAAGCACCTTTGCAGCTAAGGAGGGCCAGGCTGGAGATCTGGGAGCTGCCAGCCAGGTGGGGTTCTTGAAGGCACAGGCATGGTGAGAGGACAGGCTTCTCGGGGAGAAAAAGAAAACTAGAAACAGTGGTTGCCGAAGAGATGGGGGCCAGAGCAGGCTCCAGAGCCCCCAGCTGAGCTAGGGTGGGACTGCGCTGCCACTCCTTTCTCTGCTCCCTGTCTGGTCCATGTATTTCTCACCCAGGCTCTTGGTTGGCCGTATTCTAAGCCAGGTCCCTCTCCTGGCTCCAGAAGTTTAGGGGTAAAGCCCCTCCATAGGGGGTGCTGCCTGCTGAGGAGCAGGGCCTCTGGGGGTTCTCCCATAGCACGATAGCAGTCCTGGGCAGGACGCAAAGGGAGCAGCCCAAGCTGTCACTTTGCTCTGAGGGGTCACCTGCTCCCCCTTCACAGGCTCCAATCCCTGATGCTCTCTGTGCTTGCCTGAGCCACCCACTGCATTGCCTGCTGTGCCCTGCCATCGTGCCCAGCCCTTTCAGGGTGGGGTGCCACATGCTCATCTTGTGCATGGGTCCCGCCCCTTGAAGGACCTGTCTGTACTCACTGTCTTCAATTCCTCTCCGCCTCTTCTCATGGTAAAACGCATGTATATCACACATATATATAGTGTCATCAATGTATATGTAATGAGCCATTTTCACCATCGTTAAGTGTGCAATTCAGTGGCATTAAGTGCAGCCACAGTGTTGCGCAGCCACCTCTTCCGTCCACCTCTAGAATTTATTTTCTCAAACTGACACTCTGTCCCCACTCAACACTCCCCACCCTGTCCCCAGCCCCTGGCACCCACCCTTGCCCTCTGTCTCTGTGGATCTCCCTCCTCTCATGTAAGGCCCTGTCTCTCTCTCAGGAGCAGAACCCTATAGCAAGTGTCTCTTTATGATGGATCATTTCACAGAAATGCCCTCCAGGGGTCAGCCATGTTGTGTCGTGTGTTGGAGTGCCTTCCCTTTCCAGGCCGGCTCATATTTCCTTGTCTGGGTAAACTATGTTGTTGTCTCTCCCTTCGTCTGCAGATGACAATGGGCTGCCACCACTCCTTTTCTCAATCGCACACCAACCAGCCTTTCACACGCAACCCCTCATGCAAGCCACCCTCACCAGGCCCCTGTGACCCTTGCCAGACTCAGTGAGCATTTGCAGGTCACTGTCCTTCACCAGCAGCAGCAGCAGCAGCAGCACTGGACAGATGGAGCCAGCCACTGCTCCTCCCTGACCTGTGAGGGGTCCTCACTGGCTCAGGTTGCAGGACCCCACCAGGAGCTCTCAGGCATCCTCCCCCATTGCTGCCGCATCTTCCCTCTGCCCCTCTCATTGTGTCCCGGGACTTGCGGCGTCCCTGTGAGCTCACCCAGGTTCAGGGCTTTCAGTGTCATCTCTATGTGGTAAGAACTTGCAAAGTTCCATCTCCAGTACTTTCTGGAACTCCTGTGTCCACCTGCCAACTAGACATCTCCACTTGGATGACACTTCCTGCATGACACACCCAAGGCTGACTCCGGACCATTCTCTCCTTGCCTCCCCATTGCAGGACCTGGCAGCTCCATCTTTCCTCTTGCTCAGGCCAAATCTGTTGTCCTTAACTCCTCTTTGAGCCCTGCATCCTGGTCATGCACAACCCCTACTGGCTCCACCTTCAAAATTGATCCCTGATGCAAAGAGTTATCCCCTCTGCTGCTATCAGCCTGGCCCAAGTGACACAAGGCACCTGTTCAGTGACAAATTCTTGGGGTAACATTTTGAAAATTTCAGCACCCATGGCTTTACACCCATCCTTCCCCGTGGGTGTGGCTGCTCTCCAGCTCTCTCATCCTGCTCTCCCCAGGTGCCTCGGCTCCAGGGGGACAAGGTTTTCCCTGGGCTGCTGCCTTCCCTGCTCCCTTCCCAGTCCCCAGAAGGGTGCTGGCCTCAGAGGCCTCCAGAGTAGAGCCTTGCCCACCACAGCAGCTCCAGCTGGAGGAGGTTCCCCCTACTTCCTGCACCTCGACCCCTTAGAGCAGCAGAGGCAGAAGCAGAGGCCTGCTTTGGAAAATGACAGGTTTTTATTGCTATGTTTGCAGTGGCTTTTTAGCACAGTAAGAATGTCCCCGCAGGCCCACCACCCTCACGCAGCCCCAGCCCTCCAGCCTCTGTCCGGGTGTCAGGGAAGCCTTTCTTGGGGTCACTCAGCCGTCTCGGGACTGGACGTGACAGACATACGTGGGTTAAAGCCGCTACACAGAAGACTGGAGGTGCAGGAAGTGCATCCGCCTTGAGCCTGGATGTGGGAGCCGTGTCCGGGGTCCCTTCCTGGGGCTGTGCCCAGCCCAGGGCACAGGGTGGGAAGCCTGAGCAGGCCAGGTTAGCAGCCCAGACACCCAGGATGGAATATTGCAGCCTCTTGCCCCACAGACCTGTGGGCAAAGGGACAGCGTGGGGACAGCCCCGAGGCCCCCACCATGCACTTTTCCAATCCATTCTGGGTCTGGGGACCACACACACACATCCACACAACAGACTCGCACATGCAACAGCTCGAAGCTTTTGTTTTGCCTCTGAAAGTTAGATCTATAAATTCACACTCCTAGGCTAGGGGCAGAGGGGTAAGGTAGGGCTCACAGGAATGGGAGTGGTAAGGAGAGGATGGTTTGGGCTCCTTCCTCTTTTTAGAAATATACAAGCACAAATCTCATTCTCTCAAGTTTTTATAAAATGTGCAAAATACAAGCCTCCTTTGCCTAGAGGCACCATTTACATCTGGTATTCACCTTTGCTAAGAGATAGAGATCTATATATACTCTACGTGCTCACGCACGCGTGCACTCACACCCAAGCTCACACAATTGATATTGGTGGTGATTGGCGCAGGAATCAGAAGGTTCCACTGCTGGCTGGCTCTCTAAGCTTCTATAACAGGGATGGGGAGAGGGGTATAGCCCAGCTGAAATATTTGTCTTGGTTCTGCTGCCCCTCCCTTGCCTCCCTTCTCCTCTCTCTCCTCCCTCCCGTCTCTCCCTCCTTCCCTTCCTCACATTTCCCAAGCTGCCACTGCTGCTTCTGGGGTGAGGGGTCACCCAAGGGTGTGCTACAGAGCAGAGCCTGGAGAGGTGGGCAGGGGGTGGGCGTGGCAGGGGCAGGAGGAGTGCAGCACTGTGGGTGGGGGTGGGGCACTAGGCGGGGCCTAGGACCAGCTGGGCTAGGACTGGAGCGGGAGAGGCATCTATTTTTGGTGGGTTGTGATATTTTTGGCGTTTTATTAAAAATGGAAAAAGTTGTTTTAGTGAGCACTCATGGTGCTTTCTCCCCTCCTCTCCCAGGCAGACCCCAAAAGCGTCAGGGAAAGGCAGGCCCCCTGGAGGGGTGGGGTGGGGATGAAGCAGGGGCTGCTATGGCTACCAGAGGTGAGCTGGTGATGTGAGCTGAGCTGTCCCATGACACTCTCCACCACGACGACCTTGCTGCTCTCGGACACTGGGGTCAGGGTGGTCAGGCCCCTGACATCTGCATCCTGAGCTCGGTACTCCAAGTGGTGGAGGCCCCAGATGGGCTGGGTCAGGTGCTTCCAGCACTGCAGGAGAGGACATGTTGAAGCCCCCAGAGTCACCTGCTCATCCCCACGGTGACTTCCTCTGCCTCTCTCCAGCTCCTGCTGCCTGCCACCCTAGTCAGGGCCACTCCTTGGCTAGGAAGCAGGCTGGGTTGAATGTTCATAGCAGGGGAGGGGAGGGCAGGCCGGGAGGGAGCCTTACCTCAGCCATGGTGCCCTTGGCCCTGAGGAGGCAGCCCAGGAGGTGCAGTGGCATGCACAGCATGGAGGACAGCACGAAGGCCCAGCCCATGGCCTCACCCCACCACGGGTACACGTTGGTGTTGTTGTAGACCAGCGGCTCGTAGTACACAACGTTGAAGATGAAGATGCCCTACAGACCAGAATGCCGTGGTTAATGGGGCCCCCACCCCCCCCGCCCCCCCCACCCCGCCCCACCTCCCCCAGCCCTTACCATGCAAACCAGCGGGGTGAAGAAGGACCAGCACCATTTCATCCAGGGGCAAGGTCGGTACCCGATCATACAGGCAATGTCGTCCGTGAAGCGGTCAGCTCCTGTGGCAAGGCGAGGCGGGAGGGCCAAGCTGGAGACCTGCCTTCCCCACCACCATGCCCCAGCCCAGCCCTCAGCCATGACCTACCATACACCCAGGCCACCACCACGCACTCCCAAAAGGCCTGCCAGAGCAGGGTGGTGCCGCTGGCTGAGTAGTAGTCAAACAGCTGGAAGACATACATCCCACCCTGGGGGACAGAGCCCAGTCAGGGAGGATGGCAGACGGCCACCAGAAGTCACAGGCAGACCCCCCACCCCACTCACATCAGTCACCA
The DNA here is from genome assembly GCF_000001405.40 of Homo sapiens. Taxonomy (NCBI): domain Eukaryota; kingdom Metazoa; phylum Chordata; class Mammalia; order Primates; family Hominidae; genus Homo; species Homo sapiens. The sequence goes on along the minus strand of NC_000016.10, from coordinate 33,981,728 downwards.
TGGAGAGATCAATGACAAAGCGGAGGGCACAACAGAGGGCCACAGAGATCTCCCTTTGGAAACAGAAGTAGTAGGAGGCTGGGAGGAGGTTGAGGAGGCCGGTGATGAAGCCCTCCACACCTACAAACTGTGGCCAGGCTAGCTCAGGCCGAGCCCCGCACCACCCTCCACCCCTTTCCTTGCCCGCAGCCCTCACTCCGCCCCTCTCCTGGCTCCCTGTCCCAGAGCCCCATGCAAATCTGGTTGTCGAGACCAAGCAGCAACAGCATGAAGAAGAACAGGGCAGCCCAGAGTGGGGCCACTGGCATCAGTGTGACAGCCTGTGGGTAGGCGATGAAGGCCAGGCCCGGCCCTGTGGGAAAGGTGCAGGCTCTAGACCTTGCAGCCGATGTCGTGCCCTGCGCTCACCCTGAGCCCTGCCTGCAACACTCACGCCCATGCCCACGCCTGCCTCTGAGGTGCTGTCAACCCTGGGTCATGCAGCAGGGGCTGGGAGGTCCTGTCTCTGTCAACATTGAAAAATCCCAGGACCTGCCCCCACAGGCCCACAATCTGAGAAGTTCTGTTTGAATCCTCATCACTTTTCAGCATTTCTATTGCGTGTTCTTGTACATCATGCATCTGGGTGGCAGTTGCTGCTCTGGAGGCGGGGCTGGGGGTAGGGCCCTACCTGACTCTGCCACCTTGGAGATGTGCATGCCCTGCTCTGCAGCCATGAAGCCCAGGATGGAGAAGACCACGAAGCCAGCAAAGAAGCTGGTCCCACTGTTGATGACAGCCAGGATGATGGCGTCCCGGAGGGGTGGAGGGGCCAGAGTGGATGGGTTAGGCTGCTGGGCAGGGCAGGGCGGGACAGGGCACGGGTGGCAGGGCAGCAGTGCTTACTTGTAGCAGTTGTTGTTGAAGCGGTTGTAGCTGCCCAGGGCTGTGAGGGCCCCCAGGCCAATGGCATAAGAAAAGAAAATCTGGGTCCCCACATCTATCCATACCTAGAGGAGGGCTGGAGAGTGCAGGCATGAGGGGCCTGCAGGGCTCCCCCACAACACCCTGCTGCAGCCTCCCCACCTCCACCTCACCTGAGGGGACCCCAGCTTTGACCAGTCAGGCTTGAGATAGTAAATGATGCTGTCCAGGGCGCCAGGCAGCAGCACTCCAAGCACAAGCAGCACGACCAGGACCACGTAGGGGAATGTAGCAGTGAAGTACACGATCTGGGGGGCCAGGCTGCTCAGCGGGGACTGCGGCACCACCTCCCTCACAAGCCCACTCCGAGCACCTCCGGTCCCCCTTGCGGGCAGGTATGTTCAGAGGTCCCCATTCTCCTCCGAGCCATAGCTCCCGCCAGAGGAAGCTAGGGGCAAGGCTGGGCCCCGGCAGCCCTGGCAAGTGCAGTGGGGAAGCTCTCTGGGCGCCTCGTTTGTCTGCAGGGATGCATGTCAGTGGGGAGCGGGCGAGCCTCTGGGAGCTCTCCTCAGTGGGGACAGGAGGCATGGAGCATGTGGGGAGTGAGAGCTGTGTGAGTGTGTGGGCAGTGCACGCATGGGAGGCCCAGGCAGGGAGCGGGATATTGGATCAGGGCCGGGCCCCCCTCCTCTTCTGGAGAGAGGTCGGGGCTGAGCAGGTGAAGAGTGGAACTGGGCCAGGCAGAGGCAGGCAAGATGCGGCTGCCACACTGTCTGCCCCCTCTTCCCACATGCTGCTCTGGGGACCTTGTCCCCCAGGGAGCTGGCCATGTCCCACAGCTCTGGACATTGTCTTCTTTGTTCAGGTGACTCCCCAGCCTGACCAGGAGCCCCCAAGGGATGTGGCCAGACTCTGCTCTGTGTCCCCAAGGCAAGATAGGCAGGTAACAGATGGCCAGACCAGGTCCAGCAGACTGTCACAAGAGTCAGAGACTGGCAGGAGGGCACCGGTGGGGGTGATGGGCACAGGGAAGGGACAGTGCCTGCTGGGGCCTCTCCCCACAGGAGCAAAGGCTGCTGGGCCCTGGATTTGCAGGGTGGGGAGTGTTGCTTGGCTTTCAGTACCTCCCCCTTCCTTAGGGCTAGACTCTGTCTGGTCACCTCCCGTTGCCACGGGTGTGCCTGGCACAGACATCCAGCTCCCAGGGCTGAGCCACCCTCCCCCCTGCATGCCTCTAGTGGTACCTTTCCCATGGATTTGACCCCCTTTCAGACACAGAAGTAGACCAGCACCCAGCAGGCCAGCAGACAAAGGGTCACCTCCCAGTTGAGGGCCCCTGGCACCTCCAGTCCCCCAGACAGCCTCAAGACTTTGTTCCTAGGGGAGGGAGGGAGGTCCCATGAGGCCTGTGCCAGCAGAGGATGGAGCCACAGGGTCCACCCCCAGGAGTCGTGGCTCCCTTCTCTCCCACAGCCCAGGGTTCAGTGGGCCCTCTTGTCCATCTGGGCTGGGCCTGGAGCCCACGAGCCCCTGGCCTTTGGGAGGCCACTCCCATCCCACCCCACATGCAGCCCCAGCTCCCCCATCAGGCGGGAGTGACCAGGACAGTGATAGGCTGCCGAACCCAGGAGCAAGGCTGACCTGGCGCAGCCCCTGGGGCTGGCCCCAGGACTCTCCGAGGGCAGACAAGGGCAGGCAGGGTCCAGGAGGGACTGCCAAGAAACACCCTGGTCCCCTCTCAGGGCCATTCCCCTGGAGCCAGGCAACATGAGGGAGACCTGGGGGATGGGATGGGCTTGGCCCAGAGGTGCTGGACTCACTCCCAGAACTCGATGACAGGGGACTGGCGGTCAGCAAGCTGGTCACAAGTGAGGTTGGCCAGGCTGGCACTGGCACAGTCTTCATGGTGGAAGATCTCCACACAGTCGGGAGTGTTCCAGGTGTGGCCACATGTGGCCCAGGGCAGCGTGGTGGTAAAGGACTTGACCAGGTAATAGAAGCCCCAGGCCAGCACCATGATGTAGTAGGTGTTGCAGTAGAAGACGATCACCATGGAGGCATAGCCCAGGCCTGGGGCCGGGAAGTCCTTGCCATGTAGATTCTTTCCTGGCCACCTCCCCTGCCACCCCTTTATCTCCCCACCCAGGCTGGCAGTGCTCCCACCGTCTGTCCTTCTGGAGCCTTGTTTGTGGTGCTCCTGACTCCCCTGGACTCCCCCTTGTGTGAGCCCCAACACTGGGCTGACTCCCCAGCCTCTCTCCTCTCCTCCAGCCGCCCCCTAGACCCAAGGCAGAGCGAGCCCCTCTCCTCCTGTCCCCATCTGACCAAGTGCTGTTGAGTCTCCAGCCTTACACACCTGGCCCCTTCTGTGGGTCCCACTGCCACCATGGCGGTTCCAGGAGGTCCAAGCCTCCACCTGGCCACCCAGTAGCTCCAGTCCTCAGCAGCTGGTGGTGGTGGTGGTGGGGAGGGGGGGAGTTTCTAGTAGCCTGAGGTAGTGTTGGAGACAGTTGCCCCCGTAGTGGGCAACCTCAGTACGTCGCTCCACCTGTCTGTGCCCCAGCGTCCTTGGGGACAGTAATAGTAGGACCTACCTAGAGAGCCAAGTGTGCTGGGCAGGTCCCATCCCCAGCCCGGCTATGCCTGGCCTGTCCTTGCCTTGTGGAGCTGCCTATGCCCCCTCTAGTCCCTGCTTCCCCAAGTTCACTGTGCGGCCTGAACATCTCCTCCAGGCTCCCCCCTCGAGACTGGGATGCCATCACGTGGCCCCAGGCCTGGTGCTCAGGACAGGAAAAGATTTCTCAAGTGGGAGCCAGCTGGGAAAAGGGGGCAGTCCCTGAGGCTGGCCAAGGGCTGCTCACCTTTGAACAAGGGACAGATGTTCCAGACATTGATGCTGCCGGCCTTCATGAACTGGCCCAGCGAGATCTCCAAGAAGAAAATGGGGATTCCTCCGACCAGGGCTATCAGGATGCAGGGAATAAGGAACACACCTGGGGGTGGAGGCACAGGGTGGACTCAGGGTGGCCCCCAGCCAGGCTGCCCAGGCCCAGCGGGCCAGCCCAGACTCCAAAGGCCCCATCACAACTTCCCACTGGGTGAGTCAGTGTAGGGGTGGCCACTGACTCGGGCCCCACGTAGGGTCTTGAGGGGCTGGGTTCAGTGTGTTGAAGAGGTGCTACAGTAGCCCCTGGGCCATTGAAGTCCTATTCCCTGGGTGGCAGAGAGGCACTAGGCCCACAGGGCTTCCACCCCCACGGTCACTTGGGGTGATGGCCATGGAGGACACGCACGCTCAGACACGCAGCCTGTCCCTAGTGCCGCAATTCCCTGTTTCAGGCAGCACAGTGAGGGCACGTGCGTGTGTGCATGTGCGCCAAGGCTGGGTGATCAGGCCTGAGGGGCTCATCCAAAGGCAGGGAGCGCGACTGTCCTGCACTTGGACGCTTGCCTGCAAGTGTGAGGTCCAAGGCAGAGGGCGGGTGGGTCACAGTCCCCTGCTGGTGGGATGGCCACGTGCAAGGACAGAGGGATACAGGTGCGGGAAGAGGGGCCAGGCCGGCCTTAGCAAGCCCAGGGAGTCAGGCTCTACAGGAGATAGGCAGGGCATGGCACAGGCCCTGGCCAGCAGGCTGGGGTGGGGGTGGCAAAAGGGCAGGGAGAGCTGGGTGCCACTACCCCCTTCTCCTCTCTGGGCCTCCTACCCTTGCCCTGGCTGGGCTCGCTCCACTACTCAGAGGCCGAGCTTGGCTGCAACTTGCCTGACTCCAGGTCCCAGCATCCTTCTCCTAACTTTGGGCAAAGGCCTTTGCTCTGGACCTCTGTTTCCCACCCATCACTGGGTCACTTCGGCTTCCAGAAACCCCAGTGCTGTTTTGTAGTCACAGGACACACGCGTGCCCATCGCTCTTGCTAAGCTGGGCCCGGGCAGGCGGGCGGGCATGGGACGTGCATGCAGTGTTTCCAGTGGCGGCGCCAGGCGGGCCAGGCCACAGGCTTCCCAAGCCTGGCTCAGGTACCCAGTGTTCCAGGCCCGGGCCAGAGGGGAGGAGCGGGAGGGCTGCGAGGGGAGGGGAGGGCAGGGAGAGGGACAGAGTGGCCCATTGTGTGTGTGTTCGTGTGTGTGCACACGTGGGGGGCCCACACAATGTGCCGCTTGTGTGCCCGACCCGCAGGGGCAGCCAGGGCTCCTTACTTCGAGGAGACCCCAAGGCGCAGGCCTGCTTTCCCACCTCGGCGGCCAATCGCTCCTTCCAGCCCAGGAGTCTGGGGGGCAGCCTCGCGGGCATCGCCGGCCCCCGCCCCTCACCCTGCCAGGCACATGACTGCGAGAGGGGTGGAGGCGGACGGCCCAGCCACCGAGCAGCAGCGGTGGACCAGGGGCGGCCCCGACCCCGCGTGCCCAGGGGCCAACCGCTGCCCGGACTTCACCCCTCCGCGGCGGCTCCGGGGGTTGGGGGTCGGGCGTCAGGGGCCGGCGGCCTGCTGGGGGAGGGGGCCGCGGGGGGCGGGGGAGCTCACCTCCGCCATTCTTGTAGCACAGGTAGGGGAAGCGCCACACGTTGCCCAGGCCCACGGTGAAGCCCACACACGACATGATGAAGTCCATCTGGCGCGTCCAGGTCTATCGCGCGCGGCGGCACGGCCAGGCCGCCGCCGGGTGTCCCCAGGCCCGCGGGGCCGTCGCCCTTGGCCCGGGCCCCGTCGGGCCCGGGCGCGATGAGGGGGCCCTTCTTCTGGTCGCCGGACACGCTACAGATGCCGTTCTCGGCGCTCTTCTTCGCCATGGCCCCTGCGGGCCTCACGGCCGGGCTGGGGTCGCGGCACCCTGCGGGGGGCTGCGGTCAGGCGCGGGGCACCGGCGGCACCGGGGAGGGCCCCGAGGGCGCGGGCCGGCCGGGGGCCGGGGGGCGGCCGGGCCGGGGGACGGGGCGGCGGGAGAGCGGCGGGGTGCGGGTCACAGGCGGCGCAGTCAGAAGCAGTCCACGAAGCACTTGAAAGTGAGCCTGAAGAATCTCCTGTGTGTCAGGGGCCCGGGGGCGCGCGGGCGTCGGCGGGGCCCGGCCAGGCGTCCGCGGCAGCGGTTCCGGAGGCTCTTGCCCGCGGCTCGGGCGGTGGCGGCTGCCACGGCTCCTCGGCCGACCCGAGGCTCAGCCTAGCGGGGCACGGGCGATATCGGCGCTCGCAGTCTGCAAGCGGCGGCTGGAGCAGGGGCCTGTGGCCCGCGCCCCCGGCCCCGGCCGGGGCCCGCGGCGGCTGCCCGGCTCACCCGAGACTCCGGTGGCGGCGGCGGCGGCTCAGGCGCGCCTCGCCCTCTCCTTCTGGGCGGCGGCGGCTGCAGCCGCTCTCGGGGCCGCGGCGGGCTCAGCGACTCGCCACCGCGTTCCGACTGTTCCTCTCTTCCCGGTTCCCGGCCGGCAGCCGCTTAAAAACCGACTCCGGGGTGATGTCACTATCGCCCCACCCCCACGGCTGGCCGGCCCCCCTCTCCCTCCCGCCCTGCTCGTCACAGTCCGCCCACCTTGTCCCTGCCCTCCTCCCGGGGAGGAGTCGCCGCTCCAGCGGGAGGCAGGATGGTTGCTACCTGGGGCGGCCGCCAGCTCCTCCCGCAGTGCTCCGGGCCGCCCCTCACCCCAGGGTCGCCCGCTCCTAGTGTGGCCCAGGCTTCCCGGCCTGCCCCTCCCAGCCCTAGGAAGACGTCCCCCGGGCCCCCTCAGCCCTCCGCCTCCCCTTCTCTCCCTTTCTCCCCGCTCCTGGCAGGCTGCAGCCGTCTCCTCCCGGTGCTCGCTCCTTCCTTGAGCTCTGTCCACCGCTGCCCACTGGGGGCTAGAGCTTCCCGGCTACCCTGGAAGCTGGAGGCTGGGACCAGCTCTTCAGGTGACAGGCCTCTGTGTCTCCACAGTGGCCAGAGGGGAGCCTGCCTGACTGATGAGCAAGGCTCCACTTTGTCACCAAGGCAGAGAAGGGGCCCGGGTAAATGACCCCGGTGGCCCCCACCCCTGCCTGGCATGAGAGTGGGTAGGGGCTTCGGACTTGAGGGGACTGGAGCGGGAATAAGGCAAGGCTGCCCCCTGGTGCCTGGCGGGTGCACAGACCCTTCCCCAAAGGCCTCAGGTCTGAGGTCCTGGCTGCCCGCCCCCCACCCACCCCGTGTTCCTCTCCCCAGGACCCCCAGGCCTACCCAGCAAGAGCCAGCTTGTTGGGCTGCCTCTCCGCCACCAGCTGAGCAGCTTGGTTAGAATTTTCTAGGGCAAGAGTAGCCTGGGGGTGGGGTGGGGAAGGAAGTGGTCATTCTCCTGGCCTGGGAGGTAAAGTGTGCCCCCCTCAACTTCAAGCTCCCTGATCTGATCGTGGACACTGCAGTCCCCAGATGGCTTATCCCGTTAAGCTAAGCCCTCGGCCATCCCTCCAGCTTTAGGAAGAAAAGCGGTTCTGGCCCAAGCCAGACTGAGCTTCCTGGGTGAGGGAGGGGCAGTGTCCCTACCCAGGCTTGGAGGAGGAGCCTCAAGGGGTGTGTGTGGTTGGGGGAGACAGGCGGTGTCACCTGTGCTTAGACCAGGGGCGGTGGGCGGGTACCCTTGAGGTGGCAAGGTCACACTGCTCATCAGAAGTTTCTCACTAGGGTCTTCTCTGGCCCAGCCTTTGACTGAAGCTGGTCTGGAGACAGGGGCGTTAGAGAAGTGACTCATAGATGGCCTAAATAAGCGGGGCCACTCAAGGACCCAGGACAGGGGGAAGAGGGCCAACCCATCTGGACCGCAGGCAAACCCCATGGCCTTTGAGAGAAGAGAGAAGAGGACCCGGTGAAGTAGGCTCCGAGGGCCTCAGCCCAGCAGGAGCGCAGGGTGGGCGCGTGATGTCATCGAAGGGAAGACAGTGACCTGGGGGAGGGCCGCTTTGAGGGAGAGTGCAGGCCACCGCCAGAGAGCTCTGGGAGCCGAGGGCAGGGAAGACTTTCAGATGTTGCTTGTCCAAGGGGTGGGGGTGGAAGGGAGAGAGAGCAGAGGCTCGAGAGGGATGTAGGAGAGCTGATGGCACTTTGGGGACAGCCTCAGGGCTGCAATTGAGGAGGGCTCTCTCCCTCATGCAGGCTTTTCCTCCAGGAGCTGCACCAGGAACTCACAGAGGATCAGGGAGAATTCTGAGAACATGCTACTGTGGTGCTGCCTAGAGAGGAAGGATAAATGATGACAAGTACATCTCTGAGTAACGTATGGGCACTTGTTCATGAAAACTGTTTTTCTGAAAGCTTGTGAAGGTCTTGAAATACTCGCTATCAGTTGAGGACAAACATTTACACCCTCCTTCCACAGGGAGTTCAAGCAGGCTGGATGGGTCCATCTATGGATGATCTTCCCCAGCCCCTTCCTCTTCCCAGCTCATCCCTGGCTCTCTGTGTGAACAGGTCTCATCAGTGGAATGTGGTTGATGAAGTGAGGTCTTCAATTTTCTCATCTACTGTGTGGTCATGTTATTTTCCTCATCTGAGGCTTAAAAACTCACCTGCATGCAGCACATGACAGCTTAAAATCTCTTGTGAACAAAACAGTAACAAAGACACCCACCAGCGTTGAGCATCCCGTGTTGATGACAGCGACCACCAGGGGTCAACGTCCTCTTCACAATCCTGTGTCAGAGCATCACTTGACTGATTTCATTAGCAACTTCCCAGGAGAATCAGCTTACAAAATACTTGTCCCATTTTCCATGCAGATGTAACCCATCTATTTTACTGAAGAAATGGGAAGAGCTGAATGCTGAATACACTGAATGTCTGCAGGTTGTGCAAGTTTGTGACTTTATCACTTTCTAATTTCTGATCTGTGTGGACCACTCTACAGATTTTTCTCACTGGTGTGATCAGCCTTCTGGATGTCAAATATAATAGACTTTCAATAATATAAAAGTCAACACAAGCTCCTCATGGTTTCAGTGCTCAGTGATGACTCTAAACTTACACAATGTGTTTCTTTATTAGTTTTGTTTTCTGGTATCTCTACTCGGCATCTTCACCACACCCATTTTATGTTTCTTATACAGGTAATTGATAATTTTAAAATTTATTGGTGCTTACTTTAATTAAATAAGCAGACAGTATCTTAGAATTTAAAAAAAATGTGCAGTAAAAGGAAATGCAATAAATTTTAATGTAAGGAAACCAGCAGCTGAAAGCAAGGGAAATCTCTTCTGCTGCATAGGAGGGTATGGAGACCTCATAATACGATGATTTTCTGCAGTTTAATCATTATTGCCACACAAGTGATAGCATCCTCTCTCTTTATATCAGCACATTCCCTAACGTACAATAAAGGCTGAGCACAGATACCGCCAACCAGACTGACCAGCACCTCTCACCGAGTGCCTGAGCTGATAGTGATAGATATCACATTTGTCTAACAAAATCATTACACCCTGTAAGGATACCCACCAGTCATAAGGAGACAATTTAAAAAATTTAGTCAAAGCCCAAACCTGATAGGTAGTCATTTATACTTAGAAGAATTAACTCTTATCTTCACATGTATTTTTCTTAATCATAGAGAAGCTACTAGAGTCACTGTCCAAGTTACTGAATATCTTATTCCTAGAATGAGACACTGCACAATGTGTTCTGACACGAGGGGATGTAGATATAGTTAAGGGACAGGAGATGTGATCACGGGAACAAGAGTCTGTGATCCAGCAGTTCTTTCTCCCTCACAGTTGACCAGAAACAAGGCCCCAGCAGAACAATGGAAACATTGACTTAGGTCTCCACAGTCTGATGTGAGATAAACAGCAGGTAGTTTATGCTTCCGTTTTATAGTAGGAAATTTAATAAAGAAGGGCCATTTTGGGGATAATACTATTCTCTAGGATGCTTAAATGCCCCCAAACAGAGAGCACTACAGTGTCCCATGGCCAGGAGCTACAATACCTGGGTCTAGAAAGCAGTGGACAGAAATATCGGTTTCTCTTGCCACATGTATGATGAAAATTTGAAGAATGTTTCTTTCCTTCTCCATAATCATAGGCTGCGATGGACTGGAGGTCCTGGTACATAAGAATAAATGTGTCTCCAGTAGGAACAGAATTAGTCCCATAAAATAATTGTGCTGCCGTGGTTCTCATACTGTTGGAACAGCTGACCAAGAAAGTGTTGTAACAGCTGCAGTGTTTATTGATTCCTATCATATTTGGGGCTACATTCGCAGCTACCAAGGGAAAGAGAGAGAAGTAATTCTGGCCTAGATAGAGTCTATAGATTTTTTTTTTCTTTCCTTCAAACTGAGGTTTAAAAAAATCACATCAACTAAAATGCAGATGATGATCAAATGATCAAGGACAACAGCCATTAAATGTTTCAGGTGTGTTTTAACCCAAAGTCGCACAACATGTGAGAACATGAGCTCTGGAGTCGGGAGAATCTCTGAAGAGAATCTAGAAGGTGGGTGGGAGGAAACAGTGATTCACGTCTAAGGAAATTGCAGGGCTACCTCCTGTAGGGGAAAGGAAAGCCTGAGCCTCTCCTACAGTGTGCTGTCTAAAAATTTTTGGCTGACTTACTGTATTCTTCAACACCAAATTTTTTTAGTTCTCTTTTAAATTTTTTTATCTCTTAAAATTCTCACAGTGTTCTTGCATGCTGCCACTAGCTTATTAAACAAGATTGTAATATTTAAATTTTCTGCCAAGAAATCCATATGCTTTTATATTCATTGATGTCAGTTTCTGGACCTTTATGTTGTCCCTCTGTTTGGACCATATTTCCCCATTTCTTCATTTTCCTTGATGGTCTTTGCTGCCATCTACTCATCAAAAAAAACAGCTCTTTGTTCATCATAACAAAGAGCCATACTCTTCCAAGCCTAGGCCCTTAGAGAAAACCCTCACCAATCACCCCATCAGTGATTGTGGATCTCTCAAAAACTTCATAATAACTTCATAATATTCAAACTTCTGTCTTTGTTCTTAGTGGCCCCCAGGTTTTAGAGCATGTTGGGTTGTGGCAGGACTCCTAAGTAGGGGAGGTAGAAACTATTTACTCAAGCAGCCTCTTGAACAGGTACACCATTCAATACAGTTTTATTATTGAGGTATGATTCATCAGAATAATGTCAGTTCAAGCGCCTCTCAACCAGTTGTCTAGCATTGAAATGTTAGAATTTATTATTTGGATCTGTCTGTCATTTATCTTTTGAATCTTAGGTAAAATTACAAACTGGTATAAAACTGCCTATTTGGCAAATGATCTGCTGCAGAATTTTCATCTTCTATGTATCTCTGTTTGCACTTAAATCCAAGTTTATATTAGGCATGTATCTAGAATGTAGAAATAAATCTTAAAATTCCTTCATTTTTCAAAAGATTATGGGGTTTCCAGAAGATGGGAGAACCTTCTTTATTTATAAAATACCTGATTCCACATTTTCCAATAGTTTCCTCTTTATCAATCTCCTCTCACATTATACTATATTAAGCAAGGAGAAATTAAAACACACCATCCACACTTTGCATAGAAATCCCCTCAATCCCCTCAGCTTTTTTTTTTTTTGACGGAGTTTCACTGTTGTTACCTGGGCCTTGGCCTCCCAAATTGCTGGGATTACAGGCATGAGCCACTGCATTGGGAAGCTTGAACTGGGCAGAGCCCACCTCAGGTCAGCAAGGCCTACTCTCTCTACAGACTCCAGCTCTGTGGGCAGGTCATAGCTGAACAAAAGGCAGCAGAAACTTCTGCAGACTTAAACGTCCCTGTCCAACAACTCTGAACAGAGCAGTGGTTCTGCCAGCATGGCATTTGAGCTCTGAAAATGGACAGACTGCCTCCTCAAGTGGGTCTCTGACCCCCGTGTAGCCTAACTGGGAAACACCTCCCAGTAGGGGCCAACAGACACCTCATACAGGTGGGTGCCCCTCTGGGACAAAGCTCCCAGAGGAAGGATCAGGCAACAATATTTGCTGTTCTGCAATATTTGCTGTTCTGCAGCCTCTGCTGGTGATACCCAGGCAAACAGGGTCTGGAGTGGACCTCCAGCAAACTCCAACAGACCTGCAGCTGAGGGACCTGACTGTTAGAAGGAAAATGAACAAATACAAAGGAATAGCATGGCCAGGCACAGTGGCTCATGCCTGTAATCCCAGCACTTTGGGAGGCCGAGGCGGGTGGATCACAAGGTCAGGAGATTGAGACCATCCTGGCTAACACAGTGAAACCCCATCTCTACTAAAAATACAAAAAACAATTAGCCGGGCGTGGTGGCGGGTGCCTGTAGTCCCAGCTACTCGGGAGGCTGAGGCAGGAGAATGGCGTGAACCCAGGAAGCGGAGCTTGCAGTGAGCCGAGATCGCGCCACTGCACTCCAGCCTGGGCAAGAGCAAGACTCTGTCTCAAAAAAAAAAAAAAAAAAAAGAAAGGAATAGCATCAACATCAACAAAAAGGGCATCCATACCAAAACCCCATCTGTAGGTCACCATCATCAAAGACAAAGCTTAGATAAAACCACAAAGATGGGGAGAAACCAGAGCAGAAATGCTGAAAATTCTAAAAAACAGAGCATCTCTTCTCCTCCAAAGGATCACAGCTCCTCACCAGCAACAGAACAAAGCTGGATGGGAATGACTTTGACGAGTTGATAGAAGTAGGCTTCAGAAGGTCAGTAATAACAAATTTCTCCAAGCTAAAGGAGCATGTTCTAATCCATCACGAGCAAGCTAAAACCTTGAAAAAAGGTTAGATGAATGGCTAACTATAATAAACAGTGTAGAGAAGACTTTAAATGACCTGAGGGAGCTGAAAACTATGGCACAATAATTTTGTGATGCATGCATGAGCTTCAACAGCTGATTTGATCAAGTGGAAGAAAGGATATCAGTGATTGAAGATCAAATTAATGAAATAAAAATAGAAGACAAGTTTAGACAAAAAAAGAGTAAGAAGAACAAACAAAGCCTCCAAGGAATATGGGACTATGTGAAAAGAAAAATCTAAGTTTGATTGGTATACCTGAAAGTGATAGGGAGAATGGAACCAAGTTGGAAAACACTCTTCATGATAGTATCCAGGAGAACCTCTGCAACCTAGCAAGGAAAGTAAACATTCAAATTCCGGAAATACAGAGAACACCACAAAGATACTCGCTGAGAAGAGCAACCCTAAGACACATAATTGTCAGATTCACCAAGGTTGAAATGAAGGAGAAAGTTTTAAGGGCAACCAGAGTTGTGCCATGGCACAGTGTTGTGCCAGGTCCTTTCTCTGTTTTCTTGCCTGTTTATTTATGTCAGATGTGCCACCTACATGTAATAAGGTCAGAATTCTGCCTCCAGTAACACATCAAAGGTGACCTTTGATTGTACTTTTGGTTTATGCTCCAAAATATTGATTATAAATTTCATCACCGTCATATTTTATGTCAAAATAAATCTGCATAATCTGAATGTCAATACATTTTGGAATCTACTAAATAACTGAAATTGCAAGAAATATTACCCACTCCAAAAACTGGAGAGATGGGCATGTCCAGAATTGCAGTTAGCACTTGCTTAACTGGTGCAGAAACTGCAGGAGCTGCAGAAGCCACAAGCTGTTGAAGGCACTTATATGGTAACCACTATAGACGTCTGAAAGACAAATGTGGACTCGGTAAATGTGACCATTCCAGAGGGTCTTATACTTCTAAGGTTTCTGGACTTTCTCTCCAGAAACCTCCAGATTCTAAAATATACAATCCAAATAAATTTCCTGTGGGTCAGAATTGAAGATGAAATGAAGATGATTAATTACAGAAAACTATACCAGGAGCCTACTTCAAAAGCTTCTAAAGGGAATGACTTTTCCAGAACCTTATCCTATGTGAAGGAAGACAAATCTCCCATTCCAGATTCTCTCCCATTCTTCCATTATTATATGAATGAGTAAAGTTAGCCAAAAGGGGTAAGATGTACGTAAATAGTCCAGGGAGGCCAAAACCACAAAAGGGAGTAACAGCCAAAAATGAGCTTTTCCCCTGGAGATGCTTTTTCAAGGTCACAGCCCAGAAGAGGAAGCCTATCGAATCTCTAGGTTTCCATTGGAAGAACAGGCAGTGCTTACCTGCACTGCACAATCCATTCTAACTAGGATGATGACTATGGATTAAAGATGAAAGTGTGGCAATGCACAGACTCTATCTGAGGAGAATACAGAAACACTAAGACAATGACAGAGGGTGAGACAAAGGCAGTACAGCAATGTGAAGCCTCTGACATCATGATTTTTAAGACCAACATCTTGTAAATGCCATCATAGATCTCAGCTTCTTTTATTATGGGGACTTTGCTGGTTTCCTAGCTGAGAAAGTGAAAATAACAACCTGCATGCACTTCCCAAGTCTCCACCTGTATCCTGTTTGCTTTAAATCTCTAGGAGAAGAAAGTCAGATAACTGGGCCTAGTGTCAGCATAGGAGGCACTTCCTAAAAGCTACATATTAGGAAGAAGGGAAAATGTGTGTTATTGGAATAGTGGATATGGAGTGGGCTTTCATCTGAATGTATCTGCACCTGCTGGTATTCTCAGATGCAACATTCAACTGCAAGAGCCCAGTGAAGAAACACGGCACTCCCAAATCTCCTGTAAGTTTTTGTCTTCATTTTGGTTCCACTAATGAAGTGAATCTGGAGCTTCAGAGAAGGGGCTCCTTTCTGTGTCATTGAATCCTTGCTCTGGGTCTCCTTGCAGAGTTCAATAGGTTTAGTAAGGCTAATCAGTTGTTTCAAGAGATCGTGTCAGTAGCATATGGTGTCACTGAAGGAGTGTGATAAACCAGGACACAGCCATTTCATGCTGGGCTAGAGAAGCTTGGGGGAAATGATTTGTAAGTCCCAGCAGGAACCTCTTTGCAAGGCAGGGTCTGGGCTGTTGGGGGCACAGACCAGGTGAGTTAGATATCAATATGTAAAGATGAGGACCTATGGATATTAATTGAAAATACATAAATACTTCAAAAAATTCCAATAAATTGAGTCCAAAATTAACCCGAAATTATTCAAAACACAAATTCCTTGACAAATATTTTGGGAGCAATGAGTTCATAAAGAATTTGAAACTACCGTTTCAGCTTCTGATTCTTATTGTTCCTGAGATGAGAAAATCATCTCTAATCACACATCACAGAGCAAATCTGTAAACAAGAGTGTTTCTATTGAAGATCCGGGGGGATCTGAACACCAGGCAGGTGCTGGAGACACTGTTTCAGGAGTGCCCAGCAGATCTCAGAAGGACCTGCTGGTCACTCACGTGGGACATGAGCAGTAACTTCCTCAGTCATCAGTCAGCTGTGCTGGTGACTGATGGATCCAGGACAGAACCACGGCACCTGCTCAGTGTCATGGAGAGTGATGGTTCCAGAAATTATCCAGGTGGTCTCTGTGCTTATAAAATGTAGGTTCACAGTGAGGAGCGTGTCCTGAGGGGGATTGTTCTTCTGTGAAAGGACCTCTGTTCATGAATGTTCATAAATGGAGCAGGGCATGCATTTCCTCAAACAGGAATAGGGCTTGGACCATCAGCATCTCACTCTTGTAAATCTGATGTGTCATTTATCTTCCCTTTCTTATTATTAACCAGGCTTTCTTCTATGAAATGCTATGTCATGAATATGCAAATAACCTGAGATCCACTGAGGTAAATTTGGATGTCTGTGCCCTGAGAGCATCACCCAACAACCACATCCCTCCTCTATAGAAGCCCCTGAGAACACAGCTCCTCACCATGGACTGTACCTGGGGGATCCACTTCTTGGTGGCAGCTGCCACAGGTAAGGGGCTCCCAAGTACCAGTGATGAGGAGGGGATTGAGTTCAGTCAAGGGGGCTTTTATCAACTCCTCCATTCTCCTCACAGGTGTCCATTCCCAGGTTCAGCTGTTGCAGCCTGGGGCTGAGGTGAAGAAGCCTGGGTCCTCAGTGAAGGTCTCCTGCCAGGCTTCCAGATACACCTTCACCAAATACTTTACACGGTGGGTGTGACAAAGCCCTGGACAAGGGCATAGTGGATGGGATGAATCAACCCTTACAATGATAACACACACTATGCACAGACGTTCTGGGGCAGAGTCACCATTACCAGTGACAGGTCCATGAGCACAGCCTACATGGAGCTGAGCAACCTGAGATCTGAAGACATGGTCATGTATTACTGTGTGAGAGACACAGTGCAAAAACCCACATCCTGAGAGTGTCAGAAACCCCAGGAAGGAGACACCTGTGCTGACACAGAGGAGATGACAAAGATTATTAGATTAAAGATTTGCTTAGAAAATGACATTAAGTCATTAAAGAAAAGGAACAATATTAATGTGTATTTGAGAAATTTTAATTATTTGAGAGATTTTTCATACAACATTTATTCTGTAAACAAATTTCAATGATTAGAGAATTAATCAAATTAATGAAACTAATATAGAACTTCCTCTGAAGGTATCTCTGTAAACATTAATTTCTTAATCAGTGCTGTAAGTATTTTGGAATACAGACACAAAATCACATTTTAAGTCTGCATTTATATCTATTAAAAATGCCAAAAAAATCTCCTTTTGTGCGTGTAGCATTTTGAATTCCCACCATCAATGCATGATAGTTCTTGGTTTTCCACATTCATATTGCCATGTATCCTTATGAGAGTTGTGTGTTTTAACCAATCTAGTAGGTGAGTAATGGGATCTAATTTTTATTTAAATGCACATGTCCCTCAAAAAGTTCATATTTAACAATTTTCCAATAACTTTTGTTGAGATGCCTCTCCTGATATTTGGTTCATTTTAAATGCATTGCTTTGTTTTGATTCATTGTAAGTTTACTTGCATATTGTTTATAAAAGTCATTTAACAAATTAAAAGAATTCATTTAACAAATATGTGACTTGGAAGTATTTTTTCCAAGTCTGTGGCTGTCTTTACTCCCTTATCAGTGTGTATTGCAGAAACATACGTGTGTGTGTGCATGTGTCTGTGTGTGTATGTGTGTGTTTGTACAAATTTAGATTCAAAAACATGTAAAATTGTATTCATTCATAGATGATGTTTTGACATTATATCTGAAGTCTCATTATAGAATACCAAATAGTGGTTATTTTTTCTATGTGTCTAACCTCAGGCCACAATCAACTTATGAGTGTTTAAACTTCACCTACTTGATTGGAGGACTATTCACCTCAGATATTTGGAATACTTCTGTAAGGAGATGTGTTCGTCTTCCCAATATTTATTTTCATAATCATCTATTAATATGTGTATTGGTTTATGAATATATATTTCATACTCTGAAGAAGATCCATGCTATATTACTCATTTTATCGTTCAAATCACCACAGCTTTATTAGGTCCTGGGAGCTCATTTAGTTTGGATCCTGTATCCTTACAGTGCACCTCATCCTTTTGTTTTTGAACACTTCCCTGTTTCCTTGTATTACAACAAATTCTAAGTTCATTTTCTATATTACCTCTTTTGTACATAGAATTAGCCATTTTTCTAAAGCTTGCTTGTTTCTAACGTTAACGAATAGCAGTAAAATAAAAAAAAATTGTGATACCGTGTATAATTACTTCTAGGACCTCTCAACCTACTGGCCTAGCAGATGTGCATGTTTATATGAACCCATGTTTATGGACGCATCAAAACTACTTATGTACCTAATCTTCTGTAACTTTATTATATTAAAAATGAGAACACACTGGTCTCCTGACCCAACTATGCTACCACGTGGACCTTTCTAGCCTTCCTTCCTTGACTGTCCATAACCATCCACTTTAAAGTGAGGAATCCTATCCCACCAATTGCCTTATTATTACCTGGTTGCACAATTTTAGGACACATGCATAGCGGTATCAGAAATGTAAAGCTCATTGGAAATATGTTTATCTACTAGAATAGAGTGCTATGTGTAGTTTCTTTACATTTTAAACATACAGAATTTCCTCATTTTCAAAGTTAATTAGACTAGCAACTTCATTTTCTACTTTCTTCAGTGAAGTCATTTCAATTACACCATATAATATCATTTATTTGAAATTCGGTATAAACCAAAACTATAGTCAAGTAAACAGATAGAGGATATTCAAGGAATTTAGAGAATGAGTATTAAATAAGTAAAAATGGCACTGTTTAAGAATAGTAAAATTATTTTTAGTGCTATAAAATGGTTGAGACACGATGCAGTTAATTTGTCTAAGCTCATAATTGTGTGATGGAAAATATAAACCTAAATATATACAATTTTTGTAAAAAGTATTTAGCAGTTCATTAAACCCAGGATTAAATGCAGACTGTATAAAGTTATCTAATAACTTATTTGGTGAGGGTGGGGATATCATGAGATGCATGCAAAAAAGAATGAAGTAAATTTCCTCATTTGCATATAAGATGTTACCATTCACTAAAGACCTTTAATTTAAAAAAATCAATTTTCAACGTGACCCAGGTTTTTTCTTCCTGACAAGCAAATAACCCAGATAATTCTTTTCTTTCCTTGGTTGATAAAGATTTTCCCCAAACTTCAGCTCAGTTCAGGCACACACTGTCCCTGAATGGGCATTTACCCGCAGATGGGTACACACACCTGTCAACATGGGGACTCTTCTGTCAGACAAACACACCTTTACTCACGTGGATTCTTCCCTCAGACAAACACATATGTCCCCACATGGACTCTTTTCTCAGACCACCACGTATGTCCTTACATTTACTCTTTCCTCTGGTAATGACATTTCCTCATGTGGACTCTTGTCTCAGACAAACATGTCTGCATGTGAACTCTTCACTCTGATAAGTACACATATTTCCACAGTGACTGTTTCCTGACACAAGCAGATATATCCAATGTTGAACTGTTTTATGGGAAAATGATCTCAAGATAATAATTATAAAATCCCTCCCTGACAAGGTGTAGATCTGCATTTTTTTATTGTACCTTAACTTTGCCTTATTGTCAAGAACAGTAGTTTGTAGCTCTAAATGCACCGATTAGAGATTGGTGTCCGTTTTCTCTGGAAATGTATTTTTAAGTTCTTACTGGATGTATTTTTTTGATAATGTTTGCTACTGTGAAGATACCTGAACAGGGTCCACACTAGAAAATAAAAAAGACTAATCAGCAGATTAACCCTGTGCATCCAGACCCACGAGTCCTTTGAACCTGCCCCCCTGAAATGGAG
The DNA here is from genome assembly GCF_000001405.40 of Homo sapiens. Classification (NCBI taxonomy): domain Eukaryota; kingdom Metazoa; phylum Chordata; class Mammalia; order Primates; family Hominidae; genus Homo; species Homo sapiens. Next base: position 33,962,653 of record NC_000016.10, on the reverse strand, counting down.
ACACAGAGGATGGATGAGCAATGCCGAGCGGTGCACCCAAGACCACGAAAAGAAAGACAAGGAAATGTGTCCCCTCCCCTCCTCATGAAAGGCAGCTCATCCCCTGTTCCTTCAGGCCCTGGCGAGGAGCCAACCCATGTCTCTTCCCTTCCTCAGTGTCCACACCGTGGGATCTGCACTGATTTGGGCTTCCCTTCTCATCACCCTCAATATTAGTGTCCCTTGTGAATCAGGTCCAGGTGCGGCTGCTCCACATGGGGCCGTTCTTCCATTTCCTCAGTGTTTGCAGAAGTCCTGTGTGAAATTTATTGATGGAGTCAGAGGGGGAAAAATTGTACACCCAGTGGCTCACTGAGACTCTCATGCAAAGCCTCTGATTTCACCTTTACTGGCTACAGCAATGAGCTTGGTCCAGCCAGCTTCACGACAGGGATTTGTGTAGGTGGAAACAGTGAGTGATCAAGTGGGAGTTCTCAGAGTTACTCTCCATAAGCACAAATAAATTAACAGTCCCAAGTGACACCTTTTAATGTGCAGTCTACCTTAAAGGGACCAAACTGAAAGTCAAGGACAAGGCCTTGTAATACTGTGAGAGACACAGGAGAGGGAATATCTGTGTGAGCCCCAACAGAAAAATCTCTGCAGGAAGACAGGAGGGAGCTGCATGGTAGATGCTCCTCAGAACCACCAGGGCGCCTTGAGGACAACCTGGGGGCACTCAGAACCACCAGGGTGTGCTTAGGACCATGGGGTGCTCAGGATATTAGGGGGTGCTCAGGATCATGAGGGGGTGCTCATGACACCAGGGGGCACTCAGAATCACAAGGGGGCACTCAGGACACGAGGGTTTGCCCAGGACCACCAGCAGGCACTCAGGTCACCAGGGGGTGTTCAGGACCACCAGGGGGCGCTCAGGACACCTGGGGGAGCTCAGAACCACCAGGGGGCGCTCAGGACACCTGGGGGCGCTCAGAAGCATCAGGGGTGCTCAGGATATCACAGTGCCCTCAGTACCACGAGGGGGCGCTCATGACACCAGGGGCACTCAGAACCACCAGGGGGTGCTCAGTACACGGGGGTTCTCAGGAAGCAGCTCCAAATCAGGAGCCTGAGAAGCTGTGGTTTTCTTTTAAACCTTGGTGATTCCCGACCTGGTCAAGCAAAAGTCTTCCCCAGGATCTCTCACCATTTCTTCCTTGTAAATCCATGATTACTTTTACCTACAAAACATTAACTTAGAACAGGAATTTAATTCAACTTTTAATGCTGCATATTTTCCAAGTAATACTAGCAATGATCTCTCAGGACAATTTTTAAAATAGGTTATTTATATATTCTCTTGATTAAAAATAATACTATTATTAAAATAGTAAAATTATAAAAATCACACCTGTAATCCCAGAACTTTGGGAGGCTAAGGCAGGCAGATCACTTGAGCTCAGGACTTTTAGAACACCCTGGCAGCACAGTGAGGTCTTTTCTATACAAAAATAATAATAATAAATACCTGGGTATGGTTCCACCTGTGGTAGCAGCTACTTGAAAGGCTGAGGTGGGAGGATCCCTTAAGCCTGGGAGGTTAATGCTGCAGTGAGCTGTGATTGTGCCACTGCACTCCAGTCTCGTTGACAGAGTGAGACCCTATTTAAAGAAAATGTATATCCTCAATATAAACTGTTTCAATGATTAGAGTTTTGTATTTTTGTGCTGTAATAGTCAAACAATTGTACATGTTTTTTAACATTAACTCAGCGTATACATGGCATTTTGTTTCTTTTTCTTTCATCTGCTGTTTTTGGAAATTAAACACGACTTTAAATACTCTTGTTCTCCATTTTGGTTGGCTTCAGGTGTCCTGTTTTTCAGACTGTTTCTCCATCTTCCCTTTTTCTTTGAAAGTATTTTACCTTCCTCAGTCTCCATGAAGGAAAAAGAAAGTCACTTTACTTTCTGACCTCCAAGTCTGGTGAATCAGTTCCCTTGTCTTCATAATCATTGAAGCCAACCAAGTTTAGAGGATAATGGCTCTCCTTAGAATATGCTCATCTACCTGCAGACTCTGCCCTACTCACCCTTTTCCAGGGTCCTGCAGACCATCCCCTCATTTCCCTAAGTACCACAGAGTGGGCTCTGCAGCTCCTGCTGCCCTCTGTGTGTTCAGCCCTGGGGCTCACTAGTGTTTTGATGATGAAGTCCAAATCCCCATGTGCTTGGACCCTCTGAGACCACCCTCTAGGAAGATGCCATTGTGAGTGAGCCCTGAAAATCATGGGCTGTGTTCAGTTTCATTATCCTGGATGTTCTCTATCATAAAGGAATATTGACAAATAAATACCAGAGTTTGTATTGAATATTCATGCCAAAAAAGTTTTTTTTTAAATTTTTCAAATGAAACAATTTTATCTTTCCTGGTTTGAAAACTACAATCTAAATTTAACAAATAATGTAATACAATGTTTGTCTTATTAGTTATTCAATTTATTAAAAACAGACTGATATTTAAAGTTAATACCATTGCACATTTGAGTGACATATTTGGCAAGAACAGCATTTACATTCAGCTTTAACAAAACATGTATTTAAATATATTTGTCTTTTTAGTATTGGAATAGGCAGACATACACGTAGAAGAGCATTATTTTCTACTACAACCTCAAACTGCAAACACAGTTTAAATTCAATTAAGTAATTAAAAAATATGAAACAAATAGGTGTGCTATTTTGGTGTTTAGATATACGTTCACTTTTGCATGGGCATATGTATGTGTCTTTGCTGGGCTGTTGTGTATGTATGTGTGTTTGTAGAACCATGAAGTTTTCAAATACATCATTAAATGACATATTAATCTTGGCCAGGCATGGTGGCTCAGGCCTGTAATCCCAGCACTTTGGGAGTCATAGGCAGGCAGATCACCTGAGGTCAAGAGTTCAAGACCAGCCTGGCCAACATGGTAAAACCCCGTCTCTACTAAAAATACAAAAAATAGCCAGGTATTGTGGCAAGTGCCTTTAGTCCCAGTGTGACAGGGAAATGTGGGGTCAGAAATCCCACACAGAGTTTCTACTGGTGTACCACCTAGTGGAGCTGTAAGAAGAAAGCCACTGCCCTCCAGAACCCAGAATGGTAGATCCACTGACAGCTTGCACTATATTTCTGGAAAAACCACATACACTCAATGCCAGCTCGTGAAAGCAGCCAGGAGGGAGACTGTGCCCTGCAAAAGTTTTTTAAAACTTTTCATTTGAAAAGTTTTAAAAAAGTTCTGCCACAGGGGCAGAACTGCCCAAGACCATGGGAACCCACCTGTTACATCAGGTAACCTAGATTTGAGACATGGAGTCAAAGAAGATTATTTTGGAACATGAAGATTTGACTGCTCAGCTGGATTTCAGACTTGCATGGGGCCTGTAGTTTGGACCAATTTCTCCATTTGGAATGGCTGTATTTACACAGTGCCTGAACTCCCATTCTTTCTAGGAAGTAACTGACTTCGTTTTTATCTTACAGGCTCACATGGAAGAGACTTGCCTCATCTCAAATGAGACCTTGGACTGTGGACTTTTGAGTTAAGGCTCAAATGAGTTAAGACTTTGGCAGACTCTTGAACAGGCATGATTGGTTTTGAAATGCGACAGCAATCATGACTCTAGAGGACCACATGTGAAATGCAACAAGCAGGAGCAGAAGACAAGTAATTCATTATTTCACTGTAGTGCATTAAAATGGTAGACTCACAGAAGTAGAATAGAATGTTGGTTACCAGGGGCTGGAGGGGTGGACTAGAAAAGGAGAGATTTTGGTCAAAGTGTAAAATGTTCCAGTTAGACAGAAGGAGTAAGTTGCAGTGTTCTAATGCACAAGATGGAAAATATGGCTATGAATGCATTGTATATTTCAAAATGGCTAAAAATGTAAATGTTAAAATTTTTCCCACTAAGAAATTATACAGGTCGGGAGTGGGGGCTCACACCTCTAATCCCAGCACTTTCGGAGGCCGAGGTGGGTGGATCACAAGGTCAGGAGTTCAAGACCAGACTGGCGGGGGAGGAGCCAAGATGGCCGAATAGGAACAGCTCCGGTCTACAGCTCCCAGCGTGAGCGACGCAGAAGACGGTGATTTCTGCATTTCCATCTGAGGTACCGGGTTCATCTCACTAGGGAGTGCCAGACAGTGGGCGCAGGCCAGTGTGTGTGCGCACCGTGCGCGAGCCGAAGCAGGGCGAGGCATTGCCTCACCTGGGAAGCGCAAGGGGTCAGGGAGTTCCCTTTCTGAGTCAAAGAAAGGGGTGACGGTCGCACCTGGAAAATCGGGTCACTCCCACCCGAATATTGCGCTTTTCAGACCGGCTTAAGAAACGGCGCACCACGAGACTATATCCCACACCTGGCTCGGAGGGTCCTACGCCCACGGAATCTCGCTGATTGCTAGCACAGCAGTCTGAGATCAAACTGCAAGGCGGCAACGAGGCTGGGGGAGGGGCGCCCGCCATTGCCCAGGCTTGCTTAGGTAAACAAAGCAGCCGGGAAGCTCGAACTGGGTGGAGCCCACCACAGCTCAAGGAGGCCTGCCTGCCTCTGTAGGCTCCACCTCTGGGGGCAGGGCACAGACAAACAAAAAGACAGCAGTAACCTCTGCAGACTTAAGTGTCCCTGTCTGACAGCTTTGAAGAGAGCAGTGGTTCTCCCAGCACGCAGCTGGAGATCTGAGAACGGGCAGACAGACTGCCTCCTCAAGTGGGTCCCTGACTCCTGACCCCCGAGCAGCCTAACTGGGAGGCACCCCCCAGCAGGGGCACACTGACACCTCACACGGCAGGGTATTCCAACAGACCTGCAGCTGAGGGTCCTGTCTGTTAGAAGGAAAACTAACAACCAGAAAGGACATCTACACCGAAAACCCATCTGTACATCACCATCATCAAAGACCAAAAGTAGATAAAACCACAAAGATGGGGAAAAAACAGAACAGAAAAACTGGAAACTCTAAAACGCAGAGCGCCTCTCCTCCTCCAAAGGAACGCAGTTCCTCACCAGCAACAGAACAAAGCTGGATGGAGAATGATTTTGACGAGCTGAGAGAAGAAGGCTTCAGACGATCAAATTACTCTGAGCTACGGGAGGACATTCAAACCAAAGGCAAAGAAGTTGAAAACTTTGAAAAAAATTTAGAAGAATGTATAACTAGAATATCCAATACAGAGAAGTGCTTAAAGGAGCTGATGGAGCTGAAAACCAAGGCTCGAGAACTACGTGAAGAATGCAGAAGCCTCAGGAGCCGATGCGATCAACTGGAAGAAAGGGTATCAGCAATGGAAGATGAAATGAATGAAATGAAGCGAGAAGGGAAGTTTAGAGAAAAAAGAATAAAAAGAAATGAGCAAAGCCTCCAAGAAATATGGGACTATGTGAAAAGACCAAATCTACGTCTGATTGGTGTACCTGAAAGTGATGTGGAGAATGGAACCAAGTTGGAAAACACTCTGCAGGATATTATCCAGGAGAACTTCCCCAATCTAGCAAGGCAGGCCAACGTTCAGATTCAGGAAATACAGAGAACGCCACAAAGATACTCCTCGAGAAGAGCAACTCCAAGACACATAATTGTCAGATTCACCAAAGTTGAAATGAAGGAAAAAATGTTAAGGGCAGCCAGAGAGAAAGGTCGGGTTACCCTCAAAGGGAAGCCCATCAGACTAACAGCGGATCTCTCGGCAGAAACCCTACAAGCCAGAAGAGAGTGGGGGCCAATATTCAACATTCTTAAAGAAAAGAATTTTCAACCCAGAATTTCATATCCAGCCAAACTAAGCTTCATAAGTGAAGGAGAAATAAAATACTTTATAGACAAGCAAATGTTGAGAGATTTTGTCACCACCAGGCCTGCCCTAAAAGAGCTCCTGAAGGAAGCGCTAAACATGGAAAGGAACAACCGGTACCAGCCGCTGCAAAATCATGCCAAAATGTAAAGACCATCGAGACTAGGAAGAAACTGCATCAACTAATGAGCAAAATCACCAGCTAACATCATAATGACAGGATCAAATTCACACATAACAATATTAACTTTAAATATAAATGGACTAAATTCTGCAATTAAAAGACACAGACTGGCAAGTTGGATAAAGAGTCAAGACCCATCAGTGTGCTGTATTCAGGAAACCCATCTCACGTGCAGAGACACACATAGGCTCAAAATAAAAGGATGGAGGAAGATCTACCAAGCCAATGGAAAACAAAAAAAGGCAGGGGTTGCAATCCTAGTCTCTGATAAAACAGACTTTAAACCAACAAAGATCAAAAGAGACAAAGAAGGCCATTACATAATGGTAAAGGGATCAATTCAACAAGAGGAGCTAACTATCCTAAATATTTATGCACCCAATACAGGAGCACCCAGATTCATAAAGCAAGTCCTCAGTGACCTACAAAGAGACTTAGACTCCCACACATTAATAATGGGAGACTTTAACACCCCACTGTCAACATTAGACAGATCAACGAGACAGAAAGTCAACAAGGATACCCAGGAATTGAACTCAGCTCTGCACCAAGCAGACCTAATAGACATCTACAGAACTCTCCACCCCAAATCAACAGAATATACCTTTTTTTCAGCACCACACCACACCTATTCCAAAATTGACCACATAGTTGGAAGTAAAGCTCTCCTCAGCAAATGTAAAAGAACAGAAATTATAACAAACTATCTCTCAGACCACAGTGCAATCAAACTAGAACTCAGGATTAAGAATCTCACTCAAAGCCGCTCAACTACATGGAAACTGAACAACCTGCTCCTGAATGACTACTGGGTACATAACGAAATGAAGGCAGAAATAAAGATGTTCTTTGAAACCAACGAGAACAAAGACACCACATACCAGAATCTCTGGGACGCATTCAAAGCAGTGTGTAGAGGGAAATTTATAGCACTAAATGCCTACAAGAGAAAGCAGGAAAGATCCAAAATTGACACCCTAACATCACAATTAAAAGAACTAGAAAAGCAAGAGCAAACACATTCAAAAGCTAGCAGAAGGCAAGAAATAACTAAAATCAGAGCAGAACTGAAGGAAATAGAGACACAAAAAACCCTTCAAAAAATCAATGAATCCAGGAGCTGGTTTTTTGAAAGGATCAACAAAATTGATAGACCGCTAGCAAGACTAATAAAGAAAAAAAGAGAGAAGAATCAAATAGACACAATAAAAAATGATAAAGGGGATATCACCACCGATCCCACAGAAATACAAACTACCATCAGAGAATACTACAAACACCTCTACGCAAATAAACTAGAAAATCTAGAAGAAATGGATACATTCCTCGACACATACACTCTCCCAAGACTAAACCAGGAAGAAGTTGAATCTCTGAATAGACCAATAACAGGCTCTGAAATTGTGGCAATAATCAATAGTTTACCAACCAAAAAGAGTCCAGGACCAGATGGATTCACAGCCGAATTCTACCAGAGGTACATGGAGGAACTGGTACCATTCCTTCTGAAACTATTCCAATCAATAGAAAAAGAGGGAATCCTCCCTAACTCATTTTATGAGGCCAGCATCATTCTGATACCAAAGCCGGGCAGAGACACAACCAAAAAAGAGAATTTTAGACCAATATCCTTGATGAACATTGATGCAAAAATCCTCAATAAAATACTGGCAAACCGAATCCAGCAGCACATCAAAAAGCTTATCCACCATGATCAAGTGGGCTTCATCCCTGGGATGCAAGGCTGGTTCAATATACGCAAATCAATAAATGTAATCCAGCATATAAACAGAGCCAATGACAAAAACCACATGATTATCTCAATAGATGCAGAAAAAGCCTTTGACAAAATTCAACAACCCTTCATGCTAAAAACTCTCAATAAATTAGGTATTGATGGGACGTATTTCAAAATAATAAGAGCTATCTATGACAAACCCACAGCCAATATCATACTGAATGGGCAAAAACTGGAAGCATTCCCTTTGAAAACCGGCACAAGACAGGGATGCCCTCTCTCACCGCTCCTATTCAACATAGTGTTGGAAGTTCTGGCCAGGGCAATCAGGCAGGAGAAGGAAATAAAGGGTATTCAATTAGGAAAAGAGGAAGTCAAATTGTCCCTGTTTGCAGACGACATGATTGTATATCTAGAAAACCCCATCGTCTCAGCCCAAAATCTCCTTAAGCTGATAAGCAACTTCAGCAAAGTCTCAGGATACAAAATCAATGTACAAAAATCACAAGCATTCTTATACACCAACAACAGACAAACAGAGAGCCAAATCATGGGTGAACTCCCATTCGTAATTGCTTCAAAGAGAATAAAATACCTAGGAATCCAACTTACAAGGGATGTGAAGGACCTCTTCAAGGAGAACTACAAACCACTGCTCAAGGAAATAAAAGAGGACACAAACAAATGGAAGAACATTCCATGCTCATGGGTAGGAAGAATCAATATCGTGAAAATGGCCATACTGCCCAAGGTAATTTACAGATTCAATGCCATCCCCATCAAGCTACCAATGACTTTCTTCACAGAATTGGAAAAAACTACTTTAAAGTTCATATGGAACCAAAAAAGAGCCCGCATTGCCAAGTCAATCCTAAGCCAAAAGAACAAAGCTGGAGGCATCACACTACCTGACTTCAAACTATACTACAAGGCTACAGTAACCAAAACAGCATGGTACTGGTACCAAAACAGAGATATAGATCAATGGAACAGAACAGAGCCCTCAGAAATAATGCCGCATATCTACAACTATCTGATCTTTGACAAACCTGAGAAAAACAAGCAATGGGGAAAGGATTCCCTATTTAATAAATGGTGCTGGGAAAACTGGCTAGCCATATGTAGAAAGCTGAAACTGGATCCCTTCCTTACACCTTATACAAAAATCAATTCAAGATGGATTAAAGATTTAAACGTTAAACCTAAAACCATAAAAACCCTAGAAGAAAACCTAGGCATTACCATTCAGGACATAGGCGTGGGCAAGGACTTCATGTCCAAAACACCAAAAGCAATGGCAACAAAAGACAAAATTGACAAATGGGATCTAATTAAACTAAAGAGCTTCTGCACAGCAAAAGAAACTACCATCAGAGTGAACAGGCAACCTACAACATGGGAGAAAATTTTCGCAACCTACTCATCTGACAAAGGGCTAATATCCAGAATCTACAATGAACTCAAACAAATTTACAAGAAAAAAACAAACAACCCCATCAAAAAGTGGGCGAAGGACATGAACAGACACTTCTCAAAAGAAGACATTTATGCAGCCAAAAAACACATGAAGAAATGCTCATCATCACTGGCCATCAGAGAAATGCAAATCAAAACCACTATGAGATATCATCTCACACCAGTTAGAATGGCAATCATTAAAAAGTCAGGAAACAACAGGTGCTGGAGAGGATGCGGAGAAATAGGAACACTTTTACACTGTTGGTGGGACTGTAAACTAGTTCAACCATTGTGGAAGTCAGTGTGGCGATTCCTCAGGGATCTAGAACTAGAAATACCATTTGACCCAGCCATCCCATTACTGGGTATATACCCAAATGAGTATAAATCATGCTGCTATAAAGACACATGCACACGTATGTTTATTGCGGCACTATTCACAATAGCAAAGACTTGGAACCAACCGAAATGTCCAACAATGATAGACTGGATTAAGAAAATGTGGCACATATACACCATGGAATACTATGCAGCCATAAAAAATGATGAGTTCATATCCTTTGTAGGGACATGGATGAAATTGGAAACCATCATTCTCAGTAAACTATCGCAAGAACAAAAAACCAAACACCGCATATTCTCACTCATAGGTGGGAATTGAACAATGAGATCACATGGACACAGGAAGGGGAATATCACACTCTGGGGACTGTGGTGGGGTCGGGGGAGGGGGGAGGGATAGCATTGGGAGATATACCTAATGCTAGATGACACATTAGTGGGTGCAGCGCACCAGCATGGCACATGTATACATATGTAACTAACCTGCACAATGTGCACATGTACCCTAAAACTTAGAGTATAATAAAAAAAAAAAAAAAAAAAAAAAAAAGACCAGACTGGCCAAAATGGTGAAACCCTGTCTCCACTAAACACACAAAAGTTAGCCAGGCGTGGTGTTGGGCGCCTGTAATCCCAGCTACTCGGGAGGCTGAGGCAGGAAAATTGTTTGAACCTGGGAAGCAAAGGCTGCAGTGACCGAGATCGCACCACTGCACTCCAGCCTCGGCGACAGAGTGAGACTCAGTCTCAAAAAAAAAAAAAAAAAAGAAATTACACATTTGTGAGGTGATGGATATTTTAAATAGCTTGATTAACAATTCCATGATGTATACATGTATCATAGCATGTGTGAAGCGACCTACCTGTATGAAGGTGAGGTGACCTGGTCACGTGACAGTGAGGTGACCTGGGGGATGTGTGAGGTGACCTGGGGGATGTGTAAGGTTACCTGGGGGTATGTGTGAGGTGAACTTGGGCTCATGTGAGGTGACCCAGGGTGCATGTGTGGTGGCCTGGGTGCGTGTGAGGTTACCTGGACATGCATGAGGTGACATGGGGAACTCATGAGGTGACTTGGGCATGTATGATGTGACCTAAGGCATGTGTGAGGTGACCTGGGGGACGTGTGAGGTGACCTGTGGGACGTGTGAGGTGACCTGGGGGATGTGTGAGGTGACCTGGGGGATGTGTGAGGTGACCTGTGGGAATGTGTGAGGTGACCTGTGGGACGTGTGAGGTGACCTGTGGGACGTGTGAGGTGACCTGGGGGACGTGTGAGGTGACCTGGGGGATGTGTGAGGTGACCTGTGGGACATGTGAGGTGACGTGGCAGATGTGTGAGGTGACGTGGGGAATGTGTGAGGTGACCTGGGGGACGTGTGACGTGACGTGGGGAATGTGTGAGGTGACCTGGGGAACGTGTGAGGTGACCTGGGGGATGTGTGAGGTGACCTGTGGGACGTGTGAGGTGACCTGGGGAATGTGTGAGGTGACCTGGGGAACGTGTGAGGTGACCTGGGGGATGTGTGAGGTGACCTGTGGGACATGTGAGGTGACCTGGGGAATGTGTGAGGTGATGTGGGTGCGTTTGAGGTGACGTGGGGGATGTGTGAGCTTAGCAGGAGTGTGTGTGAGGTGACATGGGGAATATGTGAGGTGACCTGCCTGATGTGTGAGGTGACCTGAGCACATGTAAGGTCACCTAAGGCGCATCTGAGGTGACATGGGGGACGTGTGAGGTGACCTGGGGAACGTGTGAGGTGACCTGTGGGACATGTGAAGTGACCTGGGGAATGTGTGAGGTGACCTGTGGGACATGTGAGGTGACCTGGGGAATGTGTGAGGTGATGTGGGTGCGTTTGAGGTGACGTGGGGGGATGTGTGAGCTTAGCAGGAGTGTGTGTGAGGTAACATGGGGAATATGTGAGGTGACCTGCCTGATGTGTGAAGTGACCTGAGCACATGTGAGGTCACCTAAGGCGCATCTGAGGTGACATGGAGGATGTGCGAGGTGACCTTGGGTGAGTGTGAGGTTACCTGTGGGATGTGTGAGGTGAATTGGGACTTGTGTGAGGTTACCTGGGAAATGTTTGAGGTGACCTGCGGGATGTGTAAGGTGACATTGGGGATGTGTGAGGTGACTCAGGGCACATGTGAGGTGACCTTGGGGATGTGCAAGGTCACACTGTGTGAGTGTGAGGTCATGTGGGATATTTCAAACTTTGTAAGGAAAGCCTGCAACAATATATGGCTCTAGAAGCTTCACACTCCAACACTGTTAATGCGCACATCCTCAAGGAACTCTAAATGTTTCCAGGTTAGCTTAAATGCCATGGAGTGACACCTGCCCCAGGTACACTCATATATGCATCCTGGGTCTCCCTATCAACCCCTATCCTCAAATTTTCAGTTCATGTTTGCTCCATGATATCAACTCTGATATGCTGAGGTTTTTTTTTTTTTTTTTTATCTGTAGTTGTTCAGGTTTGCTGTTTCACTCTCATTACTCTGGGCTCAGTCCTCTCCTCAGGTGTCCCACTTCAGAGCTTGCTATGTAATAGGAGACATGCAAATAGGACCCTCCCTTTTCTGATGAAAAGCAGCCCAGCCCTGACCCTGCAGCCGTGGGAGAGAAGCCCCAGCCCTGGGATTCTCAGGTGTTTCTATTGGGTCAACAGCAATAAACAAATTACCATGGAATTTGGGCTGAGCTGGGTTTTTCTTGCTGCTATTTTAAAAGGTAATTCATGGAGAACTAAGGATATTGAGTGTGAGGGGACATGAGTGACAGAACAGTGGCTATGTGTGGCAGTTTCTGACCAGGATGTCTCTGTGTTTGCAGGTGTGCAGTGTGAGGTGCAGCTGGTGGAGTCTGGGGGAGGCTTGGTCCAGCCTGGGGGGTCCCTGAGACACTCCTGTGCAGCCTCTGGATTCACCTTCAGTAACAGTGACATGAACTGGGTCCTCTAGGCTCCAGGAAAGGGGCTGGAGTGGGTCTCGGATATTAGTTGGAATGGCGGTAAGACGCACTATGTGGACTCCGTGAAGGGCCAATTTACCATCTCCAGAGACAATTCCAGCAAGTCCCTGTATCTGCAAAAGAACAGACAGAGAGCCAAGGACATGGCCGTGTATTACTGTGTGAGAAATCCTGTGAGGGGACACAAGTGTGAGCCCAGACACAAACCTCCTGCAGGAACGTTGGGGGAAATCACTGCAGGGGGCGCTCAGGACCCATTCATCAGAGTCAACCCCAGAGCAGGTTCACATGGAGGCTGGGGTTTGTTTCCTGTCAGGATTTGGGACTTCCTCTGCTTCTGACAGTTTCTCTAGGGAAACTCTTTAATTTTAGATTTCTGTGCCCACCAATGTCATCTCTACATATTTTTTTTAATCATTGTAATATGAGGACTCATTCTCACATGCACAGTATGTACATTGCCACCTACCGGAATGAGAAGTCCTCAACCATGCGCACCAGCATCAGAGTCGTGAGGAAGCTCAGGGGTGCCCGGTGAGTCTTCTCCAGTCAGACTCAGGACAGGAACTTCAATGGGATTCCCTGACTAGAATGGCTTTTAGGGATTTTGATTACAGCCAAGAGAGAGGCTGGACCAGGTTCAGTGTCATGTAGGACCTCACAGGTTTTATGTATGACATTTCTCCTGAAAATATTCAAATGAGTATCAGCACTGATCTGGTTCTTTCTGACTTTCATTTTTAGTGGTTCTTGCTTTTCCATTTGCTTTTCCTGCTTTCTGGAAAAAATGATGTTGTCCCTGTGGTCTAAATCCTGGGGCTCAAGCCCTTTCCCTGGAGCTTAGGTGGGGCTCAGGCTGTGACTCCTGCAGCCATTGGGAGAGGCTGCTGAGACTTTCTTCTCTCTCATTATTAAGCACACTCCACTCTGTTTTCTGGAGACGCATCTGGGAATGCATGTGGCCATTAGGAATGAGGGCATAAGCTTCTTTGGTCAAAGTGGGGTGAGGATGTGGAATTGATCCTGTGCTGTGTAAACTGTCACAGAGTCACCTTCTTTACCGGTAGTGTTAGAAGAGCCTGTAAAAGTTGTCGGAATCCAACTGGAGTCCCTTGTGTTCAAACCCTGACACATGGAGCTGGGGAAGGCCATTTATGGAAGCTTCTCATGCACATACCCCTGAGAACAAGACCTAGCTTTATAACACTCCAAAAAACCACAAATTGAACAAAGGCAACCACAACAATAAAAGAATTACTTATATCCCTAAGAACAACAGCTAGCTTTATAACACTCAGAATAGCCACAACTGTGCACAAAGGCAACCACAACAACAAAATAATTACTTATATCCCTAACAACAAGAGCTAGTTTTATAACACTCAGAAAAGCCACAACCTTGCACAAAGACAACCACAACAATAAAATAATTACTTCTGTGAAAATATCTGCACAGCAACTGCCTGTCCAACCTTACACTGATGTCAACCTTGTTATTGATGCTTCTAGCCTGGGATCGTTCTCATCAAAATGTCATTCAGATGCTGCGTATGACAAAAATTGTGTTTTTCAGTGCAGTCATGTTCTAGTAAAGCCCTCAGAGACCCTCTCCTTCACCTGTGCCGCCTCTGGATTTCCGATCATAACCAGTACTTCCTCCTGGAGCTGGATCTGCCAGCCCCCAGGGAAGGAGCTGAAGTGGGTCAGGTGTGTAGGTCATGAGGAAGCACACAGTACCACCCGCTTCTCAAGAGTCCAGTCACCACCTCCAGATACACATTCAGAAAGCAGTTTTTCCTACAGCTGAGCTACATGTGCAATGAGTACACCACCATGGATTTTTATGCAAAAGACACAGAGGGGGAAGTCATTGTGGGGCCAGACACAAACCTCCCTGCAGGGAAGCTCAGAACACCAGGGGGTGCTCAGGTCACCAAGGGGCGCTCAGGACACATTAAGGCAGGTGCAAGAGGGGAAAAAAGGTGCTGGAGGTGGGGTTTTTCATCACTGACATATTTTACTCTCCACCATATTTATTCTAATGTATATTATTGTATTATTAGACAATGATATTTATATAAATATATAGCCACACGTAGGTGCACCAAGTTGTCCTCTCCATCTAATGTGGACCTTGTCCTTCAGGACTAAGTCCTTGTATATATTTGAGCACCTCATAAATTATGGTCAGTTATGTAGGATCTCTCACTTGTTCTGTGTCCCTTCCTCCCTCCTCTCTCACACACAAACTGACACACACAAAGAGTTCTACAACTTTAATTACCTGATGTGTTGAAGAAAATGTATTGAAGTGCAGCTTTTTCAGTTTAACTGCTGTTCACGTTGATGTAGGAATAAGAACATTGTCTTTCTCAACTGTGTAGTTCTCTAAGCTGAGTAGCACCTTTCTTTATAATACCCAGATACTGAAAGCAATCCAAATATTGATCAGCAGGTTAAGCAGTAAACACTTTGTTCTAAATTCATTCACTTGAATAATACCCACTGTTCAAACAAGTACTGCTGGAAATGAGCAACAAGGGTAAATTCACAAGTACTTATGACGAGTAACATAAACCAAAGAAATACAAGTACATACATACAGTTCCACTTTTATAAATTCTATAAAATGAAAACTAATCTAAAGTTACATAATGAAAACCAGTAGTTGGCCGTGGTCATGGTATGAGAAGGGAAGGTGTAGGAAGTGGAAATTACAGGACAACAAGAGGAAATTTTGAGGATAATTTTTTCTGTTTTGAGAAAAGTTATGGTTATGTCATTATTTGTTAAATGGTACACATTAAGGGAAGATAGTTACTTTCTAATTTCAACTTATTAAAATACTACAAATTGAAACATATATAATTTGGTAGAAAAGAATTTAGAGATGGATAAAATATATGAGAAATAAAAAAGAAAATCTCAGAACGATGGCATAAGGACTTCAATCATCAAACTAAAGAAATTTTAAATTTCTCAACACAGAATTAAAGATTCATAAAACCAGCTCCTGGATCATTGATATTTTGGAGTTGATTTTCATGTCTTTATCTCCTTCAGTTCTGCTCTGATCTTAGTTATTTCTTCTCTTCTGCTAGCTTTTGAATTTGCTCTTGCTTCTCTAGTTCTTTTAATTTTGATGTTAGGGTGTCAGTTTTAGATCTTTCCTGCTTTCTCTTGTAGGCATCTAGTGCTATAAATTTCCCTCTACACACTGCTTTAAATGTGTCCCGGAGATTCTCATATGTTGTGTCTTTGTTCTCATTGGTTTCAAAGATCATCTTTATTTCTGCCTTCATTTCTTTATTTACCCAGTAGACACTCAGGAACAGGTTTTTCAGTTTCCATGTAGTTGTGCAGTTTTGAGTGAATTTCTTCATCCTGAGTTCTAATTTGATTATTGCACTGTTTGTTATGATTTCTGTTCTTTTGCATTTGGCGAGGAGTGTATTACTTCCAATTATGTGGTCAGTTTTAGAATATGTGCGATGAGGTGCTGAGAAGAATGTATATTCTGTTGACTTGGGGTGGAGAGTTCTGTAGATATCTATTAGGTCTGCTTGGTCCAGAGCTGACTTCAAGTCCTAAATATCCTTGTTAATTTTCTGTCTCGTTGATCTGTCTAATATTGACAGCGGGGAGTTAAAGTCTCCCACTCTTGTTGTATGGGAGTCTAAGTCTCTTTGTAGGTCTCTAAGGACTTCCTTTATGAATCTGGGTGCTCCTGTATTTGGTGCATATATATTTAGGATATTTAGCTCTTCTTGCTGCATTGATCCCTTTACCATTATGCAGTGCCTTTCTTTGTCTCTTTTGATCTTTTTTGGTTTAAAATGTTTTATGAGAGATTAGGATTGCAACTCCTGCTTTTGTTTTTTTTCTTTCTTTTTTTTTTTTTTTGCTTTCCACTTGCTTGGTAAATATTCCTCCATCCCTTTATTTTGAGCCTATGTGTGTCTTTGCACATGAGATGGGTCTCCTGAATACAGCACATCAACAAAATAGATAGAAAGTTAGCCATATTAATAAAGAAGAAAAGAGAGAAGAATCAAATAGATGCAATAAAATGTAATATAGGGGATATCACTACTGATCCCACCGAAATACAAACTACCATCAGAGAATACTATAAAAACCTCTATGCAAATACACTAGAAAATCTAGAAGAAGTGGATAAATGCCTGGACACATACACCATCCCAAGTCTAAAGCAGGAAGAAGTCGAATCCCTGAATAGAACAGTAACAAATTCTGAAATTGAGGCAGTAATTAATAGCATACCAACCAAAAAAAGTCCAGGACCAGATGGATTCACAGCCAAATTCTACCAGAGGTACAAAGAGGAACTGTTACCATTCCTTCTGAAACTATTTCAAACAATAGAAAAAGAGGGACTCCTCTCTAACTCTTTTTATGAAGCCAGCATCATCCTGATACCAAAACCTGGCAGAGACATAACAAAAAAAAAAAAGTTCAGGCCAATATCCCTGATGAACATCAATGCACCAATTCTCAATAAAATACTGGCAAACCGAATCCAGCAGCACATCAAAAAGCTTATCCACCACGATCAAGTCGGCTTCATCCCTGGGATGCAAGGCTGTTTCAACATATGCAAATCAATAAGTGTAATCCATCACATAAACAGAACCAATGACAGAAACCACATGATTATCTCAATAGATGCAGAAAAGGACTTCAACAAAATTCAACACCACTTCATGCTAAAAACTCAATACTCTAGGTATCCATGGAATGTATCTCAAAATAATAAAAGCTATTTATGGCAAACCCACAGCCAATATCATATGGAATGGGCAAAAACTGGAAGCATTTACTTTGAAAACCAGCACAAGACAACGATGCCTCTCTCACCACTCCAATTCAACATAGTATTGAGAGATCTGGCCAGGGTAATCAGGCAAGAGAAAGAAATAAATTGTATAAAAATAGGAAAAGAGGAAGTCAGATTGTCTCTGTGTGCAGATGACACGATTGTATATTTAGAAAACCCCATCGTCTCAGCCCAAAATCTCCTTAAGCTGATAAGCAACTTCAGCAAAGTCTCAGGATACAAAATCAATGTGCAAAAATCACAAGCATTTCTATAACCCAATAACAGAAAAACAGAGAGCCAAATCATGAGTGAACTCCCACTCAAAATTGCTACAAAGAAAATAAAATACCTAGGAATACAACTTACAAGGGATGTGAAGGATCTCTTCAGGGAGAACTACAAACCACTGCTCAAGGAAATAAGAGAGGACCGAAACAAATGGAAAAACATTCCATGCTCATGAATAAGAAGAATAAATATCATGAAAATGGCCATACTGCCCAAAGCAATTTATAGATTGAATGCTGTCCCCATCAAACTACCAATGACTTTCTTCACAGAATTGGAAAAAAATATTTTAAAGTTCATATGGAACCAAAAAAAATCCTGCATAGCCATGACATTCCTAAGCAAAAAAAAAAAAAAAAACAAAGCTGGAGGCATTATGCTACCTGACTTCAAACTATACTACAAGGCTACAGTAACTGAAACAGCATGGTACTGGTACCAAAACAGATATATACACCAATGGAACAGAGCAGAGGCCTCCCAAATAACACCACACATCTACAACCATCTGATCTTTGACAATCTTGACACAAACAAACAATGGGGAAAGAATTCCGGAACTATTTAATAAGTGGTGTTGGGAAAACTGGCAAGCCATATACAGAAAACTGAAACTGGACCCCCTTCCTTACAGCTTATACAAAAATTAACTCAAGATGGATGAAAGACTTATCAAGACCTGAAACCATAAAAATCCCAGAAGAAAATCTAGGCAATACCATTCAGGACATAGGCATGGGCAAAGACTTCAAGTCTAAAACACCAAAAGCAATGGCAACAAAAGCTAATACTGATAAATGAGATATAATTAAAGTAAAGTGCTTCTGCACAGCAAAAGAAACTATCATCAGAGTGAACAGGCAACCTACAGAATGGGAGAAAATTTTTGCAATCTATCCATCTGACAAAGGGCTAATATCCAGAATCTACAACAAATTTACAAGAAAAAAAAACCCATCAAAAAGTAGGTGAAGGATACGAACAGACATTTCTCGAAAGAAGACATTTATGCAGCCAAAAAAACATGAAAAAATCCTCCTCATCACTGATCACTAGAGAAATGCAAATCAAAACCACAGTGAGATACCATCTCACACCAGTTAGAATGGTGACCATTAAATAGGAAACAACAGATGCTGGAGAGGATGTGGAGAGATAGTAACATTTTTACACTGTTGGTGGGAGTGTAAATAAGTTCATCCATTGTGGAAGACAGTGTGGCGATTCCTCAAGGATCTAGAACTAGAAATACCATTTGACCCAGCAATCCCATTACTTGGTATGTACCCCAAGGATTGTAAGTCATTCTACTACAAAGACAAATGCACCCGTGTGTTTATTGCGGCACTATTCCCAATAGCAAAGACTTGAAACCAACCCAAATGTCCATCAATAATAGACTGGATAAAGCAAATGTGGCACATATACACCATGGAATACTATGCAGCCATAAAAAAGGATGAGTTCATGTCCTTTGCAGGGACATGGATGAAGCTGACAACCATCATTCTCAGCAAACTAACAGAAGAACAGAAAACCAGACACCGTTGTTTTCACTCGTAAGTGGTAGTTGAACCATGAGACCACATGGACACAGGGAGGGGAATATCACACACTGAGGCCTGTCAGGAGGTAAAGGGCTAGGGGAGGGATAGCATTAGGAGAAATACCTAAGGTAGATGGCAGGTTGATGGGTGCAGCAAACAACCATGGCGTGTGTATACCTATGTAACAAAACTGCACATTCTGCACATGTACCCCAGAACGTAAAGTATAATTTAAAGAAAGGATTACATATTCCATTAAATATCTATGAGAAATCAGTGACTCCTGAATATATACATGAATACACGCTGGGTCTACCTGTATTTTTAGGGAAACACTAGAATACAGCAAAATAATGTCATGATTTTATTAAAAATGGGGGTTTATCAAACCACACCAGGCATGTCCAGCTCTGTCCTGGAGTTGGTTCAGGGAACAGGTGGGTCCTGTGTTTAGCAGCCATGACAACAAGCTCACAGCGTCAGTTCTAGTTGACACCTCAAAAAGGCGAAGGGATCTCAACTAAAATGTCATGTGGATGTCACATCTGTGGGTGCTGCATACTCCCTCGATGTGAATATGGAAAAGTTAATTACCTCTTGAGGGGTCTGTTGAGATTAGTGCTGGTCTCTAAGGAACACCCAAAATGGCTCGATAGAGCCAGAAAGCAGACTGGCTCAGGGCTTTTGTGATGGTTTCGTGGTGGGTCAGAGTGAGGCTTCCCACTCACAGGAAGGGGATTGCACAGTGTGAAACACCCACTGGTGTCAAATGAGGAAGCTCCTGCGATTCCTAACTAGATTCACATTGTGTGATAAAAGACACACAATAGACATAACTTCATGGTCGGATATCACAAAATGCTGTTAAAAGATGTGGTAAAAAGGCAACTTTAAATTTTTAGTCATTGGAGTGTGTATAACACAAAAATCATTTTCAATATTTTGTTAACACATGCATGCAATAGGACAAAGGTATGTGATGAGGGTAAAATCTCGAAAGTGTGAATCTTCCAGCTACCAAGTCATAGGGTAATAACTGATGTGTGCTGAGGGAGGAAACCATCATGCCATAGTGCTAATGGTATAACCCTTGGTGAATAGAGTTCAATATTTTATTGAAGTTTTCATAATTTTTATTTGAAGGTGCCATTTTTCAACATATTCAGATGCTTGTGAGTGCCATTGATTCTGTATCATATGAACAATGGCAATACCTTCCATGTTTACATAATATTAAAAACCATGTTAAGACTGAATATTTGGTGTAATGGTGCATCACATTATTCTAGCTTCCATACTAGTTGTTTTATTTGTTTGTTTTCTCCTTTGTTGGCATTTGGTTTCAAATTCATATGTCAGGTCTCTATAATGTAGGAATTTATTTAAAAGTGTCTTTTTTGTCCATTTTGATGGGGCTTCTAGGAGACATAAGAACCTCCTCTGCTTGCAACACATTTCAAAATTACACACTAATGTAGAACATCTGTATTTAATCCTGGTTTTTAGTTAATTGACAAGCTCTAATAAGAGAATTAACTTCTCCATTCTGGGCTGATTTTACATCAGGTATAGGAATATACCCTAGGTGAAAGTTTGTACCAGTAATATGAATTATTAGGTAATAACCTCCACCTTTATGATTTAGGTGTTATTCATCAGGAAATAGTGTTAAATCAGGAGTCTCAATGAAAGTATTACTTAAGGGATATACAAAATATGTTGCTAATCTACATAAAACAGATGTGAACACACTCTTAGTATCCAGCCATGTTTCCTGTCAACCACACAGTAACTTTGACTTCACTTGGGACTTGTTCTAATTTTCAAATTAGTTACTTATTAATCTTAATGCTTCTAGATATTATGTGTGACTATTTTAACAGAGAGTGAAGAAAGACAACCTAGGCTGACTACACAATGAGGAAAATCACAACCTGATGAAACAGGAAGCCTCTGGAAGTGAATGGCTCCAGGATTGAATAATTTGACAGCTCATGTGCCCAAGAAGTTTCTTTTCTCAATTTTCCACACTGATGCATCCAGAAAGTCAGCTTCACCCCTCAGGTGACTCCCATCATGCAGTTACATGGTGACAATATTCCCATGGTCACATACATATTTTATATATTGGCTGGAAAAGGGGCAGAGACAGTTCTGCAATTCTCCTCTGAAGGACCAGGAACACCTGAACAGACCACCTCCCCTGCCCCCATGACTAGAACTGCACCACGTGCCCACATGGACACTCATCCCTGATGGGGATAATAAGACTCCATTGATGAGGCCAACTATTTTAGCATATAAATTAGTAAAGACTGATATAAAGGTTTCAACAACTAATTGAAGTCTGTTCTTCTATGTCCACCAGAGACTACAGATGCTCCAGTGATATCTTGTTCTTCTTTGCTGCGTGACTGTGTCTCTTCTCCTTGTTCCATCCTCCAGAGAATCTCTTTCAGCTCCCACAGGTGCATTCCTCCGTTATATGTAACTGACAATTGATAAATTAGTGGAAGCCCTTACACTGAAGGAAGAGTCTCTGACCTCATCTCGGTCCATATTCCTAGAAAGGCATTGTGCCCGTAAGTCTGGGTGTGACCTTCTGAGTGTTCCTGACCCTCCTCCAGATGAGATGCTCATCTGTGTGTTCCTGTCCCTTCCACTGGGGTACAGCCCCCCTGTTTCCCCCAGGTGTTCCCTCCCACAGCTCCAGTGTTCCCCATCAGTGTCATCACCTCCCAGATCTGCTGCCCTGCCCTGCAGACTAAAGCTCTGATTCCATAAGAAAGAGAGTTGTGTCTCAACAGAACTTCGTGGCAGTGACCTCTGTTCCCATCTCAATTCCTGAGGAGTTGCACCAGTGCCCCTAGGGTACTGGTTTTGGTGGTTCCCCTGCAAAGTAATTTTTAGTTCTGTAGTGGATATAAGGGAGTCGAGTCTGAATGCCTTTCAAAAATGGGGGCTCTTGTTCTCTCCCAGACAGACACTTTGGGAAAGGAAGATTTTGTGACTGCCCCTTTTTTGGGGAAAGGGATTCAAGAGGATAGAAAAGCTCTTCAGTATGTGGTCCCTTAGAATTTCAAACTACAACAAGCTAACCATATTCAATTTCAAGCAATCCCATATATATTTGTATTTTTATCTTTAACAGCCTATATTTCATACGCCAGACTCTGCCTTAGGTAATCTCATATGCTGGCTTTGTTACTCTCTACAAGAACTTGCTTCTTGTTAAATTTAAGATTTTTTTTTAACTTCAGTTATCCTAAGCATTCAGAAATTTGCAAAATTTCATCTTGACTGTTTATCTGTTATTGTTGATGTAGTTGTAAGAAAAAAAGAAAATATATTCCTCATTTATGTACATTTTCAAGTTGAGTAGTAGATTTTTAGTACTACCAGAGTAATAAAATAATTTGAACATTGTTAAGCTGCTTAACAGAAAATCAAATTATGGTAAATTTGTTCAATGGAATACTACACAACATTTATAATAAATAATTGTCTGATACATGCAACAAGAAGGTAAAATATCTAAGTATTTTTGCTGAGTAAAATAAACCAGACAAATGAGAAGATTTACCATATAATTTCATTTATATAAATTCTGGAAAATAAAAACTGAACTTAAGCAATATAACAACAAGGTAAAATATCTAAGTATTGATGTTCAGGAAAATAAAGCAAACAAGAATATGTACTATGTTATTCCATTTTAATAAATTCTGATAAATTAAATTGAATCTACAGCAATATAAAGAAGATCAGAATTTACCATTTGGGGAAATGGTAGAAGAAGGGAAGAGGAAAGGAGGAGGAATATGGAAGAATGAGAGGGAAATTTTGAGAATTTTCTGGTTCACCTTGATAACTAGGATGGTTACATCAGGTTTATCAATTGTACACTTTAAATATGTGAAGTTTATTATCAGTAAACTGAAATTTATAAAATTTATTACCAGCAAACAAATGAAAACTTGCACAAGAAGTAAGTGATATAAAGATAGAAAAAATACTAAATTTCAGAAACACCTAATAATTTATCTTCGTGAACCCTAGTTCTCACCATATTTTTAGGTGAATGCTAGAATGCAGCAAAATTACACATGTTCTCAATACAGAAAGTGGGTTTCACAAGCCACACTAGGCATGCCCAGCTCTGTCCTGGAGTTGGGTTAGGGAGTAATATAGGGCCAGTGGATGAGGAGCACAGGCCCAGATACTGGGGCTCACTAACCTCAGGTATGAGCTCTTAGATACATACAAAGCCCCTCCACGTATGGGTTTACTTCACCATCTGTAAATAGAGAAACCATTGACCTCTAAAAATATGATTTACACAAATATGTAAAAATGTAAGAGAGTGATTAGTGCAAAGTGTTTATCACAGCACAATTTCCTAATAAGACAGCAAGTTTTCCAAACACCATCATTGTCATCAGATTCTTGCAGGGCATCATTACCTTATCTGGGCACTGCCCTCTGCTCAGGCGTCCCACCCCAGAGCTTGCTATATAGTAGGTGACATAAAAATAGGGCCCTCCGTCTCCTGATGAAAACCAGCCCAGTCCTGACCCTGCAGCTCTGGGAGAGGAGCCCCAGCCTTGGGATTCCCAAGTATTTTCATTCAGTGATCAGGACTGAACAGACAGGAATCACCATGGAGTTTGTGCTGAGCTGAGTTTTCCTTGCTGCTATTTTTAAAGGTGACTTATGGAGAGCTAGAGAGATTGAGTGTGAGTGGACATGAGTGAGAGAAACAGTGGATATGTGTGGCAGTTTCTGACCTTAGTGTCTCTGTGTTTGCAGGTGTCCAGTGTGAGGTGCAGCTGGTGGAGTCTGCCGGAGGCCTTGGTACAGCCTGGGGGGTCCCTTAGACTCTCCTGTGCAGCCTCTGGATTCACTTGCAGTAACGCCTGGATGAGCTGGGTCCGCCAGGCTCCAGGGAAGGGGCTGGAGTGGGTTGGCCGTATTAAAAGCAAAGCTAATGGTGGGACAACAGACTACGCTGCACCTGTGAAAGGCAGATTCACCATCTCAAGAGTTGATTCAAAAAACACGCTGTATCTGCAAATGAACAGCCTGAAAACCGAGGACACGGCCGTGTATTACTGTACCACAGACACAGTGAGGGGAGGTCGGTGTGAGCCCAGACAGAAACCTCCCTGCAGGGGCGCGCGGGGCAACCAGGGGGCGCTCGGGACCCACTGAGGACGGGACAGGTCCCAGGAGCTGGTGCCGGGAGAGGTTTCCTTTCTCCTCAGCTGGAAAAGTCACGTTTATCTTCGCAGGACTCTGGAGTCTTCTAGGCTGTGATATTTTGTTACTTATATTTATTATGAATTTTATCATTAATATTTAAATTTTAGTAATTATTAACATTCTACATATTATTATATTTTTAAGTATATACTTTCAAGAAATAAACATTCCTAATTGTTTGCACTGATTCTTCCAGAGTTTTATTAACATTTGTTGACATCAGCAACTACATAGCTATAGGGACAAAAATTTATACCCATAAAAAGATGTATAAATACACAGAACAATGCGTATATATGTAGGCATTTGTATTAAACATTACAATGAAATGATAAAAAAAGTTTGAAAAAAATCAAACTTAATTAACTACATTATTAACTTTTAATTATTAAATTATTACAGTAATTCATAATTGATTTCCCAGATTTTCAATTGTTTACATAAATTGGTTTCTATTGGTTCATTTAAAATAGTACATTGGTCATTTTAAAGAGCTAAGAGTAAATGTTAAATGTTGTCACAATAAAAGATAAAAATTTGAAACAATGAATGATAATTACATCAGTTATTTCTTAATTATCTTAGTTATTTCATATTGTATTCACAAACCATAACATTGCCCTTTACCATGTACATATAAACAACCATAATTTGTAAATTTGCAATAAATTTTTTATTGTAATTTTTTATATTTATCCCAGATTATAATCTTTTTCTTCACTTCCAGATCTCACTGGATTGTCTCAAGGGCCCCATCCACACCACTGAGCCCTGATGAAAGGCTCTAGGCTGTGGCCGGGAGAGGCAGTTTCTTCTTCCAGAGCACACTCTGTTTGAGGGGGAGATGTCATCTCTGCCCTTGAGGAGCCCCAGCTGATGGGGGAGCTTTTGCCCTTAGGAAGCTCTCAGTCTGATGGGGAAGACGCTGTCCCTGCCCTCAGGAGGCTCTTGGTCTGAGAGGGGAGACATAATTCATTCTCTCTGAGTGCCCTCAGTCTGATGGGGGAGACACTGTCCCTGCCCTCAGGAGGCTCCCAGTCTGATGGGGGAATATTGGCTCTGTCCTCAGGAGTCCGGTCTAAGGAGGGTGTCTCAGCCCCACTCCTGAGGGTAAGGATTCCATGGCCACAGTCTGGACAGTGGGCCAGTCACGCTTGACAGTGGGCATGTTGCCAGCAGGACCCTTTGGGATGTGTCTGAGCCTGGAGGTGAGTGGCACGGGGGCTGGCAAGGCTAGGGTGGAGGCAAGCAGGTTCCGCTGTCTGCCGCCTTCACACCTTTCTCCTTCCACATGCATAGATGAGCCCACCAGCCCCAGCACTGACCTCCAAGCCAAGCATGTCCCTGCCTTTGCTGTGGTCTCCAGTGCCATGAACTCAGCCGCTGTCCTGGGCACCAGCCCATCTTCCCCGACCTTCACCTTCACCCTCGGATGGCATTACTCGCGGGACTGCAGTGAGCGCTCCCCACACCCCCAGCCCCACCCTTTCCCTCGCTGCCCAGTCCCAGGGGTCTCTGTTAGGTCTGCTGCTGGATGTCTGGCCTCTTCCTCTGGTTTCTGCTTCTCCTGGGGCACCTTGGGAGAGTCACCTCCTGCCCCTGCCTAGAAGGGAGGGCTCTGGGAAGCCCCTGACCTGCTGCCCCGCTGACCCTGAGGCCCGATGTGGGCGGCTTTGCAGGCAGCATCAAGGCTGGCCGCCGCTCCTCCTACCTGCTGGCCATCAGCACGGAGCGCTCCAAGTCCTGCGATGATGGACTCAACACCTTCCGTGACGAGGGCCAGGTTCTGCGGTGAGGCCCTGTCTGGACATGGGGTGGGGTGGCCACAGCCACCCTGGCCAGCTGCTCTGGGGCAGGGCTTTTGGCCCTGGGGGTCCTCTATGCATGGGACAGTGTGTCTCCCCCGCTGGAAGGCTTCTGGGCTTGGGGTTTGGTGGGTGACGAGATAGTGAGGTCCCAGCTTTGCTGCCCACATCCCTCACCCTCCACCCTTGCTTCCCAGGCACCTGCCAAACCGCATACCCAGCCTGCCGTTGCTCCGGAGCTTCTTCACAGACAGGGTGGGCTGCAAGTGTGTGTGCGTGCGCAGGAGTGAGGGTGTGGGGAGAGAGGGTGTCAGGGAGGTGGGGCCACAGCCTCGGCATGGGGGTTCCTGCTCCAGCTCCCGCCTTCCCCCTCCTCCCTGCACCCCTCACCCTTGTGTCCACCGCGGGACCGGCCCTCTGCTGTGGGCCCCGACATCCCTGAATGACACCATGCAGCCCCACCCAGGGGCCCCTGTCTGGACTGCCTCTTTCCAGACCCATCCCCCATAGCCACACGACTCACTTCTCCACTGTCTTCGCAGCCTTTTAGGTCTTCCCTGAAATTCCAGTCTCCACTCCTGACATTTCATGCCTCCCTTCGCTACTCTGTTTTCCTCCTCAGCACGCCTCATGCACAATTGGTGTTTCCCTTCCTCCCTGCCTGGCTCCCCAGCTAGAATAGAAGCTCCCCGAGCTTATATTTGGGGCTTCATATGTTTCCTTCACTACCCTGAGTCAGTATTTGCATCGCATCTTGTCTTCATGGGATGGGGTCGGGGTGGACACTGGAAAGGTGTGGCCTGGACACAGGGTTGAGATTGGTGGACAGGTGGAGTTCCCAGCCTCAGGACCTGGGGAGGCAGGATCAGGCCTGTGATAGCCCTGGCTGTTTGTTTGTTTTGAGACAGAGTCTCACTCTATTGCCCAGTCTGGAGTGCAGTGGCATGATCTTGGCTCACTGCAACGTCCACCTCCTGGGTTCAAGCTATTGTCCTGCCTCAGCCTCCCGAGCAGCTGGGATTACAGGCGTGTGCCACCACACCTGGGTAATTTTTGTATTTTTAATAGAGACTGGGTTTCACCATGTTGGCCAGACTGGTCATGAACTCCTGACCTCAGGTGATCCACCCACCTCGGCCTCCCAAAGTGCTGGGATTACAGGCCTGAGCCACCGCACCTGGCCTCAAGTGATCTTCTTGCTTCGGCCCCCCAAAATGCTGGGATTACAGGCATAAGCCACCACACCTGGACATATTGTTGTTTTTAAAATCACATATATATTTTTCATGCACGATTTTTCTTTTTTTTTTTGAGATGGAGTCTCACTCTATTGCCCAGGCTGGAGTGCAGTGGCATGATCTCAGCTCACTGCAACCTCCATCTCCTGGGTTCAACCAATTCTCATGCCTCAGCCTCCCAAGTAGCTGGGATTATAGGCATGCGCCACCACACCTGACTAATTTTTGTGTTTTTAGTAGAGATGGGGTTTCACCATGTTGGCCAGGCTGATCTTGAACTCCTGACCTCAAGTGATCTGCCTGTCTCAGCCTCCCAAAGTGCTGGGATTACAGGCATGAGCCACCGTGCCCACCCCACCTTCCCCTGGCTGTTTTTGATTCTAGATGGACTGGAAAAGCCATCTTGATGTCAAGCGCTCTGTCTCATTGGTTGGTTGAACACCCCGGTGATATTGGCACCTAGCTTATTTCTTATCACTTCTTCTGCTTACTTAACTCTCCCTTGACTTGCGCCCTCTGGGTGGAGTCCTGTTGACACTGTCACTTCCTCTGTTTAACGCCTCGTGGACATGACTACCTGCTCCACTCCCTCAGCCTTTGTTGATGTTCCCACTTCCCCTGTTTATTTAACTCCTCGTTGACACGATCACTTCCTCCATTTCCTTAATTCTTCTAAGTCTATATAGTTACGGGAGGCTCCGAATTGGCTCCTCTAGCGTGGTGAGGCGTGTGGTCTGCTGACAGGTCATAGCCTTTCCTCCTTTCTGGCTTCTCCTTTATGTAGGTCTCATGACCTCAACACAAGTGGTCCAGAGAGGACAAGCAATGCCCATGAGGTCGCATGGCACATCGGGGTGTAGCACAGACATATATCAGGACTGTGCGGCCACAAGTGGTCCATGGGGTTCCTGAGATGCTGGCATTGTGGGAGCCACCCTAAATTGTCCTCTGTTGTCTCCCTGCAGTCCTTGGATAGCTGGGGCACCTCTGAAGACGCTGACGCTCCTTCTAAGCGACACTCAACCTCTGACCTCTCAGATGCGACCTTCAGCAATATCAGGAGAGAAGGCTGGTTGTATTATAAGCAGATTCTCACCAAGAAGGGGAAGGTAAGATGGGTGGAGGAATGAGGTGGAAGCTGGCTCCAGCAGAACCCTCCAGCCTCTCCTAGGCCTACCCTGACAGCCTCTGGAGCCAGAGAGAACCAGTGTAGGTTGTTGCATGAAGGATGGAGGATAGATGCTAGGAAGAACTTCCTGGCAGGGGGATTTAAAGAACTTATGTAAAAGAAGTTAACAAGAGAGGTGGATTTTGCTGTGGGATGGATCTGATCGAGTCGTGCTTGGAATTCTGGCAAAACCATCCCACAGTGGCCCTGGCTTGACAGGCCATCCTGAAGATGGCCGCTGGGGCTCATGGAAAACAAGGAACAAGGCCGGGGTGATTTCCGTAGGAGAGTTAAGGCCCAAGAAGATGCAGGCAAGCCAGCAAAGGGCTTAGTGTTCATCCTAAGGGCAACCAAAAGCTCTCGGGGGCTCTTGCCAAGGGAGTTACAGCTTTAAAATATTCATTTGGCTCCCTGGGAGTGAGTTAGGGAGGGGCCACGCTGGAGGCAAGAAGACCAGTTAGAGCCACCATGGAGATCCAGGTGAGAGGCAAAGGGGGCTTCGGGTAGTACTTGGGGAGGGCCTGGGAGGGAACCAGCAGGACTCTGAGAGGAGAAGGGCAGAGCCCCTGGATCCATGGGGTGCAAATCCTGGCCCCAGGCTGCGCTGTGGGCTGGAGAAGTGGGAGGAGAGACCACTGCCTTCCCTCCCGGCAATTAGGATGAACCCGGGTTTGACTCTTGACTACATCACCCATTGCTCTGAGAGCCTGGGTGACTCACCTGGCCATGACTCAGTGTCCTCGTCTGTAAATGGAGCTAACAGTAATCCCTAGCTCATAAGCCTATTGCTAAGGATTAAATGAGATGATCTAAGTAAAGGGTTTACCCAGTGCCCAGCACTTGAAACTGCTGTACTTCTGCTTACTGCTATTTGTTTTCTTTTTTTGAGATGGAGTCTCACTCTGTTGCCCAGGCTGGAGGGCAGTGGCGCGATCTCAGCTCACTACAACCTCTACCTCCTGGGTTCAAGCAATTCTCCAGCCTCAGCCTCCTGGGTAGATGGGACTACAGGCACTCACCACCAAACCCAATTAAATTTTTTTTTTGTATTTTTTTAGTAGAGACGGAGTTTCACCATGTTGTTCAGGCTGGTCTCAAACTCCTGACCTCAAATGATCTGTCTGCCTTGGCCTCCCAAAGTGCTGGGATTACAGGCGTGAGCCACTGTGCCCAGCCCACTTACTGCTATTTGAATTTTTTGCCCTGCCTTCTGGGGTCTTGGGGGTCCCTGGAAAGAACATAAGCTTTGAAGCAGACAGACTTCGAGTTCCTATCCAGCCACATATCAAGCACATGGCTTTGGGCACCCCACTTACCTTCCCCGAGCCTCACTTTCTGATCTGTACGATGGGAACAATGTTATCCTACCCCAAGGGCTGCTGTGGATTAAGTGAGGGTGAAGTTGAGGCGGGACTGATGCGCCTCCGTGGAGAATGACTAAGGCCTCCCTGCTCGGGAGCCTCTGTGGAGGTTCTGGGGAGTTAGTGGTGAGGGAGCCAGGGCAGCCCTGCCCTCCTGGGGCTCCTGTTGCTCCTGTTGAGCAGAGAGAACGCATGTGGCATCATGGTTCCAAGTGCACAGACTGCCGTGACGCCCGGGTGCAGGGGCAGGTGGGCGTGGGTAGGGAGGTATCCAGAGGCTGAGACACGAAAGGATGAGAAGCCACAAAACTGGGAGACAGTGGAGGGGCCTGACAGGGAGGATGTCTCCTTAGAGGGTCCTGGGGAAAGGTGGGGAGAGGTGTGCTGGGAGCCAGGGCGAGAGGTGGAAGATGAGCTGGGTAATTGGGTGCCTGCCCAGAGTGTGGGGCCTTCATACCCAGAAAGAGCCTGTCCAGGGTTTTATTATTTTATTTTATTTTATTTTTTTATTTTATTTTATTTTATTTTATTTTATTTTATTTTATTTTATTTTATTTTATTTTATTTTATTTTATCTATTTTTGAGATGGAGTTTCACTCTGTTGCCCAGGCTGGAGTGCAGTGGTATGATCTCAGCTCACTGCAACCTCCGCCCCCCGGGTTCAAGCAATTCTCGAGCCTCAGCCTCCTGGGTAGCTAGGACTACAGGCGCCTGCTACCACACCCAGCTAATTTTTGTAGTTTTAGTAGAGACTGGGTTTCACTATGTTGGCCAGGCTGGTCTCGAACTCCTGACCTCAAGTGATCTGCCTGCCTTGGCCTCCCAAAGCGCTTGGATTACAGGCGTGAGCCACCGTGCCCGGCTCTGTCCAGGGTTTTAAATGTGGGCTGGGGCTGGCAGGAGACTGGGGTTATGTCTGTGACAGGAGGAGCCAATCCCATTGCTCTTGTCCAGGTGAGTGAGGGTGGGGGCCCCGACCCAAGGCAGTGGTGTGGGGCTGGGTGGAGCGGACACTTTAGAGAGAGATTCCATGGGAAGGACGGCCAGGGCTTGCCGGCTGCTGGGAGGTATGGAAGGAGGAGGAGGCGATAAGGTTCCTGGATTCCTGGCTTGGGCTGAGGGAGGGTGGTGGGTGGTGGGACCCTCCCTGGGCCATGGCACACTGGAGGAGCAGGTTTGGGGAGAGGAAGCCAAGTGGCTCCACTTGGGCTATGTGAGTCTGAGGGCCCTGGGACAGACCCCAGTGGAGATGTCCTGGGGACAGAGGCTCTGAGGGCGTATTACTAGAGGGAGGCCCACCTGGGGACGGCCTTTGTCTGTCAGCACCCACGAGTTACATATGCCTCTGTGCAGGGGCTTGAAGGAAGAAGGCAAGAGACCTGGCTGAGCCTTGAGAGAAGTGGGGGGGCCGGGGAGGCCAACAGAGACCAAAAAGAGCCAGCAAGTTGGCAGCGACCCGTGGGGTGGGAGCCATGAGGCAAGGAGGGACCAGCCACGTGCACTGTGCGAGGAGAGCCGCAAGTGGGCCAGCCCTTCCAGTCTAACGTGTGAGCCACATGAAGGGTCCTTGTGAGGGTGGCTGGCTCCCCCTGCTGGGGAGCCTGACCCTCAGCTCCTGGGGGCCCTGAGCCCAGTTCAGGGACAGGAGCTGTCCCCTTCCTGCTCACTGGCCAGTTCTGGAGGACCAGGCCTCCACTCCCTTGCTGGCCAAAACCCGATGTCACTTGTTCCTTTGGTGCTGTGGCCTGGACGTTAGAGGAGAGTCTTCAAGTCAGCCTCAGGCCCTTGGTCCACCCAGGCCGTGGGCACCCTCTCTGTGCTCCCTCCCAGCCCCAGCCTCTTTCAGAGACATGGACTGTCAGGCAGAGGAGGGAAAGGGACAGTGACTTGTCCCCTCAGCCTCAGCCCCAGCATGGGAGCTGCATGCAGCCTTGGTGACCAACTCCCTCACTCATTTACCAGCCGGAGACACTGAGGCCTGGGAGTGCGGTTGACTTGTCCTAGGTCATGCCGCTGGTTTAGCCTCAGAGAGGTGCCCTTGTCACCACCTCACTGTCACATTAAAATTCTCCCTGGAGGGCTCTGCTGTCTCCTACTCTGAATGTCCCTGTCCCCCTCCAGCAGTTCTGTGATGAGCAGGGCTCACAGCTCAGGATCCACATGATGGGAGGCCAGATGTGGGCTGTGCCCATCTGCCAGCCACGGGACCTCTTTGTCTGGTTTGTTCTGAGAGCTGAGGCCTGTGCTGGATGTGGAGCCACCAGCCAGCAGAGAGGAGCTCTTGGTCTGATGGGAGATGGAGCTCCTGCCCTCAGGGTGCTCCAAGGATCATTAATTCATTTATTCAGCAAATATTGATGAGCGCTTGCATGCTGCTGTAGGCCCTGGGATATGGAAATGAGAGGACGGACAAGCTCCCTGTCCCCAGGACAGCCTGAGGCTGCAGTAAGTTCTTGGAAAGGATCAAGCTGATCAGAAGCGGGAGCTGCATTGAGGGAAAAATATGGCCAGAGAAGGCCTCGCTGAGGAGGTGACATTGGTGATGCTGGAGTTCAGATCTGAAGGGGAAGAAGGAAGCAGCCACATATAGAAGTGAGGGAGGGGGGCTTAGGCAGAAGGAACAGCAAGCGGAGAGGCCCTGAGAAAAGAAAGGCTTGGCTCGCTCACCTGCAAGGGCCCCCTGGCTTGACATAGTGAGAAAGGTGTGAAGATGAATTTGGAGAAAGGCAGGTACAGACCACAGGAGACTTTAGATTTGATTCTGAGGGCGATGGGATCTCTTGAGAGGATGCTGAGCATGGGAGAGATGTGATCTCCTTTTCATTCTAACATGATCGCTGCAGCTGCTGCTGGAGAATGGATGCAGGAGCAAGAGTAGAGACTGGGAAGGTCTGTGCATCCTCCAAGCAAGAGGCGTTGATGGCATGGAAAGATGTCTTTCCTCTGGCAGGAAAGACAGAGACAGGGGATGTTTTGGAGGCAGAACAGTTGTGACTTCCTGATGGATGGGATGTCAAGGGCGAGGAAAAGGGAGGAGTCAAGGGCAGCTCCCAGGTTTCTGGACAACTGGATGGATTGACTGAGCTGGAAAAGATGGGGGTAGAGAGTGGAGAAGAGGTTTGATGGTAAGAAATCACATGGCCTGGCAAGTATTGTGCAAAGTGCCCATGGGACCTGCAAATGAAGACACTGAGCAGGGTGGGGGTGCCGGGCTGTGGCTGGGGGAGATGCTGGGCTCGGGAATGGCCATCAGCAGGTGGACCTGGTTTAAAGGCATGGCACAGGTGACATCCTTGAGGGAGGTGTGCAGGGAGAGGAGAGGAGGGGAGAGTCAGGGCGAAGTTCTGGAGCTCCGCCTCCTTTAGGGCGGGGTCTGTTACCCTCTGCTCTGCTGACATTTTGAGCCAGATAATTCCTTGTTGGGGGAGGCTGTCCTGTGCATTGCGCAATGTTTAGCCGCATCCCTCAGATGCCATAGCACACCCTCCAGCTCCCTCCACACAAATGTCCCGTGGTGACGAGTCTCCTGGCTGTTTAACTACAGGTGTAGAGGGTGGGGGAGGGGAAGCAGAGAAGACTAGGAAGGAGCCAGTGGCATTAGGAAGAAAGCCGGGAACGTGGGGTCTCAGGTGCCGAGATGGGGTCTGGAGAGGGAAGGAGGGGCTGGCTGTGTCAGATGCCGCCAAGGGGTTAAGGCAAGTTGGGGAGAAGCAGCCATTGGCTTTGGCCACATGGCGGTTCTGGGTGTCCCTGAGAGGAGCTTCTGGGCAAGTGGAGTCTTGGGTGGGCGGCAGGAAAGTGGGGAGAACGACTCTCTAAGAGTGCGGACAGCTTCTGAGCAGGTTTGCTGGGGTGAGGGGCAGCCTGGGGAGGGGCGTGGGCTGGGAATGGCTTCCCGAGGATTTCATGTACGGAGGGCCATGCTGGGTGTCTGAGCATTGCCACCGCTCGGTGAGTGTTGATGCTGGTGTTTAGAGGGGGAGAGGGTTGGGGTCTGCTGGCGGGCTTTAGGGTGATGGGTAGGGGTGTCTAGGCAGGCGAGGGACTGAGAAAGCATTGGTGGGCTGTGGGCAGGAGGCTGCCCAGGTCTAGCCGGGTGGAGCAGGCGGCTCCTGGTAGGCAGCGTGGGGTCCATCCCCCGGCTGTCCTCTGTCTGCTACTGTGAGAGCAGTGGGCAGAACTGACCTCTCACCACTCCTGTTTCCCCCAACCCCGTGTCTCCCTGCAGAAAGCGGGCAGCGGCCTGCGCCAGTGGAAGCGGGTGTACGCCGCGCTGCTGGCGCGCTCGCTCTCGCTGAGCAAGGAGCAGCGGGAGCCCGGGCCGGCGGCGGCGGGGGCTGTGGGGGCCGGCGCAGGTGAGGACAAGGCGGCGCCCGTCTGCATCGGCTCCTGCCTCGTGGACATCTACAGCGAGACCAAGAGGAGGCACGTGTTCCGGCTGACCACCGCTGACTTCTGTGAATATCTCTTTCAGGCTGAGGACCGGGATGACATGCTGGGGGGATCAGAGCGATCTGGGAGAACAGCAGGGCCGAGGGCGAGGTGAGGGCCCGGCCAGCCCGGCGGCCACAGAGGGCGGGCGGGGTGGCCTCTCACCGGCTGTGGACCTGGGATGTCCGCTCTGAGCCTCACTTCCCTCTGCTAGAAAGGGGGGCTGACAGGAGTGCACCTCGTGATTGTGTCCCCCTAGGTTTCGGGGTGACAAGGGTGCAAGGGCAGGGCTCATGGAGGACCTGGCGTCCTCGGGTGCGGGGACCAGCAGTCACCATCCTGACCCTAATGATGACAGGGATTATTGTGACTGTGTTAGGATCGCCATGAGCAGGCTCTGATGTGGAGTGGTCAGCTCCAGGCCAGTCTCAGCTTTTCTCAGCAGGCGAGGAAGGCAGGGGCCTCCTATGGAGTGTGTTAGGGCATGAGTGTCCCCACACCAGAACTGCACTGGGCTGGCCTGACTGCAGGAGGATGAACACATTGACCTTGTGAGGAGGCTGAGAGGCTTGGCCTTTGGCCACAGGTGGGCAGGGTTGGAGCCAAGGGCCTCGGCAGGGACTTTGGGAGAATTTTTTTTTTTTTTTGAGACAGAGTCTCGCTCTGCTGCCCAGGCTGGAGTGCAGTGGCGCAATCTCAGCTCACTGCAACCTCCGCCTCCCAGGTTCAAGTGATTCTCCTGCCTTAGCCTCCTGAGTAGCTGAGACTATAGGCACATGCCACCATGCCTGGCTAATTTTTTTTTAATAGAGACGGGGTTTCACTGTGTTAGCCAGGATGGTCTTGATCTCCTGACCTCATGATCCTCCCACCTCAGCCTCCCAAAGTGCTGGGATTACAGGTGTGAGCCACTGCGCCCAGCCGAAGAATTTTTTTTAATGGCGCCCATTGCGGTCAGCCGTAGCTACACTCCAGGGGCCTAGGTAGGGATTCCTCCCTGTTTACTTCTTTGGCCAGGAGCCTGCACAGAAGTGCCTTGAGACACCCACACAAAGTCATGTGGGCATCCCGGGCCTGGGGTCTCTGCCAAGAGGGCAGTGGGCCTGGGCCTGCTCTGGCCGTGGGAGGGGGCGCTAGTGCATGGCCTCTTGCTGAGGACACATCCTCTCGCTGACCAGGCTCTGCTCTCCCGGGAACAGCTTTCCCCACTGCAGGGAGGAAGGCACCTGGAATTTGGGCCTCCTCCTCTGGGGGCCTGGCTTGGCTGTCTCCAACAAGGCTTAGTCAGGGGGGTTCCAAGTCACATCACTATGGCAGTAGCAGTCCCTCCTGGGGCACCTCCTCCATGCCTGCTCAGCATCTGCCAGGAAAGTGGCGAGTGCTGCATGATTCTGCACCCAGCCCCGAGCCTTCCCTTTTAGCCCCCCATGTTTATTACCGAGGAGACTGAGGCTCAGAGAGCCTAAGAGGCTTCCCCAAGGCCTCAGCTGGTGAGAGGGTGCTGGGGAGTCCAGGCCTGGTCTTTCTCACTCCAGGGTCTGGGCTGTCCACCTGGCAGGTGGACAAGAGGGGAAGCAGGGCTAGGGATGAACCCAGGGGTGGGCTGGCTGTGGGCACTGACATGATCCGCTCTCTCCTCTCCTGCTTCAGGACCCCGGCTGTGCCAACCAAGCTCTGATCAGCAAGAAGCTTAATGATTATCGCAAAGTGAGGTGAGGCCTAGCCCTCATGGAGCAGTCTCCTCTGTGGGGGTGGTAGGGGGCTGAAGGCAGAGGATGTCTTCCTGGACCACCTCCAGGGCTGCCCTCTGCTGGGGAAAGGGGTATCCAGGGTATCCAGGGTCTCCAGGCTGCAGTTTGGCATGGAGGCATTGCCTCAGGGTGGAGGGGATGTCCCGAGGGGCAGGAGGCCAGGGTGGGTGGCCTGCTTGGCCACCCCAAGTGAAGACCTCTCCTCTCCCCCTTTTTCCTACACAGCCATAGCTCTGGGCCCAAAGCTGATTCCTCCCCCAAAGGCTCTCGCGGCCTGGGGGGCCTCAAGTCTGAGTTCCTCAAGCAGAGTGCGGCACGTGGCCTCAGGACTCAGGACCTGCCCGCAGGGAGCAAAGGTAGGAAGGTGGCCACTGAGACAGGGTGGTGTGTTGGGGAAGAGGGCATGGAGAGGGGAGAGCATGTGTGTGTGTGTTGGGCTGTGTCTGCTCGTGTGTGCCTGACTGTGTGCCAGGGTTACCGGTATGTCTGTCTGCATGTGCATGCCTGTGAGGGTCTGGGGGCTCTCAGGGTCTTGGGGTGGAAGGGCCTGGAGCCTGATTCCCCTCCCTGACATCCCTGCTGGGTGGTCCTCTAATCTTTGCTGGTGTCTCCGCAGGGATGAGAGGCCCACCCTTTCCAAGAGCAACCTTTCCCATTTCCCTCACCTTTGGCTATTAGAAAGTTCTTACCTGGCTGGGCAAGGTGGCTCACACCTGTAATCCCAGCACTTTGGGAGGCCAAGACAGGCAGATCACCTGAGGTCAGGAGTTCAAGACCAGCCTGACCAGCATGGCGAAACCCCAACTCTACTAAAAATACAAAAGGCCGGGCACGGTGGCTCACGCCTGTAATCCCAGCACTTTGGGAGGCCGAGGCGGGTGGATCACAAGGTCAGGAGATCGAGACCATCCTGGCTAACACGGTGAAACCCCATCTCTACTAAAAAACACAAAAAATTAGCTGGGCGTGGTGGCAGGCACCTGTAGTCCCAGCTACTCAGGAGGCTGAGGCAGGAGAATGGCATGAACCTGGGAGGCAGAGCTTGCATTGAGCCAAGATTGCGCCACTGCACTCTAGCCTGGGTGACGGAGCAAGACTCCGTCTCAAAAAAAAAATACAATAAAAGTACCCGGGCGTGGTGGTGTGCGCCTGTAATCCCAACTACTTGGGAGGTTGAGACACGAGAATCACTTGAGCCTGGGAGGTGGAGGTTGCAGTGAGCCGAGACCACACCACTGCACTTCAGCCTGGGTGACAGAGTGAGACCCTGTCTCAAAAAAAATAAAATAAATAAATAAATAAAAGAAAGTTGTTCCCTTGGGCCAGCAGGCATGGTGGCTGACACCTATAATCCCAGCATCATTTTGGGAGGCTGAGGCTGGAGGATTGCTTGAGGCCAGGAGTTTGAGACCAGCCTGGGTAACATAGCAAAGTCCTATCCCTACAAAATATTTTTTTATATATTATTTATTTATTTAGAGACAGAGTCTTGTTCTGTCACTCAGGCTGGAGTGCAATGGCATGATCTCAACTCATCGCAACCTCCACCTCTTGGGTTAAAGCGATTCTTGTGCCTCAGCCCCCTTAGTAACTGGGATTACAGGCATGCGCCACCCCGCCCGGCTAATTTTTTTTTTTTTTTTTGAGACGGAGTCTTGCTCTGTTGCCCAGGCTGGAGTGCAGTGGTGTGATCTCGGCTCACTGAAAGCTCTGCCTCCTGGGTTCGCACCGTTCTCCTGCCTCAGCCTCCTGAGTAGCTGGGACTACAGGTGCCCGACACCACATCTGGCTAATTTTTTTGTATTTTTAGCAGAGACGGGGTTTCACCGTGTTAGCCAGGATGGTCTCGATCTCCTGACCTTGTGATCCGCCCGCCTCAGCCTCCCATAGTGCTGGGATTACAGGCGTAAGCCACTGCACCCGGCCCACGCCCAGCTAATTTTTGTATGTTTAGTAGAGACAGGGTTTTGCCATGTTGGCCAGCTGGTCTCGAACTCCTGGCCTCATGTGGTCCTGCCAGCCTCAGCTTCCCAAAGTGCTGGGATTACAAGCATAAGCCACTGTGCCTGGCAAAAAAATTTTTTTTAATTAGCCAGGTGTGGTGGTATGAGCTTATAGTCCCAGCCACTCGGGAGGCTGGGGAGGGAAGATTGCTTGAGCCCAGGAATTTGAGGCTGCATTGAGCTATGATCATACCACTGCACTACAGCCTGAGCGACAGAGACCCTGTCTCTAAAGAAACAAAGTTCTATGGCTTCCGCCTTGTAGTTTTGGCCCACGAGCCACACAGAAGTCCTTGCATTGCTCTGGGCCTCTCCTTTGGGGTAAGCATCCTCCCCTTCAGGCCTTCTCTCTTGCCATACAATGTCCCATCAGCCCTGGGCATCTGGTTTCTTCTCTGATGGAATCCCCATACATCCAAATGTGTGAATGTGGCAGTGAATGTGTGCGACCCTCCTGGATACTCCAGCTCACTCTGGCTCTGTCTCCCCCACTTCAGATGACAGTGCTGCAGCCCCCAAAACCCCCTGGGGCATCAACATCATCAAGAAAAATAAGAAGGCTGCCCCAAGGGCATTTGGGGTCAGGCTGGAGGAGTGCCAGCCAGCCACGGAGAACCAGGTGGGTCTCTGCCACACGCCAGAGCAGGCCCGGCAGGGGGAGACCAAGGCACAGAGGGTCAGAGCAGCAAGGGACATGGAACAAGCTCTCCACCTCATTGTACAAACACAGCTGGGAAAACAGCCCAGAGAGGGGAGGCCTGCCCTGGGCCTCCCAGGGAGGGAGCAGCCGGGCTGAGGCTGAGCCCGGCTCCTTCTCAGACCATGGCGAGGCTTTGGTGTCATTTGTAGCTCCCAGACTGGAGGCAGCAAAGGCCTTTTGTTCCCCCCAAGGGTTCCTGGCAGCAGCTCTGGGCCTTGCATTGTCCCCTTCTTGGCCTCCCCAGCTCCTCTGGCCCCTGTCCCCCCTAACACCCCTCCCCTGTGTCCCCAGCATGTCCCCTTAATCGTGGCTGCATGCTGTCACATTGTGGAGGCACGAGGGCTGGAGTCCACAGGCTTTTACCGAGTGCCTGGCAACAATGCAGTGGTGTCCAGCCTACAGGAGCAGCTCAATCCTGGGCCTGGTGACATCAACCAGCAGGATGAGGTGGGTGAAGCTGGGGGGTCTGTGGAAGGGGGGCTGAGATGGTGTGTGGGTGGTGCTCCGCTTGGAGAGTTCTGTAGTCTATTGTGTTGCATGCATTGTGCCCTATGACATGTCCGGCATTGGTCCAGGACACCAAGATGGGCAAGATGGGACCTGCCCCCGCTGGCCAGCCCGGGGATGGGCATCACCCCAGGCTGAAGCTGACCAAGTAAATGCAGTCATGGCCTGGGGAGCTCTGAGGCAGAGGCTCACAAACGGCAGTTTTGTCCGAGTGTTTAGGATGAGTAGAGTTCACCAAAGGCCGATGAAAGCCAGGTGAGGGCATTCCAGGCAGCAGAATGGGCTGCGCAATGGTGTAGGCGCGAAAAGTGTGCCAGGAGTCAACCAGCTTTCTCTGTAGAAGGCAGAGAGTAAATATTTTCTGCTGTAGTTTTCTCTGTTGCATTCCCCCCTTCTCTTCCTCCTCCTTCTCTTCCTAATCCTTTAACAACATAAAAATCATACTTAGCTCAAGGGCCATCCAAAAGAAGGCTTGGCTAGATATTGCCTACAGATCAAGTTTTACAAACTGCCGGCTTAGAAAAAGGGGAATATATGATGTTTTCTAGAATGGCCAGCCATTTGGGTGGCTGCAACATGGAAAGAGAAGTGGCTGATCAGGCGAGATGAGACCAGCCTGTGAAGGAATCTGCAATCACACTTAAGTGTTTCCAGTAGGGCCGGCGATTCTCAAAGGGTGTTCCCCAGAGTCCTGGGGTTCCCCAGAGGGGCCTTGGGAGGCCAGGGTCAGGTCAGGACCCCGTGTCCTTGCTAGAGCAACCCTGCTTTGCCCTGTCTGTTGTACTGGGTTTTCACGTACAATTTTATTTGCCCAAAGGGGCTCTGATAAAAAAGATATTTTGGAAAACCATGAACATGGGCAGTGATGTCCCATGAGTCACACACGTGAAGGCTCATGGAATACACAAGTCTTCCTGTCCTTGGAGAATGAGGAGCTGAGACAAGTGTGTGTGAAATTGTGGACAGGAGAAAAAGATGATCTCTCATCAGGGACCACACTGTGATGAGGAAGGACAGGGTGCTCAGGCTGGAGCAGGTGGTGGCTGGAGGATTTGAGTATTGGAGGAATGAATAGGAGGGGGTAGGTGGACAGGAAGCCTTTCGGGGTGTGAGACGATGGCATTTTCCAAAACCCCAGCAAGGGCCAGGGAGGGCTTGAGGGTTAGGACAGAGAGTGGATCTACCTCCTGGGCATGAAGGTGGGGAGGGTGAGGCCCCAGGGGGACAGAGAGGGCATTTGATGGCTTCACTGAAGACTTCGACCTTGATCTGATGGACAGTAGGGAGCTTTTGATGCTTCTTAAGCTGGGGAGGCATCGTGAGTACAAAGTTCAAGAAAGAGTAATGCTCCTGCTCATGTCCATTGGATACGAATGCGGAGGGCAGGGGTCTGGGGAGAAGTCACTGATCTATGGAAGTGCTAAGTGTTGGGAGGACTTGGTGGTCCCGGGGGAAGGGGGAGGATGGGAGCAACCCTAAGAGTTGGCTGCATGAGAAGGAGGAAGGAGGGGCGAGGAAGAGCCGCATGTTTGAGCTGGGGCTGGTGGTATCTTCCCCTGGCAGAAACCAGGGAGTAGGGCAGCGTGAGGAGAGGTGGAAGGGAGGGGCCGTCTCAGGGAGTGGCTCCATTGGATTTGGGGTATGGAAAGTCCCTTGCATGGGGCGAGGGCATAAACAGGCGCTAGATTGAGCGTGGACTAGAGAGTGGCATGGGTCCTGCTGCAGCTGGGGCATGGGATGACCAAGGGTGGGCCGCAGAACAGCAGGGGCCACGCGCTGAGTGGGACAGAAGGAGAGGACCGCCGGTGAGGCTGGGGTGAGGGCAGACACTTCACTCTGGAGGAGCCAGGAAGCACTGGCCAGGGCATTGGGTTTGGCAGCTGGGAGATGAGAGGAGCTCACACCTGAGGGCCAGGAGGTAACGGAGTCGGGTGGGCAGGAGCCGCACTGGGTGTGTGTGAGATGAGGGGGCCGTGCTGGCAGGCAACTGGTCCAAGCCAGGGCCAGCTGGGGGCATACAAGGTATATTGGGTGTGTTGTTTTGTCTTGGATATCATTGTGTCATTTGTTGTGGGTCGTGCTGGGAGTAAGTGTAGTGGGGGATGAATCTAACCCCTGGTGAGCCTGTGCGGAGTGTATTGTTTATGGGATTGTCTGGCATTAAGCTGTGGATCCATTGTAATGAGTGTGTGTACTGCTGTGCTGTGTCTCTTTGTTGGGGGTATTAGGTCGCTTTCTGGGCCTGAGTTATTGTGAGCCATTCCCAGCGAGGCGGCTGTGCCCGACTTGGTTGCAATGTGGGGTGATGCTGCCCCCTGGAGGACAGAAGGGACAACGACCCGGCAGTTAGTTCTTGTACTCAACAACCATTTATTTTAGAGTAGGGTTTCTCAACCTCAGTGGACATTTTGGGAAGAACAATTATTTGTTGTGTGGGGTTGCCCTGTGCACTGGAGGAAATTTGGAATCATCCCTGGCCTCGATCCACTAGATGCAAGTGTCACCTCCCAGTTGGGAAAATCAAAATGGCTCCAGACATTGTCAAATGTCCTCTGGGGGTGGAGTGGGAGTTTGGGGGACAAAATTGCCTCCTTCTGTTAGAACTACTGATTTAGGGCCATGTAAGTATCAGGTTAACTGTCCTAGCTAGGTGATAGGAGCACAGTGGGAAATGAGACAGACGGGATCCTGGCTCCTCCTGGAGCTTACAGTCCTGCAGGGAGACAGGCATGAACATAGAAACAAAAGCAGAAAATAATGACAAATTGGGTTAAGCGCCATGAAGGAAACAAAGTCAGGGCTGGGGTGCAGGTGACAGGGCAGTGGTGAAGGTGGCTGCTTTAGCTATGAGGGTCAGAGAAGGCCTCTTTGAAGAGCGACTTTTAGGCGGGGATGAGGAGCCAGTTGTGTGGAGGCGGGGAGGAAAGTTCTGGTTGAGGGAACCAGCACATGCAGAGGACCTGAGACAGGAAGGAGCTGGCACGAATGACTGCTGTGTCACAGATGCTTAAACTGTGTCCAGTGGAGGCAGCAGCTGCCACTCACTGTGTCCCCACAGTGCCTGGGACTTTCTGTGAATGGGGAGGTGTTGGAGCCCACGCGCTGGCAGGAGCAGGGAGGGGCTGGGGCCAAGTGTGAGTGTGGGCACAGGACCTCTCTGGGGACTCAGTTCTGCTGCCACCATCCTGATGAGTAGAGAGCTTAGTCTAAGTGGGTCCCAGGGAGGGCCTGGTGGGCTTGATTGGGCTCTGGGGTGAATGATCATGGAGGCATGGGCATTGGGCTAGGCTTGCCTGTGGCCTGACATCTGACTCCTCCCCCAGCGCTGGCAAGACCTCAATGTGATCAACAGCCTGCTCAAGTCCTTCTTCCGAAAGCTGCTCGAGCCTCTTTTCACTGCTGGTGAGTAGGAGGTGGAAGTGGGGGTGGGGAGGGGACACCAGTCTGTGCCGCACCCTGACCACTACTTTTGCATTTGGTTTGTTGGTTTTACTCTTTTATTTATTTATTTTTTTGGAGACAGTCTTGCTCTGTCGCCCAGGCTGGAGTGCAGTGGTGCAATCACAGCTCATTGCAGCCTCAAGCTACTGGGCTCTAGCGATCCTCCCACCTCAGCCTCCTGAGTAGCTGAGACAGCAGGTGAACACCACCACACCCAGCTAATTTAAAAGTTTTTTTCAGAGATGGGGGGAGTTTCTCACTATGTTGCTCAGACTGGTGTTGCACTCTTGGGCTCAAGCAATCCTCCTGCCTGCCCCAGCCCCACAAAATGCTGGGATTACAGGCATGAGCCACCACGCTGGCTTTTTTTTTTTTTTTTAACACAAAATCTTATTAAAAAAAAACATAGATTGTGCAGATGTGAATAAAAACAGCACAGGACCCTGTGAATCTCCTCCTCCCTTTCACGGGAGGTTGTGGCTAACACTTTCTGAGCATTAGTGTGTGCCAAGCACAACTCCCTACAGCAACTCCATGAGGAAGGTGCTATTGTCTTCCCTCTACAGATGAGGAAACCAAGGCTCAGAGAGGTTTAATGCCTTGCCCAAGGTCACACAGGTTGTAAATGGCAGAGCCAGGATTCCACCCCAGGCGTCGGGCTCCGATGGGCTTTGGCTGTTTGCTGAACTGCTTATTCACAATCTGTTGTGTTTCTCTCCTGGCCCTCTTATATGCATGGCAGAGATACACACGTGCCTGCGTGGGGTTTGGAGTTGGGTGGGTTCAGGGGTGTGCTGGCAGATGTTTAACATCTGTTTCTGGGAGAAAAAAGCCCTAATGCCTAGCGTTTTCCAGCTTCCATGGTGTAAATACTCCTACCGTGGTTTATTTCAAGCCACCAACATGATGTCACCAACATGGAATTGGGAAGAGAGGCACACAGTCGCTCTCAGGAGCTGGTGTGAGCGGACTCCAGCACACCGCTGGTTGAGTTGTTTTTAACAAAAGCAGAGTTGTAATTCTGAGATTCATTCGTGTCAGTGCAGAGAGCTCTACCTCATTCTTCTTTTAAATCAACCACATAGAATTTCATGGTTTGAATAGACTATAATTTCTTTAAGTACTCCTCTATTGATGGATATTTAGCTTGTCTTCAAATGTTTGCTATCACACAACCTGTTGCAATGGCTTTCCTTGAATAAGTCCTTGAACGCCTGGATCTGTGCTCTCTAAGGGGATTCTTAGATGTAGAATTGCCGGGTCAAAGTCCTGGTGAACCTTTCTGAGACCAGTGTCAATTGCACTCTGAGAAAGAGGCCCTGATTTAGACTCCCACTAACAATGTAGGAGTCTGTCTCTCCACATCCCCAACAGCATTGGATATTACAACTATTATTGTTATTTGAAGGCCAGGCATGGTGGCTTATGCCTGTGATCCCAGCACTTTGGAAGGCTGAGGCGGGTGGATCACCTGAGGTCAGGAGTTCAAGACCAGCCTGAGTGTGG
Organism: Homo sapiens; assembly: GCF_000001405.40. NCBI lineage: Eukaryota > Metazoa > Chordata > Mammalia > Primates > Hominidae > Homo > Homo sapiens. The sequence goes on along the minus strand of NC_000016.10, from coordinate 33,918,285 downwards.
TGAAACCCCATCTCTACTAAAAATACAAAAAGTAGCTGGGTGTGGTGGCAGGTGCCCGTAGTCCCAGCTGCTAGGGAGGCTGAGACAGGAGAATTGCTTGATCCCAGGAGGCAGAGGTTGCAGTGAGCTGAGATCGCACCACTGCACTTCAGCCTGGGTGACAGAGCAAGACTCCATCTCAAAATAAATAAATAAATAAATAAATAAATAATACAATAAAATAAAAATAAAAATACTATTATTTGACACAGGATCTTGCTCTGTTGCCCAGACTGGAATGCAGTGGTACAATCATGGCTCACTGCAGCCTCAACCTCCTGGGCTCAAGTGATCCTCCCATCTCAGCCTCCTGAGTAGCTGGGACTACAGGTTTGTGCCACTATACCCATCTAATTAAAAAAAATTTTTTTTCTGGTAGAGGCAGGGTCTCACTACGTTGCTCAGGCTGGTCTTCAACTCCTGGTCTAAAGTGATCATCGCTCCTCGGCCTTTCAAAGTGCTGGGATTTTAGGCTTGAGCCACCTCACCCAGACAGCATTAAATATTATTAATATTTTAAACTTTTGCTAATCAGATAAGAGAAATGGTATCTCATTATTGTTTTTATTTTCATTGCCCTCATTACTAGGGAGATTAAATCTTTTTTCATTAGCATACTGGCTGTTTCTATTTTCTCTGTAATTACTTGATCAGACCATGTGCCCATTTTTCTGTTGGGTTGTTTATCTTTTTCTTATGTTGATTTGTGGGAGAAAAGCTCTTTGTGTTTTACACATATTAACCCTTTGTTAGTTTTTGCAAATATTTGCTTTGGCCTGCCATTTGCCTTTTCACTTTGCAGTATAGAAACTGAAAACAAAATTTTTGTTTGTTGTTGTTTTGTTTTGTTTTTTGAGACAGAGTTTCACTCTTGTCGCCCAGGCTGGAGTGCAATGGTGCGATCTCGGCTCACTGCAACTTCTGCCTCCTGGGTTCAAGCGATTCTTCTGCCTCAGTCTCCCGAACAGCTGGGATTACAGGTGCCCACCATCATGCCCAGCTAATTTTTGTATTTTTGGTAGAGACGGGGTTTCACCATGTTGGCCAGGCTGGTCTCAAATTCCTGACCTCAGATGATCCACCCTCCTTGGCCTCCCAAAGTGCTGGGATTACAGGCGTGAGCCACCGCTCCCTGCCTAACAATTTTTAATTTTATTTTTATTAAATTTTATTTATTTTTTTGAGACTGAGTCTCACTCTGTCACCCAAGCTGGAGTGCAGTGGTACGATCTCAGCTCATTGCAACCTCGGCCTCTCGGGTTCAAGCCATTCTCCTGTCTCAGACTCCCAAGTAGCTGGGATTACAGGCACCTGCCACCATGCCCAGTTAATTTTTATATTTTTAGTAAAGATGAGGTTTTGCCACATTGGCCAGGCTGGTCTTGAACTCCTGACCTCAATTGATCAGCTGATGCACCTCAGCCTTCCAACGTGCTGGGATGACAGACGTGAGCCACCGTGCCTGGCCGAAAACAATTGTTTAAAATGTGACCAAAGCTGTTCATCTTTTCTTCATGGATTCTGCATCTCATGTTTAGGATGGCCTTAGGATTATAAAAATATTTTCTTATTTTTTCCCCAGTGCTTTTATAATTTTCACAATTGGCTCTGCCGTGTGATTGCATTTGTGTATTGTGAGCTAGAAATGATCCCCCCCGCCCCCGATGGTAGCCATTTGTCCCGGGGACATCTGTTGAGGCCCCCATCCCTCCCCCCGATTGGAAGTGCTGCCTTTATCATATAATAAATATCCACATGGCCCACTTCCCCCCTTTCTAGCCTTAACATTGCTCTGCCTTTTCTGCCGTGCCAGCCGGCTTCAGCTGTGCCATCCATTCAGGATGTTTCAGTCCCTGGTAGGGCAGATCCTCCCGCGTTACTCTTTTTTTAAAAACTATTCCTGGCTGTCTTTGTGCATTAGCTCATCCAGATGAATTTCAGAATAGGCTTATCATGTTCCATTCTTTAAAGGTCCCCATGGAATTGTTCTGAAGGGAGTTGGGGGAATCCTTGGTCGAGGGTGTCTGAAGCCCCTCCTCCTCTCCAGGTGCCCTTCTCTTCTGACCTGCTGAACCTTGGTGTCCATGTCCTGGAGACGGGGGCATGGACCCCTTTCCTGCGATCAGCATGCACCTCAGGTCGTATTGCCTCCCAAATGAACACAGCTGGGCTACCCCAGGTCAGGTGCACACCCGAGTGTAGCTGTGGTGAGTGCAGCTGTGGTGAGTGCAGCTGTGGTAAGTGCAGCTGTGGTGGGTGTGTTCACATACACAAGAGGCTGTCGCCCATGCTGGAGCCCCCGAACTGGAGGAGTTCAAAACACAGCCCTCCCAGCAGGGCCCTCGGCCTGGAGAACAGGGTAAGGTGCTGCCCCTACCTCTCTAAAGAGTCTCTGCTGTGTTTTAGACAAATACAACGACTTCATCGAGGCCAACTGCATTGAGGACGCGCGGGAGCGGATGAGGACGCTGCGGAAGCTGGTAAGGAGAGAGAGGTGCTGCCAGGCACGAGGTGGGGCAGCTGCCTGAGCACCTCTGTCCCAGGAGGCAGGGAGTCCGGTGTTACCCACGACCCCTGTGGCCTTGCCCTGCTCCACTCAGGGCATCAGTTTCCCCATCCACACAAGAGAACGGGGGGTTAGAGGATAGGTTCCAGACTCCCTGAGGCATGGTAGTGGGAGATCTTTGGGGCATGGTGGTGACGGGGGACAGGGGCAGGCCCTTACAGCCTGTCCCCATGCCCCTCCTCTCTCCTGCTCAGATCCGGGATCTCCCAGGACACTACTATGAAACACTCAAATTCCTTGTGGGCCATCTCAAGACCATCGCTGACCACTCTGAGAAAAACAAGGTGGGTAGGAGTCCCGCATGGAGTCTGGGGGAGGCAAGCACGGACTTACTGTGTGGGGGCCCTCAGCACGCACTGAGCTCCTGCAGGTCCAATAACTCAGGCCCCTCTAGGCACGCCCTCCTCCTATGACTGCTCCGTCCCCATCCCGCTCCTACATGCTGGTCAGTGCTTTCCCCCAGAGAGCCATCTCCTGAGTTTCTGAGGGCTTTCCAGAGGCAGGGAACCCCGGCTCCCCGTATCTGATGCATTGCCATCCTCCGAGTTAGCTCAAGTCCCTCGCATTGCATTTTCCTCATCAAACCCCTTATGCCTTCTGGTTCTGCAGTGGAGAAAATGAGGGGAGTGATAGGATTTTTTGTGTTTTTTGTTTGTTTGTTTTTTTGAGACGAAGTCTCACTCTGCCACTCAGTCTGCAGTGCCTTGGCACGATCTCAGCTCACTGCAACCTTCACCTCCCGGGTTCAAGCAATTCTCCTGCCTCAGCCTCCGGAGTAGCTGGGATTACAGGCACCTGGAAGTGATTGGATTTTTTCCCAGGCCTAAAATAACCCCTGGGACCTCCAACATGTTTCCTACTGCAGGGTCTCCCACTGCTGGCACTGACCACTCAGGGCTGCCCTGTATAGGTGTGCAGGTTGGGCACTGCTCATGGCTGCTGGGCCTGGGGATGAAAGGGGCTGAAATCTGGCCTGTGCTCTACTCATCAAGCATCTCCATGCCCATACAAGGGGGTGTCCACCCTCTAAGCTGGGGACTGGTGAGGATGTAGTTGGGGACAGAGGCCTTAGGGGCCAGAGTGAGGGAGGACTGAGTTCAGGATGTTGACAGTGACCTGCTTTCCCTGCTGCCCAGATGGAACTCTGGAACCTGGCCCTGGTCTTTGGGCGGACACTGGTGAGGACGTCTGAGGGCAACATGACAGACATGGTGACCCACATGCCTGACCGCTACAAGATCGTGGAGACACTGATCCAGCACGTAAGCCCCTGTTCCGGGGGTCACCCGGCAGCCCCTGGGGCCCAGGCCATGTTCCTCTGAGCCCCTCACTCTTGCTCAGCCTGGCGGGGTGTGCCCCAGGAAGGGCTCGGCAGCTTTAGAGCATGCTGCTAGGGTGGTATATACTCCTCCAAAGCCATGGGCTGCATTTCAAGGCAAGGCAGGAATGGATCCTGGAATCCTTGCTGCCCTGGGATGTTGTGTCCCCAGCAGGAGAGTCAAGAGGCCCCCGAGCGTCCAAGATGCCTGGGAAAGGCAGAAGAGGAGGAAGGGCAGGGAAGGTGCTACAGGTGGAGGGCAGAAGGGGCAGCTTCAGAAGGTGGCCCCTGGAGAGGTGTCCTGGCAGACACGAGCAGACGGGGGCCAAGGTCTGGCCTGACATCAGGAGGCCCCGGCTCTAGTGACTTTCCCTGCTGGCCCCACTGAGGTTTTGGGGAGGTAGTGGTGATGTCCATGGTAACAAGGGGTGGATGGGGCAAGGCACAGGGCCTTGGCCTGAGGCAGGATCCTGCACCAGTGCTTGGCATGTACTGGGCTGGCCACCTCCCTTCTCATGGCTTCCTGGATGCCAACAGCCCGTGGTCCTGTAGGTTCTTGTTACCGTGCATGGGCGGAGGAGAACCCAGAGTGGCCAGCAGAGGGCTCAGGAGGCCTTGGTCTTCCAGAGCCCAACCCTAAGGCAGCACTGCCGCCTTCTGGGGCACACACAGATGTCATTATGAATCATAGATTTTCCATTTCCAATTCTTGTTACAGCCCACAGAGGATGAGAACAGAGCCCCTCCTGCCAGGGGAAATAAGACTGGCAGCTGGTCAGAGGAAGGGAAGCCTCAGTCCCAAGCACCCTAGACACTTTAGGGAAGGAAAGCTGGGCCCTATCACCCCCATTTTACAGAGGAGGAAACAGGCTCAGAGAGGCAAAGCAACTTGCTCATGGTCACACAGCTAATAAGTGGCAGCCCAAGATTTCAAGCCAGATCTGACTGACCAAAGCCTGTGTTTTCCTCCTGCTATCAACCCAAAGGCCAGACTCCTAGGTCCCTCCTTGAGCTGGCTTGGGACGGAGGGAGGGGGCCAGGGTAAGGATGCGAGGTGGTGGGCAGCTGAGCCATGTTAACAGCCTTGCTTGCCCATCTCCTCCTTCACTGCATGCTCAGGGCTCCGAGCCACAGGAGGGAGCATCACAGCCTGCTGCATCCGGACACTGGGAACACCACTCCAGAACTGTCTGGGAGGCCAGAGCTGCCCTGCAGCGTCCGGGATCCTGGTGAGGCCTTGGGAAAGCTTAGCTCTCCAGGGCACCAGGGAGCCCCGGAACCTCCCAGGAGGGTGTGTTTTGGGGGCAGCAGCAGGGAAGAGTGGGTGTCTGGCCCTGTGCTCCTGGAGCAGCCCCTGGAAGCCCAAGGTCTGAAGTCAGCTGAGGTGTCAGGAACTGCAGTCTTCAGGGAGGAAGGAGGCCAAAGCCCCAAGGGGGAGTCCCTGCTCTGGGCAGGGTGGAGAAGGTGGAGTTTGTCTCATTTAGCACTGACACTAGCGCCTGGCACACAGTGGATACTCTGGATACTCAGTGTTTGTGGAGTATAAATGAATGAGTAAATTGCTAATTGAGGTTATATCAGGCTGGGCTTTTCTTTCTCTTTCTTTCTCTCTCTTTCTTTTCGCTTTCTGTTTTTTTTTTTTTTTTTTTTTTTTTTTTTTTTTTGATAGAGTCAGTCTGTCGCCCACACTGGAGTGCAGTGGGCAAATATGGCCCACTTCCAGGCTCAGGCGATCCTGCCATCTCAGCCTCCTGAGTAGCTGGGACTAGAGATGCCACCACCACACCAACTGGCTAATTTTTGTATTCTTTTGTAGAGATGAGGTCTTACTATGTTGCCAGGGCTAGTCTTGAACTCCTGGACTCAAGCAATCCTCCCATCTCGGCCTTCCAAAGTGCTGGGATTACAGGTTTGAGCCATCACGCCCGGCCAGGCTGGGCTTTTCTACTCAGAGATTCATTCCCGAGAGCTAACTGAGCTAGTGTCCTTCCCTTCTCTGCCTCCTTGGCATTTGAACGTAACCAGCCCTGGATGATTGTCAAGGGAATGAGCCACCCACTCTGCAAGCCCTGAAAGCCTGCCCACCCAAGCGTGCCAGCTCTGTCTAGCCCAGAGGCTCCATAGCCAGGGCAGTGCTGCTGTCACTTGGGGCACCCAGACCAGTCTTCAGGTCGGAAAGAGGGTGGCAACTGAGGGGTAAAGAGGAACAGCGACTTGCCCAGGGCCACGCAGCAAGATAATGGCAGAGCAGAGAGGAGAGCAAACCTGGATGTCTGATCTTGCAGCGGGCAAGTTGCCAGGAGCCTCTACCTATGTTTACAAAGTCAAGTGGAACCCAAACAAAGATCACCCAGGGCATTTGCTCAGGGACTCACTCAGCAAAGGCAGTGACACCTAATGTTTCTCAGCTTCAGCACTAGTGACCACTGAGGTCCAGATAAGTCTTTATTGTGGGAGGCTGTTCTGTGTGTTATAGGACATTTAGCAGAATCGCTGGCTTCTACCTGCTGGATGCTGGGAATATCACTCTAGTTGTCACAATAAAAAATGTCTCCAGACATTGCCAAGTGCCCCCTGGGGTGGGAGATTGACGGCAGTGGCTCTAGGGCCAGCCTGCTCCTATGTGCTGTGTGGCCTTGGACAAGTTCCTTACCTGCTGTGCCTCAGTCTCCACACCTGTAAAGTAGAGATGACAATACTGTTTACCTCACATTGTTGTGAATGTCTGCTAAAGCACTCACGGTGGTGCCTGGCAGGTCCTAAGTGTTGTGTGAGAACTGAATGTCATCCTCTTCCTCGTGGTCATTATTCCACGCCAGAGACAGATCCCCATGCTGGAAACACGGAGGTGAATGGGAACCTGCTCAGAAGGAATATTGCCAGCGGGTGTGGTGGTGCGTGTCTGTGGTCTCAACTACTTGGGGGGCTGAGGTGGGAGGCTGCAGTGAGCCGAGATTGCGACACTGCACTCCAGCCTGGGTGACAGAGTGAGACCCTGCCACACACACACAAAAAAAAATCCATAAAATGATGTTTCTCATTCATTTATTCATTTAATAATGTTTATCAGAGTAAGAGCTGCATCTCTTTTTGCTCTGGGCTATGTCCAAGGAAGCCCCACAAAAGGACCCACCCTGGCCCTGGGTGCAGGGCTGGGGTCGTAGTCATGGAGTTCTTGAACTGCCTTAGAGGACCATGATGAGAACTTAGCCAGGCAGAGCAGGGAGAAAGGGCATCCCAGGCGGAAAGAACAGCATGTGCAGAAACAGGGTGGCAGGAACTAGTGTGGATTCCTCTTGAGAGCCGTGGCCACCCGGGCACTTCCTGTAGATGCTGTGGCTTGCAGAGTACTTCTGGGCACCTTCCAACCCGAGTTAACAGCTGGCTTCTTTGGGCCAATCCTCAGGCTCCCCCTGGTCAGCCTGTCTCTGGAAGCCGCACTTTTGAATAACGGTAGCTGACATCTATTATACATTAACAACGTGCTGCACTCAACATTTTCCATACAGTATTTCATCTCAATCCTCCTCAGGCCTAGAAGGAGGTACTCACATCATGCCCATTTTAGAGATAAGTAAATAGACTTACAGAGGGAAAGTAACTTGGCTAAGGTGAACTCGAACCAAGATAACTGACTCCAGAGCTTCCATTTTTCTTTTTCTTTTCTTTTTTTTTTTTTTTGAGACAGAGTCTCACTCTGTCGCCCAGGCTGGAGTGCAACGGCGCAGTCTCCACTCACTGCAGCCTCCAGCTCCTGGGTTCAAGTGATCCACCTCAGCACCCCCAAGTAGCTGGGATTATGGGCGCACGCCACCATGCCAGGCTAATTTTTGTATTTTTAGTAGAGCTGGGGTTTCACCCTGTTGGCCAGGCTGGTATTGAACTCCTGACCTCAGCTGATGCACCTGCCTCAGCCTCCCAAAGTGCTGGGACTACAGGTGTGAGCCACTGTGCCCAGTCAGAGCTTGCATTTTTCTTATCTTCCTTCGCTCTCTTCTCTTCTATCTCTTTCTTGTTTCCCTTCTGGCCTTCCTGTGCTGTTTGATTTAATCACATGTCAGATCATGAGCAATAATAACTGAGGCTCATGGCGCATGCTCAGGCAAGTCCCCTTGTTTCCCCTCTTCATTCCCCTAGGTGCCCACTCTTAATAGGCTAATATGTGTCCTTCCAGGACACCTTCCACTTATTGTAAATGCATGGCTATCCTTAAATATATATAATATTCTTTGTGTGTTTTAAGTCTACATAATGAGATTATAAATTGCCTGTTCCTGTTCTTTCATAGGTGTTGAGGGGGGTAAAGGGTAATTGACTTAATTTTTATTCATTTATTTTTTTTGAAATGGAGTTTCACTCTTGTTGTCCAGGCTGGAGTACAGTGGTGCGACCTCAGCTCACTGCAACCTCTGCCTCCCGGGTTCAAGTGATTCCCCCACCTCACCCTCCCGAGTAGCTGGGATTACAGGTGTGCACAACCATGCCCAGCTAATTTTTATATTTTTAGTAGAGATGGGGTTTCACCATGTTGGCCAGGTTGGTCTCAAACTCCTGACCTCAGGTGATCCACCCACCTCAGCCTCCCAAAGTGCTGGGATTACAGGTGTGAGTCACTGCACCCAGCCTGTCACTGTCAATTTCTAATGCTTATCAGTTTCTGTGTCTTCCTTCCACCACATCTAAAAGCCAAAAGTGGTGGGTGCAGTGGCTCATGCTTGTAATCCCAAAATCTACAATTTTTTTTTAATTAGCTGTGCAAGGTGGCACATGCCTGTAGTCCCAGCTATTCAGGAGGCTGAGGTGGGAGAATCTCTTGAGCCCAGGTGTTCAAGGGTACAGTGAGCTAGGATCATGCCACAGCATTCCAACCTGGATAACAGCGAGAGACCCTATCTCAAAAATAAATTAATAAATACAATAAAAGCCAAAAGTGCCTTAGTTATTTCTTGGAGCTTGCCGAAGTCCATCTCTTTACTTGCTCAAGTATTCAATTAAGAGAGTCTTTGTGTAAAAAATTTTCTGCTGTCTCAGGATAGCTTTATTTCAAGGCCAGGTGTGGTGGCTCCAGAGAGCAGGAGGTTCACTTAAGGGGTGATTAAAACAATCTGTGGTATGCCTGTAATCCCAGCACTTTGGGAGGTGGAGGTAGGTGGATCACTTGAGGTCAGGAGTTGAGACCAGTCTGGCCAACATGACGAAACCCCATCTCTACTAAAAATACAAAAATTATCCAGGCGTGATGGCATGCACCTGTAATCCCAGCTACTTGGGAGGCTGAAGCCAGAGAATCACTTGAACACAGGAGGCAGAGGTTGCAGAGAGCCAAGATTGCACCACTGCACTCCAGCCTGGGTGACAGAGTGAGATTCTGTTGGAAAAAAAAAAAAAAGAATAGCTTTATTTTACATTCTCATTTTTTTAAATGAGAGTTTAGCAGGGTATAAAATTCTAGGTTCCTTCCACACATCAAAACTTACTTTCTTGTCTTGTCTTCTTGTGTCTTGCTGCTGAAAGTTCCAAGTACCTGTGATACGTGTTCATTTATAAGCAATCTGGATTTTTTTTTCAGAAAACTTAGAATTTTATCTTCAAGATTCTCAAATTTTACAAAATATATTAAACTGTGGGGGTCTTTATTTTGTCTCTTGTTTGGCCTTTATGAGAAAGCTCTCGCCTCCTGCCCGTCAGGAAACCTCCAACACCTTTCTCCTGTCATTTTCCTTTTCTGGGCTGAGTATGTGACACCCCTGTTGTCAGTGTGGCACCCATGGGTGGCAGGTGGCCTGGGGCATGCTCGGCTGTCACAGCCATGGACCTGGCCAACACTAACGGCACTGGTGCCTCCCTGCCCCCCGGCTCGCTGTGGGGAGTATACCATAGGGGTGTGCCCAGGACAGTGTTTAGAGAAAAGCAAGTAAAAGCGAAGCTCTCCCTAAGCCTATCTCCCGTCTGACGTGGCCGCTCCCACTCACTGCCGTGTCTCCTCCCACACTGGGGTCCCACCTTTTCTCTCCCCAAGGGTTTTTCATAGTCTGTGGAGTCAGGTTTTAGCATCCATCAAGCTCCCTCTGAGCCCTCTTTTGCAGCCCCACCAGCCTGGGGTTTGTTGAGAGAGAGGCGCCCCTTGCCGCCTGAGTGGGTCCTCTGGAATGAGCAGGTGGAAGAGACTCTTCTTTCCCATGCTGATTTCATCCCTTCCTTTTGTCTTCTCTGCAGTCAGACTGGTTCTTCAGTGACAAAGAGGACAAGGGAGAGAGAGAGTAAGTGATGCCGTGGGCTGGGCTGGCATGGGGGCTGGTCTGGGGTGAGCCCCAGTCCTTGGGGGTGGGGCAGGCAGCGAGACTTAAGCTGGGGAAGGTGTCTGTCCTTGAGGCTTCCCTCAAGTCTGATGGAGGAAACACAGACCCTCTCCTCAGGAGCCCCTAGTCTGATAGATAAGCACAAAGCTTGCCTTCAGGAATCTCCAGTCTAAATGGGGGAGATACAGGCCTTGCTCAGAGGTAACCCAATTCAGGAGTAAAGGCAGCTCCTGCCCTCCAGGCTACTGAGAAGGACTTAGGTTGGAGGAGTTCCAGTCTAGTGCGGGAGACACAGCTCCTGCCCCTAGCTGAAGGGGCCGCTCTGGCCTTCGTGGTTCTGAGATGTTGAGGAAGGCACAAAGCTGTCTAACAGGGGACATGTAGGAATCATCCTTAAGAGCACCCGGCTGATGAGGGAGACGGTCCCTGCCCCAGTGAGCCCAGTCTGATGGAGGAGACACGGGCTCTGTCATCAGGGCACCCCCCTCTGGGGGGTCGGCAGCCCAGCATCCGAGGGCATGCCAGTTGACCCCTCCTCCTGTTCGCAGACCCCTGTGGGCAGCAAGGAGCCTCAGGCAGTGCCCAACATTGAGTACCTCCTGCCCAACATTGGCAGGACAGTGCCCCCTGGTGACCCGGGGTCAGGTGAGCACAGGGGCCTGGGAGTGGGGAGGCAGGAGGGTGGACACTGCATTCCTGAGGGTCCCAGATACCTGGCCAGATGCCCAGCTTCCCTGTGCCACCCCAGCGGGGCCCTCCCCTGCCAGCCACCATGGAGATGGGGCTGTTGGGGGCCTTCTACCTCCCTGGGGAAGTCCAGCTTGCCCCGTGCCCACCTCCTGTCTGTGCAGCTGCCCCGCCCCAGGCAGGGTTGGAGCTTTGTTCCCCCTCTCTCACTGGTTTCTTTCCTCAGCCTTTAATTTCTCATGGGCTGGCTGTGTCCCTCTGGGCATGTTCCTCTTTTTAATTTTTCTTCCTTTTTTCCTTGCACCCCCACCTCTCCCTCCTCCTCTCCCCGTGCTCTCCTCCCACCCCTTTCTCTTCTCCTCCCCCTCCCCTCCTCCAGCAGACCTGTTGGAGATTTAAAGAGTACAGTGCAGTGTCGCGGCCTCGGTCACTAACAGTGGCGGGTGATTATAAGAAGGCTGGGTGGGCACAGAGGCAGGCAGAATGTCCCGGACTGTGAGGACCCCACACTGACATGCCAGTTACCCCTGCTTTTTATCCACTTACCCCAGCAGTCCATGCCCCTCCCATCCTAGAGCCCCTTCTCAGGAGGAAGGAGGCACTCACTGGGCCCAGGGCCCTCCCCGTTGCCTGGACACCGGGGCATCGAATTGCTGCCCTTCTGCAGTGCCACAGACCTTGTGGCCTCTCTTTGCCGAGTCTCACCACTGCTAGTCATCCGGGCTGGGGACCGACACTCTCTGGAGACCAGCGATGCCACGCCCAGAAGCTTCTCTTTATCTCTAACTCCTGCCTCAGTCACCCCAATGGGCCGCCTCCTCCTGCTTAAGAAACCGGGGCCCTAAGTCCTGTTTGCAGGGCCTGTGGCCCTCTCATGGCAGAGGACAGATGATTTACATGCTCAGAGACAGATGAGGGCCACTCCCTTTGTGGCTGCAGCCACTGACTCCTCCCCCCGCCATTGTTGTCCCTCTCTTTAGTTTTAGCATTTCTGTTTGTCTCTGACAGAGGCACACAGGAGCTCCCTAGTCACCAGAGGCAGGCTCAGGAGGGGCCAGAAGACATGGGGGTGGGACGGCAGAGAGGGACCCCATGTCTCTTCTAATCACTCACCGCCCCCCGCGCCCCGTGTGTCATGTGTGATCGCCCATCTTGCTTTTCTCACCTTGTGCAGGGGGAGGGGTCCGGAGAGGGGGGCATCTAACTTGCCTGCCAGAGAGTGTGGATTAACCACACCTGCCCACTACCCTGTGGGACCCCAGGAGGCCCTTGGACCAACCTGCTCCCTCTCTAGCCTTGGAGAGGACCCACAAGGATGTGTCTCTGGTTCCTTCTCCACCCCAGTGATATTAAGGGAGTGGGACCCAAGTCCCATAGAAATCATGCTTTTAGTCTCCTTCATAACTGGGTGATAACTGGGGACCCTGCCCATGAGGCAGGGTGACCCCAGGTCTGGAGGTGCACTGTGTGGTCTCCATTTCTCCAGAGCATCTGTGATTTGCTGTGTTTCACTGTGGTGGTTTCCATGGACTGCACCTGATATTTAGCATTTTCTCTCCAGTGCTTCAGAGTAAAAGGGACAGGCGGGGAAGGAGAGAGGAACTAGGCTCAAAGACAATGCCCCCTTGCCCTTAGCCTTCGGTAAATGAGGGGCCAGTGGCTGGCAGCCTGATGTCACTTCCTGCCTCTAGAGGAAGTGGCAATTAACATCATTTTCTGCTCCATCCCTTTCCCATAGATGGACATCAGAAGTCCGTCATACTCCTAGGGCCTGGGGAGATCTCATGTTTCAGAATTCCCTGGTTTCTGAAGCCTTTGAGGAGAGGAATTGTGTGCATAAGACTCAACTTTCTTTTTCCCTGATGCAACTTTCATTTTTTTTTCTGTCTTTCACCAACAGATTCTACCACCTATAGTTCAGTCAAGTCCAAGGTACGTACGAAGGCAATTCTGAAGGCTTGATCCCTGTACAAGCCAGCCCACTTTGGTTTTTGTTCAAGAGAATTGAGGGAATGGCAATTGGACCGTGGGGAAAGTTGATGGTCCCTGGGAGGGAAGGCAGGAGGTACCGAGTGCCCAAGGTAAGCTGAGAAGTTGCTTACCTTGGCAGTGTTTGGTGAGGCATCTGCTGTAGTAGAAGGACTTGGCCTGGGAGTTATGTGGCTAGGAGGCAATGTCACTCAGTAGTTAGAAGCACAGACTCTGGAGTCAGACAGTCCTGGGTTTGAGTTCTGGCTCCACCATTTAGTAGTTTGGGACATTGGGCAAATTACTTAACCACTTTCTGATCCTTAGCTTCCTCATCTATAAAATGGGAATATCAGTAAATCTGTGGGGTGCTATAATAAATAAAACAGATATCCTTTAAGGTCTTTGGAGAGCCTAAAGCAAGCAGAAGGAAATAAAGAGAGGAGCAGAAATCCATGAAATTGAAAACAGTTGAAGAAAAGCAATGAAACCAAAAGCTGGTTCTTTGAAAAAAAATCAATGAAATTGATAAACCTCTAGCCAGACTAACAGAATAAAAAGAAAGATGGCACAGATTATCAGTATCAGGGATGAAAGAGGGACATCACTACAGACCCCTAAGTTATTTTTTATTTTTTATTTATTTATTTTTTTGAGATGGAGTCTTGCTGTGTCACCCAGGCTGGAGTGCAGTGGCACCATCTCGGCTCACTGCAAGCTCCGCCTCCTGGGTTCACACCATTCTCCTGCCTCAGCCTCCCGAGTAGCTGGGACTACAGGTGCCCACCATCATGTCCAGCTAATTTTTTGTATTTTTAGTGGAGATGGGGTTTCACCAGGTTAGCCAGGATGGTCTTGATCTCCTGACATTGTGATCCGCCCCCCTTGGCCTCCCAAAGTGCTGGGATTACAGGCGTGAGTCACCACGCCTGGCTATAGACCCCTAAGTTATTGAATTTATGGGCATAAAGTTGCCCATAAATTCAATAACTTAGATGAAATAGACCAATTCTTTGAAAGATTCAGACTGCCAAAACTCACTTAAGAAAAAATAGATAACCTGAATAGTCCTATACCTCCTAAAGAAATTGAATATGTAATTTAAAACCCCCCAACAATGAAAACTTCAGGACCAGATGGTTTCACTGTTAAATTCTACCAAATATTTAAGGAATTTTTTAAATGTTTAAACAATTTACTTTAATAATTTTAAAATATTCTAAATAGAAAATAGTATAATTTTAAATATTGATATATTTAAATAGTTATTTAAATATTTGAATTATTTAAATATTTAAATAGTTATTTAAGAAATAATACCAATTCTCCACTCTCTCTTTTGGAAGATAAAAGAGGATGGCTGGGCACCATGGCTCACACCTGTAATCCTAGCACTTTGGGAGGCTGAGGTCGGATCTTGAGATCAAGAGTTAAAGACCAGCCTGGCCAACGTGGTGAAACCCCATCTCTACTAAAAATACAAAAAAATTAGCTGGGTGTGGTGGCATGAACCTGTAATCCCAGCTACTCAGGAGGCTGAGGCAGGATAATTGCTTGAGCCTGGGAAGAGGAGGTTGCAGTGAGCTGAGGTCGTGCCACTACACTCCAGCCTGGGCAACAGAGCGAGACTCCGTCTCAAAAAAAAGGAAGGAAAATAGAAGAGGAAGAAACACTTTCCAACTCATTTATGAGGCCAGCATTACCCTGATACCAAAACCTAACAATGCTTTTGAAAAAGATAGGGCTAATTCATATGATAATACCACAAATATTTGTTGAATGTCTACTTTATATCAGTACTGTGCTGGGTACTGAAAATATAAATAATGAGCCAAACAGATAGGTTCCTGCCCTCACAAAGCTTATCTTCTACTGAGAGACAGACACTAAGCTAATGAAGAAATAGACTATCTGTCTGGCAGGTTTGGAGGCACAGTGGAGGCAGAAACCAGATGGAATGAGCTAATAAAGTGAGGGAGGGAAGAGCGCATACATAGACCACTCTTGTGAGAAGTCCGATTGTGAAGAGATATTTACAGAACAAAAATGGGAAAATATGTGGCTTGAGGGAAACTTTCATTAAAAGATGAAAGCAGCCAGGCATGGTGGCTCATGCCTGTAATCCCAACACATTTGGAGGCCGAGGCAGGAGGATCCCTTGAGCCCAGGAGTCCGAGACCAGCCTGGACAACATAGTGAGACCTCGACTCTACAAAAAATGCAAAAATAACCAGGCATGGTGGGGCATGCCTGTAGTCCCAGCTACTTGGGAGGCTGAGGCAGGAAGATCATTTGAGCCTGGGAGGTTGAGGCTGCAGTGATGAGCCATGATCATGCCACTGCAGTCCAGCCTGGGCAACAGAGCAAGACCCTGTCTCAAAAACAAACAAACAAACAAAAAAAGATGAAAGCACATATTTACTTGCCAATGGGAATGATCCAGGTGAGAGACAGAGAGAGAGGAAGAGCTGGGCCCAGAGCCCATGAAGCAGCAGTAGCCTGTGCTCCTAGCAGATGCATCCCCAGGTGTAGTAGGAAGAGAGGGAGGTGGCAGGGGCACACTAGCAGGCAGTGTTGGCAGCAGGTCATTGGGGTTGTTCCCAGCTGATGGCTCTTTCCTCAGCGAAGTGGAAGGTGAGGACCTCTGCTGGGCATGAAGGTGGCAGGGAACGTCTGAGCAGAGTGAAGGAAGTCTGAAATAGGTCCCATAAAGCAAGGCAGATTTCCTGAAGGGGCCGAGGAGCATCATGGGCAGGCTGAGGCCTCTGAAGGCTGCGGCCCCTTCTCGAGAGCCAGCACTTTGCCCAGCAGCCGTGCCCTGCCCCTTTGGGCCTGGCTTCTCCACACTCCCCGGAGAGCCCCTTCTGAGTCCCTTCTGGCCAGAAGATGTCCTCATTTGCTTCCTGTGACCCCACCGTGTCTCCAGTGGACTCAAAACTGACCTCCCCAGAGCTCACAGGCCACTGCCTCCCTGAAGCCTCCTGGCTTGAAATTCCTTCCTCCTGAGACCCTAGCAGTTACTGCTTCCCAGTCTGGGCCTGCCTGACTCCTGCAGGAGGCCTTCTCAATTATAGGGGCTTGAACAATAGAACGTGCTTTTCAGAGAGTACGTCTTTACTGTAAACTGACTCAGAGACCTCACTGTGACCCAGTGAGTTCATCACAATCACTAGCATGAGATGAAAGAGGAGGGAATGCACATTTACTGAGCACCTACTAGGTGCCAGCCAGTATGCAGATAACTTTTCACAAACATCGGTTTCATTTCATTTTTACGGAAAACCTTGAATTTTGTACCATCCCCATTTTACAGATGGGGGAACCAAGGCTCAGAGAACTTAAGTAACTAGAAGGTTGGGCATATTCTTGGGCCTCAGGCAGGGGAGCTGGTTAGGTGGCCTCCTTCCTTGGTGGTGCTCTGGTATCTGAGTTCTGATCCTCTGTTCTCAGGCTCTGAGTGTTTCTTGATTTTCTGGCACACGGACTGGCTCTGTCCTGAGCCTGAGCTGAAACCAGCTGGCCAAGCCTCTAAGAAACGGAGGCATGGATGAGGCTGCCAGTCTATTAAGTACAGCGATAGGAATAACTGTTGCAGGGACAGGGACGTTGAGTTGTGTTTGCCGCAGTGGTCTCAGTCTCATCTACTGGGGAGACCAGGAATCAGAGTCAGGGAAGCAGGAGGCACCAGGTGTCTGAGAACCTGTGGCCTCCTGTCCCAGCTGTAGGGAAGGGGCTGCCTTGGGCACCAGGGCCTGGCCTCCCACCAGGCTGTGAGTGCTGAGGGTGGGCACAAATCCTGCAAGTGCCGGACACTCACGACTGCCAGCCTCTGTCTCTCTTGCCTGACTCTAAAACCCAGGTCCGTGATGGTCAAACTGTGTTCCCTGGAGCCACCATGGGGTTGTGACCACCAACAGGTATATGAGAGGACCAAGTGTGCAGGCATCCAAGCTCCCACGGCCTCCATCTGAGCCACTCTTGGTTCTGTCTCACATTGCTGGGTTTCTCGGGAGGATTCAATTTGGACAGGGTGCTCCCAAGCTCATCAGAAACCATTGTTCTAGATGTGACAGCCCTGTCTCTAGACTTTCTCCAGGCTGTGTCCAGGACACCCAGGCGGCGTCGGTGCCCCAAGTTACAGCCACATTCTGATCCTGCCTCCCTGTGTGGATGGTTTAGGCTGTCCTGGGTAGGAGTGTGGGCAGGCACACATGGCGGTCTCTCAGCTCCACGGCAGGTGGAGTAGAGCTGTTCTTTACTCAGAAGCCTCCCTTATCATCTTTTTTTTTTTTTTTTTGAGACAGGTCTCGCTCTGTCACCCAAGCTGGAGTGCAGTGGCCTGAACACAGCTCACTGCAGCCTCTAACTGCTGTGCTCAAGTGATCCTCCTGCTTCAGCCTCCTGAGTTAGCTGGACTACAGGCACACACCACCACTCCTGCCTAATGTTTTTGTATCTTTTTGTAGAAATGGGGTCTTGCTTCTTTGTGCAGGATGTTCTTGAACTCCTGGCTTCAATGGATCCTGCTGCCTCAGCCTCCCAAAGTGCTGAGATTACAGGCATGAGCCACGGCACCCACTCTCCTTATCATCTTAATTCTAAGTTCTTGAGGAAGGGGACCACTTTTGTCTTCTCTGGTGGTCCCTCGCCTAATGCTTAGCTTTCTTTACGGCCTGCAATAATCCCCGAGCACCCCCACTGGTACAGGGAGAAGTCTAGCTCCTGACCAGGCTCTGATTTCCTCGGCCCTGCCCTATTCAAGTTCCTCAAATTCCTTGACCCCAACCCTTGCCCCATAAGAAACCTCCCCATGACCCTGACCCTGACAGAGAACTGGCCGTGAAAATTTTTGCATTGACAACAGATATTGGAATGCAGGGTTTCCCTATCTACTTCAGGCCCCTTCAAGAATCAGAGAAGGCCAAGCATGGTGGCTCATGCCTGTAATCCCAGCACTTTGGGAGGCCAGGGTGGGGAGATCACTTGAGGCCAGGAATTTGAGACCAGCCTGGCCAATATGGTGAAACCCCGTCTCTACTAAATATACAAAATTAGCTGGGGGTGGTGGTGCATGCCTGTAATCCCAGCTACTCGGGTGGCTGAGGCAGGAGAATTGCTTGAACTGGGGAGGCGGAGGTTGCAGTGAGCCAAGATGGCACCACTGCACTCCAGCCTGGGCAACAGAGTGAAACTGTGTCTCCAAAAAAAAAAGAAAGAAAGAGAGAGAGAGGGAGAGAGGGAGGGAGGGAGGGAGGGAGGAAGGAAGGAAGGAAGGAAGGAAGGAAGGAAGGAAGGAGGAAAGAAAGAAGGCAGAATCAAGGAGTAGAGGAACAAAAAAGGCAAGACATATGAAAACAATTAGCAAAATGGCAGACATAAATCCTAGCTTATTAGTGATACATTGAATGTAAATGAATTTAACACCCCAATCAAAAGGCAGAAATTGGCAGAATGGATTATTATTTTTTTCTTTTTATAAGACTGGGACTTGCTCAATTGCCCAGGCTGGAATGCAGGGGTGTGATCCTAGATCACTGCAGCCTTGACATCCTGGGCTCAAGCAATCCTCCCACCTCAGCCTCCCAAATAGCTGGGACTACAGGGCCATGCCACCACGCTTGGCTAATTTTAAAAACAAAATTTTTGTAGAGACGAGGTCATGCTATCTTAACCAGGTTGGTCTCAACCTCCTGGGCTCAAGTGATGCTCCCACCTGGGCCTCCCAAAGGGCTGGGATTACAGGTGTGAGCCACCGGGCCCAGCCCAGAATGGATAAAATAAAATAAAATGATCTGTGAGAGATTTACTTTAGAGTCAAAGACACAAGAGTTGAAAGTAGAAAGATGCAAAAAGAAACCATGTGAGGAGTTATTAAAAGAGAGGGTGGCTACATAAGCGTGAGACAAATTAGACTTTAAGACAAAAATTCTTACTGAAGCCTGGGCGAGGTGGCTCACGCCTGTAATCCCAGCACTTTGGGAGGCTAAGATGTGTGGATCACCTGACGTCAGGAGTTCAAGACTAGCCTGACCAACATGGTGAAACCCCCATCTCTACTAAAACTACAAAAATTAGCTGGGCGTGGTGGCATGCACTATAGTCCCAGCTACTCCGGAGGCTGAGACAGGAGATCCTAATTGCTTGAACCTGGGAGGCGGAGGTTGCAGTGAGCCGAGATAGCACCACTGCACTCCAGCCTAGGCGACAGAACAAGACTCTGTCTCCAAAAAAAAAAAAAATTGTTACTAAAGATACAATATCTTTTATAATGATAAAAGAGGCAGTTTATGAGGAAGATAAAATGATTGTAAACATATATACTCCTAACAACAGAGCCCAAAATACATGAAGCAAAAACTAATAAAACTGGAGGGAACTGAACTGAATTAGACCATTCAATATAGTAGTTGGAGACTTCAATACCCCGCTTTCTTTTCCTTTTTTTTTTTTTTTTTTTTTGAGGCAGAGTCTCACTCTGTTGCCCAGTCTGGAGTGCAGTGGCACGATCTCTGCTCACTGCAAGCTCCGCCTCCCGGGTTCACGCCATTCTGCTGCCTCAGCCTCCCGAGTAGCTGGGACTACAGGTGCCCGCCACCATGCCCGGTTAATTTTTTGTATTTTTAGTAGAGACGAGGTTTCACCGTGTTAGCCAGGATGGTCTCGATCTCCTGACCTGGTGATCCACCCACCTCGTCCTCCCAAACTGCTGGGACTACAAGCGTGAGCCACTGCTCCCGGCCCCCACTTTCAATAACGGATAAAACAACAAGGCTGAAGATCAACAAGGAAGTAGAAGCCTTGAACAACACTGTAAGCCAAGACCTGAAAGACATCGAAACACTCCACACAGCAGCAGAACACACATTGTTCTCAGCTACGCATGACACACTCTTCAGGATAGACTTATACTAGGCCTTAAAACAAGCCTCAATAAATGGAAAATGATTGAAATTATATAAAGTCTGTTCCCCAGCTGCAATGGAATTAAATTAGAAAATGACAACCGAGGAAATTAACAAATATGTAGAATTTATTTTTTTTTCGAGGTGGGTCTTGCTCTGTCCTCCAGGCTGGAGTGCAGTGGCACTATCTCGGCTCACTGCAGCCTCCGCCTCCTGGGTTCAAGTGATTCTCCTGCCTCAGCCTCTCAAGTAGTTGGGACCACAGGAGTGTATCACCACACCCGGCTAATTTGTGTATTTTTAATAGAGACGGGGTTTCACCATGTTGGCCAGGCTGGTCTCGAACTCCTGACCTCCAGTGATCTGCCTGCCTTGGCCTCCTAAAGTGCTGGGATTACAGGCGTGAGGCACCATGCCCGGCTAGAAATATGTAGAAATTTTAAAACACTCCTAAATAATCAATGAGTGAAAGATGAAATCACAGGGAAATTAGAAAATATCTTGAGATGAATGGAAACTAACACACAACATAACATAACTTACTGGATGCAGCTAAAGCAGTGCTTAGAGAGACATTTGTAACTATGTGAGTATTAGAAAAGAAGAAAGATTTCTAATTAATAACCTAAACTTCTGCCTTAAGAAACTAGAAAAAGAAGAGCAAACTCAACCAAAAGAAAGCCAAAGGAAGGAAATAATAAAGGTATGAGTAAAAATAAATGAAATAGAAAATAGAAAAAATAGAGAAAGTCAGTAAAACCAAAAGTTTTTTCTTAGAAAAGAGCAACAAAATGACAACTGTTTAGCTAGACTGACCAAGAAAAAAAAAAAAAAAAAAAGAGAAGACTCAGATTAATACCTCAGGCATGAAAAGGGAGCTATCAATACTTATAAAAAGTAAAGGGGGGCTGGGTGCAGTGGTTCTCGCCTGTAATTCCAGCACTGTGGGAGGCCGAGGCGGGTGGATCATTTGAGGTCAAGAGTTCAAGACCAGCCTGGCCAACATGTGAAACCCTGTCTCTACTAAAAATACAAAAATTAGCCAGGTGTGGTGGCGGGCACCTGTAATCTCACCTACTCAGGAGGCTGAGGCAGGAGAATCACTTGAACTTGGGAGGCAGGGGTTGCAGTGAGCTGGGATCGTGTAACTGCACTCTGCCTAGAAGACAGAACAAGAGTCCATCTCCACACACACACACACACACACACACACACACACACACAAAAGTAAAGGGATAATAAGGGAACACTGTGAACAACTGCATGCCAGCAAGTTAGATAAATAGAAGAAATGAAAAAATTCCTAGAAAGACATAAATTACCAAAACTGACATAAGAAGGAGAACCCATAAATAATCTGAACAGACTTACAACATGGAAAAAGATTTAATTAGTCATTTAAAAACTTTCAACAAAGAAAATTCCAGACCCAGATGGCTTCACTGGTGATTTCTATCGAATATTTAAAGAAAAATTAATACAAATCCCTCACAAACTCTTTCAAAAAAAGAAGAGGAAGGAACCGTGAGGCCAGTATTACCCTGATACCAAAGCTAGAAAAAGATATCACAAGAAAACTTCAGACTAATATCCCTTGTGACTATAGAAACAAAAGTCCTCCACAAGCTACAAGCAAACCGGTTGGGTGTGATGACTCACACCTGTAATCCCAGCACTTTGGGAGGCCGAGGCAGGCGGATCACTTGTGGCCAGGAGTTGGAGACCAGCCTGGCCAACATAGCAAAACCCTATCTCTACTATTAATAAAAATACAAAAATTAGCTGGGTGTGGTGGCACACACCTGTAATCCCAGCTACTCTGGTGGCTAAGGCACAAGAATTGCCTGAACCCAGGAGGTGGAGGTTGCAGTGAGCTGAGATCACGCCACTGCACTCCAGCATGGAAGAGAGAGCGAGACTCTGTCTCAAAACAACAACAACAAAAAGACACCAGCAAAACAAATCAAGAAACGTATACAAAGGATTATACACCATGACCAAGTGGGATTTACCCAGGAATACAAGGTTGGTTTAATATTTGAAAATCAATCAATGAAACGCACAAAATTGAGAGAATAAAGAATAAAAATTACATGATCATCTCAATAGATGCTGAAAAAGCAAGACAAAATTCAACACTCTTTTATGATTATAAAATTCAATAAACTAGGAATAGAAGGAACCTTCTTCAACCTGATAAACATACCTATGAAAAATCTGTAGCTAGGCCAGGCAGGGTGGCTCATGCCTATAATCCTGGCACTTTGGGAGGTTGAAGTGTGTGGCTTGCTTGAGCCCAGGAGTTTAAGACCAGCCTGGGCAACATGGTGAAAGCCCGTCTCTACAAAAAATACAAAAACTAGCCAGGCATGGTGGTTCATACCTGTAGTCCCAGCTACTTGGGAGGCTGAAGTAGGAGGATTGCTTGAGCACAGGAGATCGAGGCTGCAGTGAGCCATGATTGAGCTACTGCACTCCAGCCAGGGTGACAGAGGGAGACACTGTCTTAAAAAAAAAAAAAAAAACTACAGCTAATATCGTATTTCATGCTATTAAATTAATAGACTGAGAGCTTTCCCTCTAAGATCAGGAAACAGAAAAGATGTCCACTCTTACCACTTCTAGTCAACATTCTACTGGGAGTTTTAGCCCAGGCAATTAGGCAAGAAAAAGAAATAAAAGCCATCCACAAATAGAGATGTAAAACTGTCTCTATTTGCAGATGACATGAGATTGTATGTAGAAAATTCTAAGGAATCCACTAAATAGGAAACTCCAAGGGGCCTCAAATAGTGAAAACAAAATTTAAAACAAAGTAGCAGTACTTACATTTCCCAATATCAAAACTTACTACAAAGCTGCAGTAGTCTAAACAGTGTGGTACTGGCATAAGGCTAGATAAATAGACCTATGGAAAAGAATTAAGAATCCAGAAATAAACCCAAATATTTATGGTCAACTGATACATATATTTTTTACATCCATGATACACACTGGATGTCAATTTGATATTTGACAATGTTACCAAGACCATTCGATGGGGCAAATGATAATCTTTTCTAAAACAATGGTGCTGGAGGCCGGGTGCAGTGGCTCACACCTGTAATCCCAACACGCTGGGAGGCCGAGGTGGGCGGATCACAAGGTCAGGAGATCGAGACCATCCTGGCTAACATGGTGAAACCCCGTCTCTACTAAAAATATAAAAACTTAGCCGGGCGTGGTGGCGGGTGCCTGTAGTCCCAGATACTCGGGAGGCTGAGGCAGGAGAATGGTGTGAACCCGGGAGACGGAGGTTAGTGAGCCGAGATTGCACCACTGCACTCCAGCCTGGGCGATAGAGCAAGACTCCATCTCAAAAAAAAAAAAAATGGTGCTGGGACAACTGGATAACCACATGCACAGGAATGAAATTGGACCACTATTTCACTCTGTCTACAAAAATTAACTCAAAATAGATCACAGACTCTAAAATAAAATCTAAAACTCTTAGAAAAAAAACATAAGGTAAATCTTCATGTCCTTGAATATGACAATGGATTCTTAGATTTGGCACCAAAAGCTTGAACAATGGAAGAAAAAACAGAAAAATTTAAAACTTCTGTACGTCACGAGACATCATCAAGAATGTGAGAAGAGGCCAGGCCGGTGGCTCACGCCTGTAATCCCAGCACTTTGGGAGGCTGAGTTAGGCGGATCCCTTGAGCCCGGGGGGTTCGAGACCAGCCTGGCCAACGTGGTGAAACCCCATCTCTACTAAAAATACAAAAATTAGCCTGGTGTGGTGGCAGGTCCTGTAATCCCAGCACTTTTGGACACCGAGTTCAAGACCACCCTGGGCAATATAGCAGGACCCCCTCTCTACCAAAAAAATTTTTTTCCTCTTTTTTTTTTTTCTTTTTTGAGATGGAGTCTCACCCTGTTGCCTAGGCTGGAGTGCAGTGGCACAATCTCAGTTCCTTGAAACCTTCACCTCTTGGGCTAGAGTGATTCTCCTGCCCCAGCCTCCCGAGTAGATGGAATTACAGGCTCCCACCACCACGCCTTGCTAATTTTTGTATTTTTAGTAGAGACGGGGTTTCACCATGTTGGCCAGGCTGGTCTCAAACTCCTGACCTCAAGTGGTCTGCCCACCTCAGCCTCCCAAAGTGCTAGGATTATAGGCATGAGCCACCATGCACAGGCAAAAAAAAAAATTTTAATTAGTGAGGTATGGTGGTGTATGCCTGTAGTCCCAGCTACTTGGGAGGCTGAGGTGTGAGGATCTTCTAGCTGCGACACCAAAAGCACAACCTATAAAAGAAAAAAAATTGATAGATTGGACTTCATAAAAATTAAAAACTGTGTGTGTCAAAGGATACTATTAGGAAAGTGAAAAGACAACCAATCATTGGATGGAAGAAAAAGTGTGTGTGTGCTTGTGTGTGTGTGTGTGTGTGTGTGTGTGTGGTTTTTTTTTTTTCTGAGACAGGGACTCACTCTGTGGCTCCAGTTGGAATGCAGTGATATGATCATGGCTCACTGTAACCTTGACCTCCTGGGCTCAAGTGATCCTCCTGAGCTGGGATTATAGGCATGCACCACCACACCTGGCGGGAAAAAACATTTTCAAATCACATATTTGACAAGGGACTCATATCTAGAATATATAAAGAACAATAAAACTTCAACAATAAAAAGACAACCCAATTTAAATAAAAATAAGCAAAGGATCTGAAGACATTTATCCAAAGAAGATATGCCAATAGCTATTATATACATGAAAATATTTTCTTTTTTTTTTTTTTTTTTGAGATGGAGTCTCGCTCTGTCACCCAGGCTGGAGTGCAGTGGTGCGATCTCGGTTCACTGCAAGCTCTGCCTCCCGGGTTCATGCCATTCTCCTGCCTCAGCCTCCCGAGTAGCTGGGACTACAGGCGCCCACCAACATGC
The DNA here is from genome assembly GCF_000001405.40 of Homo sapiens. Taxonomy (NCBI): domain Eukaryota; kingdom Metazoa; phylum Chordata; class Mammalia; order Primates; family Hominidae; genus Homo; species Homo sapiens. Next base: position 33,893,574 of record NC_000016.10, on the reverse strand, counting down.
CCGGCTAATTTTTTTGTATTTTTGGTAGAAATGGGGTTTCACCATTAGCCAGGATGGTCTCGATCTCCTGACCTTGTGATCCGCCCGCCTCAGCCTCCCAAAGTGCTAGGATTACAGACATAAGCCACCGCTCCTGGCCAAGATTTTCAACATCAGTAGTCATCAGGGGAATACAAATCAAAACCATGAGCTACGTCTTCATACATATTAGGGTGGCTGCAGTAAAAAGACAGACAATAACAAGTGTTGACAAGAATGTGGAGAAATTAGAATGCTTATTACATGGCTGGTGGGGCAGCCACTTTGGAAAACAGTTTGGCAGTTCCTCAAAATGTTAAACCTAGAGTTATTGTAAAATCCAGCAATTCTATTCCTTAGGATATACTCAAGAGAGCTGAAACATATGTCAACACACAAAAAAAACTTGTACACAAATGTTCATGTACTGACAACCTAAATATCCATCAACCGATGAATGGATAAGTAAAATATGATATATCCGTACAAGAAAAAATTATTCAGTCTGGGCGCAGTGACTCATGTCTGTAATCCCAGCACTTTGGAAGGCCAAAGTGGGTGGATCACTTGAGGTCAAAAGTTCAAGACCAGCCTGACCAACATGGTGAAACCCCTTCTCCACTAAAAATACAAAACTTAGCCGGGCATGCTGGCACACACTTGTAGTCCCAGCTACTCGGGAGGGTGAGATAGGAGACTCGCTTGAGCCTGGGAGGCAGAGGTTGCAGTGAGCCGAGATCACGCCATTGCACTCCAGCCTAGGCAACAGAGAGAGACTCTTGTCTCAAAAAAATAAATAAATAAATAAATAAAAAAAGAAAAAAAAAAGAATGAAATACTGAGGTAGGAGGTGGGACTTGACTCCAGAGTCAGCTCTTGGACACTGGACCAAATTGAGAACTAGCTAAAACAAAGATGGAGTGGAAGCAGTTCTCCATAAGACATGCCTACCAGTGCAGCATTTCAGTTTACCATTGCCACGGCAATAGCCAGAAATTACCACCCCTTTCCATGGCAACGACCCAATGACCCAAAAGTTACCAAAATTTTCCTACAAATTTCTGCATAATCTACCCCTTAATTTGCATACAATTAAAAGTGGGTGTAACTATGAGTGCAGACCCACCTCTGAGCTGCTACTCTGAGCACACGGCCTGCGGGGTAGCCCCGCTCCACAAGGAACAGCACCTCTGCTGCTGTGCACTGTCGCTTCAATAAAAGCTGCTGTCTAACACCACCGGCTCACCCTTGAATTATTTCCCAGACAAAACCAAGAATCCTCCTCTGCTAAACCCCAATTTGGGGGCTTGCCTGCCCTGCATCAGTACTGATACATGCTACAACATAGATGAATTTTGGAAACATGTAGAAAGAAGATTATCACAAAAGATGACATGTTGCATAATTCCATTTGTGGGAAGTGTCTGCAATGGGAAATCCATACAGATAGAAAGTAAATTACTAATTCCCTAGGGCTGTGGGTCGGGGTGAGGAGGTAGGTGGCAGGGAGGAGGGTGCAGGAATGGGGAATGACTGTCAAGTGGTCAGGGTTCAGGGAGTTGAAATAATCTAAAGTTAGATTGTGGTGATGGTCACACATATCTGTGAATATGCTAAAAATCACAGAACTGTAGCATTTAAAAGGGTGCATTTTGTGGTACGTGAAATAAATCTCAATAAAGTCGTAACAGGCCAAGCATGGTGACTCACGTCTGTAATCCCAGCACTTTGGAAGGTGGAAGTGGAAGGATCACTTGAGCCCAGTAGTTTGAGACCAGCCTGGGCAATATACTGAGACCTTGGCTGTACAAAAAACTAAAATTGACCAGGCATGGTTGCACATACCTGTAGTCCTAGCTACTCTGGAGGCTGAAGTGGGAAGTCTGCTTGAATCCAGGAGGTCGAGGCTGCAGTGAGCCAAGATAGTACCACTGCATTCTAACCGTGGTGACAGAACAAGACCCTGTCTTGAAAAAATAAAATAAAATAAAATAAATAAATAAATAAATAAATAAATAAATAAATAATTAATTTAAAAAAGCCATAACAGGTCGGTCGTGGTAGCTCATGCCTGTAATCCCAGCACTTTGGGAGGCTGAGGTGGGCAGATCACTTGAGGTCAGGAGTTCAAGACCAGCCTGGCCGACATAGTGAAACCTCGTCTCTACTAAAAATACAAAAATTAGCTGGGCATGGTGGTACGTGCCTCTAGTGCCAGCTACTCAGGAGTCTAAGGTGGGAAAATTGCTTGAATCCAGGAGGTGGAGGTTGCAGTGAGCTGAGATTGTGCCATTGCACTCCAGCCTGGGCAACAGAGTGAGACTCTGTGAAAAAAAAAAAAAAAAGAAAGAAAGAAAGAAAAAAAAAGCAGCCATACAAACAATAACAAACTGTACTCTAAAACTTGCTCTAGGCCAGGCTTGCTGGCTCACGCCTGTAATCCCAACACTCTGGGAGACCAAGGCAGGAGGATCACTTGAGTCTAGGAGTTCAAAATAAGCCTTGGTAACTCTGTCTCTGCAAAAATTGAAAAATTAGCCAGGGGTTGTGACTTGCAGCTGTAGTCCCAGCTACTCAAAAGGCTGAGGCCAGAGGATCGCTTGTGCCCAGGAGTTTGAGGTTGCAGTGAGTTATGATGGCGCCACTGCACTCCAGTGTGGGTGACAAAGCAAGACCTTGTCTCAAACAAATAAAATAGGGTAAATAAAATACAGTAAAACTTGCTCTGCCTATCCAGTGGGTTTTTTTTTTTTTTGAGATGGAGTTTCACTTTTGTTGCCCAGATTGGAGTGCAGTTGCGCGATCTCAGCTCACTGCAACCTCCGCCTTCCAGTTTCAAGCGATTCTCCTGCCTCAGCCTCCCGAGTAGCTGGTACTACAGGCATTTGCCACCACACCCAGCTAATTTTTTGTATTTGTAGTAGAGACAGGGTTTCACCATGTCGGCCAGGATAGTCTCGATCTCTTGACCTCGTGATCCACCCGCCTTGGCCTCCCAAAGTGCTGGGATTACAGGCATGAGGCACTGCGCCCGGCCTCCAGTGGGGTTTGATATATTTCATAGGAAACATTTCTTTTTTTTAGACAGAGTCTTGCTCTGTCACCCAGGCTGGAGTGCAGTGGTGCAATCTCGGCTCACTGCAACCACCGCCTCCCGGGTTCAAGCAATTCTCCTGCCTCAGCCTCCTGAGTAGCTGGGATTACAGACGACTGCCACCACGCCCGGCTAATTTTTGTATTATTAGTAGAGACGGGGTTTCACCATGTTGGTCAGGCTGGTCTCGAACCCCTGACCTCGTGATCCACCTGCCTCGGCCTCCCAAAGTGCTGGGATTACAGGCGTGAGCCACTGCGCCCGGCAGGAAACATTTCTTTGGGAAAACTCCAAATCTATGAGGGCTTAGGTGAAAGGAATAGAGATTTTTTCCTGCCCTTCTAGTATGGACACAGAGAGGCAGCATGATTGTCACCCTGAACTAAAGCACAGGCTGAGATTTTGAGTGAAGATTTCTGGAACAATGACAAAGGGGAGGGGATGGAGGGATCCCCCTGCCAGGTGTGCCATTATGAGTGGTATCAGCCAGTCAGCACCAGTGAGCTTCGAGGAAGCCTGTTCTCAGTTAAGGGGCACAGATGCCACTAGCCCCAGGCCCCCATCCTGTGGATGGTGCTCTGTCACTCTGAGCTCAGGGACCACTTAAGCCACTCAATGATCAGTCTGAAAATGCCCAGGGGGGCCCAGAGAGGATGTGCATACAGTGAAGGAGAGAAGCTGAGGGCTTCCCCGACCACTACACGTCAAGTAGCGCCTGCCTCCTCTCCATCAGGAACCTGAGCTCTGAAGGCAGTCAGATCGCACTCAAATCTTGGCCAGAGTCAGCCTTCCCCACTGATAGCACAGAGGTAATAATATCTATTGTCTGGGTTGTTAGAAGATTAACGGACTCTTCATAAATTGTAGCAATTAGTATCATAAAACATTAATAAAGCATGGCTATTGGGAGGGATAAGTTCCGGTTTTTCTTTTTTTCTTTTTTTTTTTTTTTTGAGACGGAGTCTCACTCTGTCACCCAGGCTGGAGTGCAGTGGCGCGATCTCGGCTCACTGCAAGCTCCGCCTCCCGGGTTCACGCCATTCTCCTGCCTCAGCCTCCCGAGTAGCTGGGACTACAGGCGCCCGCCACCATGCCCAGATAATTTTTTTTGTATTTTCAGTAGAGAGAGGGTTTCACTGTGTTAGCCAGGATGGTCTCGATCTCCTGACCTCGTGATCCGCCCGCCTCTGCCTCCCAAAGTGCTGGGATTACAGGTGTGAGCCACCGCGCCAGGCCTATTTTTCATTTTTGAGACAGGGCTGGGGACTGGCTTTCTGTAAGTCTCAAGGTTTGCTAGGCTTTGGTGGGTGGGTGACTCATGGAGGGGCCTTCCCTGCAGACAGTAGGCAGTATTGTATTTGAGACAGGGTGTCCCTCGGTCACCCACACTGGAGTGCAGTGATGCCATCATAGCTCACTGAAACTTCGAACTCCTGGCCTCAAGCAATCCTCCCACCTCAGCCTCCCCAGTAGCTGGAACTGCAGGTGCATGCCACTCTGATTAACTTCTTTTTTTTTTTTTTTTGAGACGGAGTCTCATTCTTGTCACCCAGGCTGGAGTGAAATGCCATGATCTTGGCTCACTGCAACCTCTGCCTCCCAGGTTCAAGTGATTCTCCTGCCTCAGCCTCCCCAGTAGCTGGGATTACAGGTGCCTGCCACCACGCCCAGCTAATCTTTGTATTTTTAGTAGAGACCGGGTTTCACCATGTTGGCCAGGCTGGTCTCGAACTCCTGACCTTGTGATCTGCCCACCTCGGCCTCCCTAAGTGCTGGGATTACAGGCGTGAGCCACCACGCCCAGCCCACTCTGAGACAACTTCTGAAACAACATGTCAGTTCATGACACTTTCTTACTTTAAACCCTCCTATTGTTTTCCATGGCACCTTCCTTACCACAGCCCATAAGGCCTCACATGAGGTGTCTTCTGCCCACCACACTGCACTTTCCCCTCCTCACTCTTCTTGGATTTCCTTCATTTTCCAGAACCCACTGGTTACGTCCCACCCAGGGCCTTGTGCCTGGGACCCTCAGCCACCAGCACCCCCAAAGCCCACTCCTCACCCACCCACAAGGTCTCCTCTCAAATGTGACCAACCCTGCTACTCCCCACCACACCTGTCACTGGCCTTTTCCTTGTGTGCTCCCAGCACCTGCCTTGGTTGAGCTCGGGTGTCTGTGTTCTGTCTGCTGGCTGTCCTGGCAGCTCCCCTGCCAGACAGAGCCCCAGCCCCAAGGAGTGGATGAGCAGTGCCTCACAGGGAGTGCATCCTGGATAGGCATCTGGCGGCTGAATGAGTGCTGGCCTCCTTCCAGGTGTGCAGCGGATGGTTCCGTTTGTTACTTGATCTTGAACTGTCATGAGTGCAGTGATTCTGGGAGAGGGTTTTTTTTGGCTCCTCTCCCAGTTTTTGGGGAATAGGATGGCAGAGAGAAGGCAAGATCTGCTGACATTCTAAAAAGGACATAGGGATGGGTTACGGGCAGGCTGGGGACTGGCTTTCTGTGAGTCTCAAGGGTTGCTGGGCTTTGGTGGGTGGGTGACTCATGGAGGGGCATTCCCTGCAGACAGTAGGCAGGTTGCTGCCCTCTGTCTCCAAAGAGGTCTTTAGGAGAAGAAACTGCAACTGGGGCCCCTGTGATGACTGGAAGATTGTGGCTCCAGGACACGGTCACTACCTTCAGGGATGGAAGTGAAGTGATGCTGAGGGGGGAGAAGAGATTCGGTAACATGCCAGCCCTCAGTCATGCAGAACAGCTGGAAGGCAGACTCGGGGACTCTTAGAACAGGCTGGAACAGTGGCACAGCCTTCAGAATTCCGGGAAAGCCTGTAAAACCCAATCAGGACCCGTGGCATACACCATGGTGCTCTGTGTAGCAGGTGCTGCTTTGCTGTGGCTGTTTGTGCACATGTCTGTACATACCTAAAGCACAGAGGTGTCAAATGCATTTTGTATTGTTACCACTTTACGGGTTTGAAAGCTGCTGCATCTAGAAAAGATGGGTGTGGCCGGGCTCGGTGGTTCACGCCTGTAATCCCAGCACTTTGGAAGGCCGAGGTGGGCAGATCACTTGAGCTCAGGAGTTCGAGACCAGCCTGGGCAACATGGCGAAACCTCGTCTCTATAAAAAATACAAAAAAATGTAGCCAGGTGTGGTGGCAGGCACCTGTAGTCCCAGCTACTTGGGAGGCTGAGATGGGACGATTACCTGAGCCCAGGGAAGTTGAGGCTATAGTGAGCTGTACTCATGCACTCCAGCCTGGGTGACAGAGGGAGACCCCGTCTAAAAAAAAGAAAAAAAAGAAAAGAAAGAAAAGATTGGTGGACCCCCACCAAGGGTCATCTCACTCAAAGGGCAGGAGGCTGAGACCCAATTCAGGGGACTGCTGGAGGTCATCAGCCCTGCTTGGTTTTAGGGTAACCATGGGCTTTGGTGTCAGGCAGAGCTGGATTCAAACTTACTGGTTTGTCTACAACCTACCAATTGTATGACTCTGGGTAAGATGCCCAACATCTCTGAGCTTTGTCACTTGCCTGAGTAGGTAGTACCGGTAGCTACCTCACCGATGGTTGTGAGGGTTAGGCAGGACACCTCCTGGAATGCCAAGCTGAGAACTGTTTTTTGTTTGTTTGTTTGTTTTTGTTTTTTGAGACAGGGTCTCGCTCTGTCACCCAGGCTGGAGCTCAGTGGTGCAATCTCGGCTCACTGCAACCTCCACCTCCTGGGTTCAAGCGATTCTCATGCCTCAGCCACCCGAGTAGCTGGGATTACTGGTGTTACACCAGCCCACCTGGCTAATCCCAGGGGCCCTGTTCTGTCCTTCCCTTCATGCTCTGCCAGCTGAAGGCCAGTGGCTGCCAGGGATTCCCCACCTGCCACCCCACCCATCCCAGCACCTTCCAGATCCTCCAGAGTGAAGCAGAGAAATAATGAGACATCAGCCTATAGGAAGGAGATCCAGGAGAGGAAAAAGAAACAAGTTTTATTAAAGCCCCAAACACTTGGCTAGAAAAACTGAAAAGGAAAGAGAGCAGGGAGGTGGGGAGAAGAAAAAAGGACATTAAAAAAAGAGACAGAGAAAACGCAGCAACCCTTTTCCATTTAGAAATTGTCAAGTTACACCGACAGAGGTCATAGAATATCCACAGAAGCCATCACCGCTACACCAACATGGGCCCTACAGGGTGGATGGGGCAGGGTGTGGAGCCGGGGCTCACCCCAGGGGGCCCCCTGGGGACCCCACTCCGAGCCTCAGGCCTGAGCCTCCTGGGGGAAACAGCATATTGTGGAAGGGGCAGGAAATCCCCCATGCGAGTAACACAGCACAGTGGGCGGGGGCTGAGAGGACCAGGTACAGGGGCCCCCCGAGACGTCTTAGTTTTCTCTTGGTCAAGCACACACTGATGGACAGAGCAGCGAGGCGCATGCAGCTGGGGGCACTGATGTGTTGCAGGCTGTGAGAGGGCCAGTGGGGACGGGGGCTCAGGAAGAGATCTGGAGCCAGTGGTGCAGGGATGATGGAACACACGCACACAGAGGCACACCCACACACCTGGGTCTGCACCAGCACACATACGTGCACACACACGGAGACACAGATTACATGCACCTCCATGTATGCGTCTCTGTCCACATGTACGTGGCCCACACACAAGTCTCTGGCGCTCGGCATGTCTGCACACACATTACACATGTTCTCACACACAAAGCTCCTCTCACGCTCACATGCAGGTAGGCACGTGCCAATGCGCAAACAGGTTACATGCACCTATGTGCCCACACCTTCCCCCACACATGTGCTCGGCCATGCCTGTGGGTGCAGGCGCCATGCGTCTGCACACACAGTGCATGGGCTTGTGCCAGCACACACACAGGCTGCACGCAATTCCACACGGATGCCTCCCAGCCCATAAATGTGCAGGAACCAAAGGGAAAGAAAGATGCAAATCCCACTGGGCTTCCCCCGAGCGGTTGGGGCAGGGCCCGTGGCTCCCTCCTTCTGCTCCTTCGTGGATGGACACTACCCCCCCACCTCCCCAACAAAGGGACATTCAACTCAGGACAATGACGGTGGGGCACACATTCCAGTCACAGGGCTGAGGGTGGGAGCTGGGGGCAAGCGAAGTAGCAAGCAGAGAGTAATGGAGTGGAGGGAGGAGGGGGCACCACTCCCCCCTCCCCTCCCAAGTCAGGGGATCTCTGTACAGCCAAATCAAACCAGACCATTTCACTGGGACCACAGAAGCCAGGCAGACGTGCCCGCCCCCCCCAGCCCCCCTCCCCCACCAAAACAGTGGCCAGGAAGAGTGCCGTGGTTTACTTTTTTCTTTTTTAAATATTTATATATATTTATATTACGTATATTATATATAGAATATGTAAATATATTTTTAAAACCGTATAAAATGTTAAGACACTTCACTTAAATGTAAAGAGTTGCCTGCAATTAAAAGTAATTGCATCATTTATGAGGTCCTTTTTTTTTTTCTATTTTCCAGGGTTTTTTTTTTTTTCCAGGAGGGATTTTTTTTTTCCTCTTTTGTTATTTTTCAAAAAGGCTTGCTCGCCTTGGTACAAAAATGATCCAAAGCTAGAAAATAAGGATGAACCAACAAAGTCAAAAACAAAAAAAGAAATGAAGAAACACAACCCGTTTCCCCTCCCCCCAAACCTTCAACAGCTCCCAGCTCTCCCTAAGTGCGGACCTTCCCCAGCCAGGCCCCAGGGGCTGGGGGGCTCTGCCTTCTGCGCAGCTCCTCCTTTCTGTGCTTGCTGTGGGGGACTGATTCTAGTCCCCCTCCCCTGTGCTTGCTTCACTTTGTGCTCCAAGTGGGAATCCTGCTGCCGGGGACACCGCTCCTCCTCCTCTTCTCCTATCCTCTCCCTACTGGCTCCTCACTGTGCCCTCTGGGGGGCCAGGAGTGAGAACCAAAATTGGCCTCTCTCTGCCTCCCCAGGACCCGGCCAAAAGCCAGGTGGCACTGCCAACCGCCTCTGCAGGGCAGGCAGGGCGTCCAGAGGCCAGGGGCGCTGGCTGGATGGTCAGGCCTCGGGGACCTTCAGACATCTCACCAGGGTCACCAGAGCCCCATTGAAAAACTATGTCTCATCGTTTCCTGGGAAAACCCTCAAATCACCAAGAGGATGACTGAAGGTCAAGTCACCCCACCTGTGGGTCCCAGGTGTCTTCGGTGTGTTCATTAATTTTTTTATTTTCAGATGTTACATTTATCTTTCTTATTTCTGTGATTTTATTCTAGTAGATATAGCTGAATGCACATTAATAATTATTGTAACAATCACATTCTCATTTTGTATTTGAATTTTCATATTTATTTTAAGATTTTAATTTTAATATAAAATATTTTTCTACAATTGTCTATTTTCCATTTTTGTGAGATAAAATTAGCATATACAAAATGCACAGATTTTCCAGGTACAGTTAGAGGGTTCCAGGCAAATGTGCACATACTTGTCTACAGCAGCTAAGTGAGGGTGAGGAACAGGTCCATCTCCCCACAAAGTGTCCTCTTCAGTGCTTCAAGTTAGTTCTCCCATAAGGATTTTTTTTATTTCAACTTTATAATTTAGAAACAGAGGGTTCATGTGTGGATTTGTTACATGGGATTATTGGGTGATGCTGAGGTTTGGAATACAGATTTCATCACCCTCTCCCTCCACTGTCTAGCAGTACACAGTGTCTGTTGCTCCCATATTTATCCATGTGTGCTCAATGCTGAGGTGCCACTTAGGAGAATATGTGGTGTTCAGTTTTCTTTTCCTGAATTAATTTGTTTAGGATTAAGAACTCCAGCTCCATTTGTTTTGCTGCAAAGGACATGATTTCATTCTTTTTTATGGCTGTGTAGTATTATACATTTTACATATACCACATTTTATATATCCACTCTACCATCGATGTGCATCTGGGCTGATCTTTGTCTTTGCCACTGTGAATAACACAGCAATAAACATACACACACATGTGTCTCTTTGGTAGAATTATTTGTTTACCTTGTAGTGTATACCATGTAGAAGGATAGCTGGTTCATATAATATCTCCGTTTTAAGTTCTTTGAGAAATCTCCAGTCTGCTTTCCAAAGTGGGTGGACTAATTTATATTCCCATTAACAGTGTGTAAGTGTTTTCTTTTCACCACAGCCCCATCAGTATCCACTGGTTTTTGACTTTTTAGTGATAAAAATTTGAGTGGTGTGAGGCTGCACACCTACAACCATATGATATTTGATAAGGCTGACAAAAAAGCAAGAAATGAGAAAGGAATTCCCTGTTCCATAAATGGTACTGGGACAACTAGCTAGCCATATGACAAAGATTCAAACTGGATGTCTGCTTTCAACATATATAAAAATTAACTCAAAATTGATAAAAGATTTAAATGTAAGACATCAAACTATAAAAATCCTTGAAGACAACATGAAAATACTCTTCTCAACACCAGCTTTGACAAATACTTTTTGGCTAAGTATCCAAAAGCAATTGCAACAAAAACAAAAATAGATAAGGAGAGACTAATTTGCTAAAGAGTTACTATGCAGCAAACCAACCAGCTAACCAACCAACCAAACAAACAAACAAACAAAACTATCAGCATAGTGAGCAGACAACCTACAGATTGTGGGAAGTTATTCACAAATGTTGCATCCAACAATGCCCTAATATCCAGAATTGTATTAGTTGGTTTTCATGCTGCTAATAAAGACATACCCGATATTAGGCAATTTATCATAAAAGAAGAAGAAGAGGTTTGATCCACAGTTCCACAAGGCTAGAGAGGCCTCACAGTCATGGTGGAATGTGAAAGGCACGTCCCATATGGCAGCAGACAAGAAAAGAGAACTTGTGCAGGAAAATCCCCCTTTATAAAACTATCAGATATTATGAGACATTCACTCTCAAGAGAATAGCATGGGAAAGACCCGCCCCCACGATTTAATTATCTCACAGGGGGTTTATTCCACAATATTAGGAAATTACTGAAGCTCCAATTAAGATGAGAATTGGGTGGGGACACAGTCAAATCATATCATTCTGCCCCTGGCTCCTCCTAAATCTCATGTACACACATTTCAAAATGGATCATGCCTTCCCAACAGTCCCAAATTCTTAACTTATTTCAGCATTAACTGAAATGTCCACATTCCAAGGCCTCATCTGAGACAAGGCAAGTCCCTTCTGCCTATGAGCCTGTAAAATCAAAAGTAAGTTAGTTACTTCCTAGACACAATGGGAGTACAGGTATTGGGTAAATAGAGCAATTCCAAATGGCAGAAATTGGCCAAAGCAAAGGGGCTAAAGGCCCTGTACAAGTCCAAAATCCAGTGGGACAGTCAAATCTTAAAGCTCAAAAAAGATCTATTTTGACTCCATGTCTCACATCCAGGTCATGCTGATGTAAGTGTTGGGTTCCCATGGTCTTGGGCAGCTATATGCCTCTGGCTTTGCAGGGTACAGTCTTTCACCCAGCTGCTTTCACTGGCTTGCTCTGAGTGTCCATGGCTTTTCTAGGTGCATGGTGCAAGCTGTTGGTGGATCTACTATTCTGGGGTCTGAATAACTGTGGCCTTCTAATCATAGCTTCACTAGGCAATGCACCAGTGGGGACTCTGTGTGAAAGCACACACCCCACATTTTCTTTCCTCGCTGCCCCTAACAGAGTTTCCCATGTGGGCCCCTCCCTGCAGCCACCTTCTGTCTGGACATCCAGGCATTTACATACATCCTCCGAAATCTGGGCAGAGGTTATTAAACCTCAATTCTTGACTTGTGTGCACCTGCAGGCTCAACACCAAATGGAAGATGCTAAGGCTTGGGGCTTTCACCCCTTGAAGCCACAGCCTGAGTTGTATGTACCTTGGCCCCTTTTAATCATGGCTGGAGCAGCTCTGATGCAAGGAACCAGGTCCCTAGACTGCACATAGCAGAGGGACCCTGAGCCCAGCCCATGAAACCATTTTTTCCTCCTAGGTCTCTGGCTTACGATGGGAGAACCTTCCACAAAAGTCTCTGACATGCCCTGGAACATTTTCTGCATTGTCTTGGTGACCAACATTTGGGTCCTCATTACTTATGTAAATTTACGCAGCTGGCTTGAATTTATCCTAAGAAAATGGGATTTTATTTTCTATTGCATTGTCGGGCTGCAAATTTTCTGAACTTTTATGTTCTACCTCCTTTTTAAAACTGAGTGTGTTTAACAGCACCCAAGTCACACCTTGAATACTTTGTTGCTTAGAATTTTTTACTGCCAGATACCTGGTATCATCTCTCTCAAGCTCAAAGTTCCACAAATCTCTAAGGCAGAGGCAAAATGCCACCAGTATCTTTGCTAAAGCCTAACTAGAGTCAACTTTGCTCCAGTTCCCAACAAGTTCCTCGTCTCCATCTGAGGCCACCTCAGCCTGGATTTTATTGTTCACATCATTATCAGCATTTTGGCCAAAGCCATTCAACAAATCTCTAGAGAGTTTCAAACTTTCACACATTTTTTTCTGTCTTCTTCTGAGCCCTCCAAACTGTTTCATCCTCAGTGTGTTTTCCAGTTCCAAATTCGCTTTTATGTTTTTGAGTATCTTATCAGTAGCACTTCACTCAACTGATACCAATTTACTGTATTAGTTGCTTTTCATGCTGCTGATAAAGACGTACCTGAGACTGGGCATTTACAAGAGAAAGAGGTTTAATAGACTCACACTTCCACGTTGCTGGGGAAGCCTCGAAATCATGGCAGAATGTGAAAGGCACATATCACATGGTGGCATACAAGAGAAGAGAGGACATGCAGGGAAACTCCCCTTTATAAAATCATCAGCAAGAGAGGAGAACTCATGCAGGGAAACTCCCCTTTATCAAATCACCAGATCTCATGAGACTAATTCACTATCATGAGAATAGCATGGGAAAGACCCCCCCACCATGATTCAATTATCTCCCACGGGGTCCCTCCCACAACACATGGTAATTATGGGAGCAACAATTCATGATAAGATTTGTGTGGGGACACAATCAAACCATATCAAGAATGTATAGGAAACTTAAACAAATCAAGAATCCAAAGACAAATAACCCCATTAATAAATGGGCAAATAACAAGAACAGACACTTCTGAAAAGAAGACTTACAGGTGGCCAGCAATATTTTAAAAGATTCTCATCATCACTAACCATCAGAAAAATGCAAATAGAAAAATGTTCTAATTTTTGTCACTATAGGTTAATTTTTTCTGTTTTGAACTTATTTTTGCTATTTTTTAGGTTTATTTATGTAATTTCATGTCTCAAGGTTTTGTCATCATATATATACATATGTATGTACTAATACACATATGAATATTTCATATCTGAATCAATCCATAACATCAGTAAATGACAGTTTATTAAGTAAATAAATCAGTTTATTATGTGAAATAATGACAATATGTATATTTGTTTTCCTGTTGATGAAATTTAAATTTCTTTCCAACATAAATGTTATAAACAAACTGTTATAACTATTTTCGTACAAGTTTTTCTGTTTATATTCTCACATATTGATAAAATACGTAGAAATATAAGTATGCATTTTTTTATTATAAGACTGAGTTACATTTTCAGCTTTATGGAGCTAAAGTTGACAAATAAAATTGTATGTATTTAAGGTACACCAGTTGATGTATTGATATACATGGGAAAATGCTGGATGATAAATAAGTAAACAATGCTAAACAGCACTAATTATCAGGGAGATGCAAATTAAAACTGCAATGATATTTCTTAAACCAGTCAGAATGGCTACTATTAAAGAGCCAAAAATAACAGGTATTGGTGAGGATTGAAGGCAAAAGGAACGCTCGGACACTTGTGGTGAGGATGTAGATTAGCACAGCCTCTATGGAAAACAGTATGGAGATTTTTCAAAGAAGTAAAAGTAGAACTACTTTGATTCGATAACCACAAATAACTACCTAAAGGAAAAATAAATCATTATATCAGAATGATAAGCCGACTTTTGTTTTCTTGCAGAACTATTCATAATAGCCCAGTCATCAAACTTAGGAATTAACCTATGCCTAACAACAGATAATTTTATAAAGAAAATGTTACATATATATACATTTAAATACTATCCAGCCATATGAAGGAATGCAATCATATCTTTTGCAGCTACATGGATGGAATTCATCATTATTTTAAGTATAATAATTGAGAAACAGAACATCACACACCACATGTTCTCACTTATAAATGAGAGCTAACTCATATGTGCACAGGGACATAGAGAAAGGAATGATGGACACTGGAGACTCAGAAAGATGGGAGAGCAGAAGGTGGGAGAATGGTGAGAAATTACTTAATGGGTACAATGTACATTATTTGGATCATGGATACATTAAAGCCAAGACTACTATGCAATATATATATGTAACAAAATTGCAGTCACTCCCCACAAATTTATACATATAAAATAAAAACAAATATAATTAAAATATGATTATTAACAGTTGATCAACAATACTGAAAATTAAAATTGTGACCAATAAATGAAAATAACGTTAGTTGAACTTCAAATTTTAAAACATTTTCTACTCAAGTGACTATCAAGAAAATTAAGGACAAGCTGCAAAGGAGAAAATATTTGCAAGTCATATATCTACCAATGTAATTATAATATGAACTGGCAAACCTCGAAGATGTACAGATGACACACCAGCATATGAATGTGATTTTCCACTAGAGAACTGCAAATCAAGACCAAAAGGAGACACTACCATAGACTTCCTAGAAAGACAAAAAATAAAGAAGAAATACTGACAATATCAGCGTTGGTGAAGAAGTCAGTCACCCTAGAGACTAATATATTGCTAGTGGGAATGCAAAATGAAACAGTTTCTGGGAAAATCATTTACAGTTTCCTATACAATTAAACATGTCCTTAATCCATGACCTAGAACTCTCACTCCTAAGTATGTCCTACAAAGGATTAAAATCATATGTTCACACACATGTATTCAGATGTTTAACATTGTGTGTGTGTGTGTGTGTGTGTGTGTGTGTGTGTTTGTGTGTGTGTGTGGTGTGTGTATGTTAGAAACTAAAAACAACATGAATGTCTTTGAAAATTTGACATAAAGCATTACAGGTGAACTCCAGACTTTCTTCTGAGTGACAGAAGGCCTGCCTGAAAGATCCCCAGAGACACAGTTGTGGATTTCACTGTCACCCTCACATGTCATTGGTTTGGGCTGGGCTCTCTCTGTCTCTTCCCTGACCAGGACCAGATGTTGAGCTCCACTACTTGCAGTTGGAAGTTTATATTTTCAACAATGCACTGAGGTCTAAGTTGCTCTACAGATGGAACCAAACAAACATGGGCGCCTTTGAACAAACAGTGCCTGACATTTGTACTGATCCCAGGAGAACTCTTCCCAGCTCTCTTTCTTCTTGGTTCTCTCCTGCAGGCCAGCAGCCCTGCAGTTTAGCCTGGATCTCCCATGCATTCACCCATCTCCGTCCAAGTGCATTTTACCACAGCCTCCACCGTTTTTGAAGCAACTCTTGGGCTTTGTAATTCTCCACACTCTGTTGTAAATGAAGTCAGGTCCTTCAAGACCAGATTCGGGACTCTATTTTATGACCAAATTTCAGCCTCACCCCCGCTCCTGAGACAGAGCTCCAAGATAAGATTCTGCAGGTGGAGATTAGGAGTGTTTTTCTTCTTCAAGGTAGGAGCTGAGTGCTCAGTGCAGGGTTGGGGAGAAACTTTCCACTTTATCAGCATGCAGCTCCTGCTGGGGTAGACCTTCTTCCATAGAAGCAGGGTTGGGAACCAGGGGGCCAACGTCTTCAGTGCTGCTGCACCCAGGGCAGAGCCTTCATCCATCAGTGAGGCTGTGTGGAAGAAGTGAGTCTCTGGTTCTCAGTAGCTCTTGTCCAGAACTGAGCCTCAGCAGCATGTTCTGTCGGCCCCAGTGTCCTGGCCCCTAGGGAGCAGCATCCTAAAATGGGAGCTAGCATATTTGAGAATAACAACATCTACGCATTCAGAAGCTCTTTGGTTTTCTTTCCAGCTAATATAATTTCCTCTTTTTTGTGTAGCAACCTGTACACATGCATACTGATGCATAGAGACCTATGACACTTTTTTCTCGATAAGTAAAAAATTATTGGTCACTGTGATCTTTTCTCCAAGTTCACCATTTCCCTGAAGGTGAGCACAGGTCCTTCTGCATGTGTTCAAACAAAAGGCCCAGAGACTACCTGGTAAGTGAGGTGCTCACCTGGTTCTGGATGTTTGGTCTGTCTCCTCCCCTCTGTTGCCCCACACAAGGTCAGCCCACTCTTTCCAGGTCCGAAGAAGAGAGCACAGTTTTGTCCTGATTATATGACTCACCCAGCTTCTGATGATTCTCCTGTTGCCAGCGTCCATGGAGGCAGATTATTTATTATGTAATTCACTAAACTAATATCAAATAACAAAGCTGTAATGCCCCACACCCAAAGGTATGTTCATGCAATTCAGTGGAGGAGAGGGCCTTTCAGAGATAGAAGGATCGAGCTAGATTGGTCAATATATGAATGAGGACACTAGACTTGATTGTCGTTGTCCTGCCCCGTGTCACAGGTGTGATCTGTCAGGGCAGAAGCAGAGTTCCTTGTGTGCTCAGATGAGAGGGGTCACGGAGGTTCTCTCTGGTTCCCAGGAAAGGTAATTGCAGTAATCTTGGTGATGAGACTATTCTCCAGTGCTGACCTATTATAGAGTTTGCATATGAAATTGTCACTGCAATCCCCAATCTACATCTTTTAACACGGAAGTGTACAGAGGTCAGGCCACATCCTCAGGATCACACATTAAGGAGAATGGAGATCTGCCCCATTGCTTTCTCCTACGATCTCCAATAGATCTCAGGATTCAAAACGACTCAGAAGGAAAGGTCTCAGGTGCTTCTGTTAAAATCACCCACTTCCTGGGACCGGAAGTTTCCCTCTAACCACGATGGATAAAAATAAATCACACTCCTGATCTTTTCCACATCCAAAGATTCCTGAAGGCAGAGCTGATTGATATCCTCACAGATAGACTACTGCCTTTCAGAGGTGAACTTGGTATTCAAGTTCCAGCAATTCTGAGAATTCAAGGACACCTCCATCTCTCCACTACTTTGCACCTCACCTAAAAACAGCTCTCTTGTTAGAGTGTCTTGTTTCCTGATGTAAATACATCACAAAATTATTTTCAATAGAGTGAGAAATAAAACCCAAGCCTATTCAAAACACAGATTCCTTGGAAATTATTCTGAGAGCTGGGAGTTCATGAAGAACTCCTAATTGCTATGCCAACCCTTCATTGCTATTGTCAGTCTTATGAGAAAATCAGCGCCAATCACACATCACAGGCCAAATCAGTAAACTAAAAGTCTTCTGTTAAAGATCTTAGGATCTCAGGCAGATGCTGAAGACACTGTCTCAGGAGCACCCAGTTTGTCCATAGGCCCTGCTGGACACTCACATGGGACATCCAGCATTCTCTTTCTCAGAGTCACCAGTGGTCTGTGCGGGTGGCTGATGAGACCAGAATGAGGCAAAGGCATCTGCTCAGTGTCGTAGTGATGGTCCAAGAAATGATCCAGATTGTCTCCATGCTAATCAAATATGGGTTCACTGTGAGGAACGCGTCCTGTGGGTGCTGGTTCTTCAGTGAAAGGACCTCTGTCCACAAAGTGTTTGGAAATGGAGCAGGGCATGCATTTCCTCAAGTGGGATTAGGACTTGGACCATCACCATCTCACTTTTGTATGGCTGATGTGCCATTTATCCTCTCTTTCTTGTCCTGAATCAGGTCTTGAGTTATAAAATTCTCTGAATCATGAATATGCAAATATCATGAGATCCACTGAGATTAAATATGGTTATTCTTGTGCCCTGAGAGCATCACCCAACAACCACATCCCTCCTCTAGAGAAGTTGCTGAGAACACAGCTCCTCACCATGGACTGGACCTGAAGGATCATTTTTTTGGTGGCAGCAGCTACAGGTAAAGGACCACCTACTCCGAAGGATGAGAGGACTCTTTTCAGTCAAAAAGAATTTCATCCACTCCTGTATTCTCTCCACAGGTGCCCAATTCCAGGTGCAGCTGGTGCAGTCTGGGGCTGAAGGAGGAAGCTTGGGGCCTCAGTGAAGGTGTCCCGCAAAGCTCTGGATACACCTTCACCAGCTACGATATTCACTGTGTGCGACAGGCCCCTGGATAAGGGTTTGAAAGGATGGGAGGGATCTACTCTGGCAATGGTAAGACAGGCTATGCACAGAAGTTTCAGGGCAGAGTCACCATGACCAGGGACATGTCCACGAGCACAGCCTACATGGAGCTGAGCAGTCAGAGATCTGAGGACATAGATGTGTACTACTGTGCGAGACACACAATGTGAAAACCCACATCCTGAGACAGTCAGCAATCCTGAGGGAGGTGGCAGCAGTGCTGGGCTTGAGAGATGACAGGGATTTTATTTGCTTTAAAGACTTTTTTTAGAAAGCGAGTTTAAGTCATTGCTGAAAAAAGGAAAATAGAAATGCGTATGGACTCTAATTATGTGGGAAATTTTCCATACAACTTTTATTCTGTAAGCAAAATTCAGGGAGTGGAGAACAAATCAAATTAATAAAACCAATAATAGAATTCCTCTGAAAATATTAGTGCGAGCATAAGTTTTGGAACGGGTGTTGTAAATGTTTTGGAGCACAGCTGCTAAGATCACATTTTAACTCTACACTTATCTCCATTATATAAAATATCAAAATGTTTTAATGTTTTCCATTTTGTGCAATTATAATTTTGTGTTCATGCCAGCAATGCATGATAGATCTTGTTCTTCCGCATCCTCATTGCCATTTGGCACTATGAGTATTGCGTATTTTAACTATTCTAATAGATTAGTAGTGATATCTCATTGTTGTTTAAACGCACATATTTCTAATTAAAATTTTGTATTTAATTATTTCATATAATTGTGATGAAGTGTCTCGTATGGTATGTGGATTATTTTTTATTGCATTGTTTCTTTTTGATCAGTTGTAAGTTTCCTTATATACCCATTATATAAGTCACTCACGAAGTTAACAAAAAATTGATTAACAAATATGTGTTTTACAAGTGTATTCTCCAAATTGTAGTTGTTGTTTTACTCCCATATCAGTGTCTGTGGCAGAAAAATATTTATATACATATGTGTGTGTGTGCATATATATATAGTGTGTGTGTGTGTATGTGTAAACTTACATAAAATAATTATTTCATAGCTCATACTTTCGGCATGATATCTAAAAACTAATTATGAATTCCACTAACAGGATTTTTCTCTTGTCTCTAATCTCAGGCCACAATCACAGCATAATTATTTGAATTTCTCCTATTTAATGAGAAGATTATTAAGATGTTTAGAATTCTTCTGAATGGAAGGTGCCTTTTTTCTAATTTTCTTTATTCAATAATCTGTTAATGTCGGTGTTGGCTCATGAATGTTTATTTTTTACTATGGAGAAGATCTGGTGCTACATTATTTATTTTATCGCTCAAATCACCACAGCTTTTTTTTAGGTTCTGTGAGCTCATTTAGTTTGGATTCTGTATTTTTACAGCATGCCCCATCCTTTTGTTTTTGATCACTTCCCTATTTCCTGGTGTTACAAGAAATACTAAGCTCATTATCTCTATTATCTTTTCTACACATAGAATCAGTTATTTCTCCAAGGATTGCCGGTCCTTGATATTAAAGAATTATATCAACACACAAAATTATGATGTTGGGTGTGTGTGTTGTTAATGTACTGTAAGTGTTTCTAGAATCTCTAAGCTAACAGGCCTAGAAAATGTGTATGTATATATTAACCCATGTTAATGGACCCATCTAATCTATTTATGTATCCAATCTTCTGTATGTTTATTGCCTCAAACTTTAGAACACTGGTATCTACAATCTACTATGATGATACATGAATGTTTCAAGCTTTCCTTCCTTGCCTGTCCATAACCACCTACTGCAAAGTGAGGAACCCCTCCCATCATTTGCCATTCATTCAATTTGTTGTACAATTTAGAATATATGCATCGTGGTATTAGAATTGTTAACTTGTACCCCTGTTGGAAGTATGTTTATTGACTAGAAAAAAGTGTTTAAGTGCAGTTTCTTTATACTTTAGATTTACAGAACACCCTGACTTCTAAGTTATATAGGTGAGAAACTTTATGTGCCACCTTCTTCAGTGAGGTTATTTGAAATATGTTGTATACATTTTATTTGACATTCTGTAAAAGACAAAACTGTAGATGTCATAAATATATGAGGATTTTCTAGAAATTTAGAGAGAGGGTATGCATTAGGAGAAAAAGGTACTGTTTGCAAACAGTGAAACTTTTTTATGATCTGCAGTAGTGAACGCATGACACAATTTGTTAATTCTCATAATTCTATGATGTAAACTATGAATCTAAATATATACAACTTATAAAATGATGTAGCACATCATGAACCCCAGGATAAAATGCAGAGTGTACAAAAATAAAATATCAAATACATTTACACCGTGTGGGCAGGGAATTGCATGAGATGCAGGCAACAAAGAATGAAGTAACTTTCCCCATTTGCACATAAGATGTTTCCATTCACAAGAGACTTTTCTTTTATCAGGTTCATGTGCAACCAAGTTTCCCTGCTGACAAGCAATTAATCCAGATGATTCGCATCTTCCTTTGACTGAGAAAGATTTCCCTCAAACTTCAGCTCAGTCCAGGCACACACCGTCTCTGAATGGGCATTTACCATCAGACAATGCCCACACCTGTCCCCACGTGGACCTTTCCCTCAGACAAACGCATCCTCAGGTTGACTCTTCCCTCAGACAAGCACCCCTGTCTTCATGTGAACTCTTCCCTCAGATAAGCACACATGTCCCCACATTGACTTTTTCCTCAGACAAGCACATATAGCTGACAACAAACAGTTATGTGGCAAGATGAGCTTAGGATAGTGGTAATTATGGACTCCAGCTCTGATAGTTTGTAGAAATTGTCATTTTTAAAATTCTAACTGAAGACTTTCCTTTATTGTAGAAGACAGTCCTTTACAGCTCTAATTGCACAGCCTACAGGCAGGAGTCCATTTCCTCTGGGCAAGGTTTATTTTTATTTGTTTACTGTACTTATTTGTTGATAAATATTGATACTATAAAGATACCCTATAGGGGTCCACATACGAGAAAAAAAAGAGTAATGGGCAGATCAACCCTGAACATCCAGTCCCAGGAATCCTTTGACCCTGCCCTCCCTGGAATCCAGAGACAGAGATGGGAAGAGGCCTGCTGAGCAGTGCACTCATGTCCCCAGGGAGAAAGACATGGAAATGAAGCCCCTCCTCTGCAAATGAAAAGTAGCTCATCCCCTGTTCCTGTAGATCCTGGTGAGGAGCCACCCCACATCTGTGCCCTTCCTTAGTGTCCACACCATGGGGTCTGTGCTGATCTGGGCTTCTCTTGTCATCACTCTCAATATCCAGGTTCCCCGTGGATCAGGCCCTGCTGTGGCTGCTCAAAGGTGGGGCTGTTCTCAGTCTGTTGCCTCTGTGTTTGCAGAAGTCCCCTGTGAAGTTAACTAACGGAGTCAGACAGAGAAATACTACAGACCAGGAATTCTGCCTTTTCTGCAAAGCCTCTGGATTCACTTTCACTGAAAACAGCATAAGCTTGATCCAGCAGGCTTCATGACAGGGGTGGGTGTGGGTAATAACAATAATTCAAATGGAAGTTCTCAGTGGGACTCTCCTTGAGTAAAAAGATGATTAACAATCCTCAAATACACTCAGTTCAGGAGATTCTCTTTTAAGATGATTAACCTGAGAGCTCAGGAAAACTCCGTGTATTACTTTGAGGGACACAGTGAGGGGACATCTGAGTGAGCTCAGACACCAACCTCCCTGCAGGGGGACAGGAGGGGACTGCCTGGTAGATGCTTCTCAGAACCACCAGGGGGTGCTCAGGACATCAGGGGGTGCTCAGGACACCATGGGTTACTCAAAACCACCAGGGGGCGCTCAGAACACAAGGGGGCACTCAAAACCACCAGAGGGTGCTCAGAACCACCATGGGGCACTGATGACAAGAAAGGATGTTCAGAACCACCTGGGGGTGCGGAGCCTCAGGAAAACAGCGGGTGCTCAGAACCACCAGGGAGCGCTCAGGACACTGGGGGGGGGGGGTCACTCAGAACCACCAGGGGGCACTCCAGACACTGTGGTGAGGGGTAGCTCAGGATAGCAGGGGTGCTCAGAACCACCAGGGGGCACTCAGGACACTTGGTGGGGGTCACTCAGAACCACCAGGGGACACTGGAGACACCAGGGAGCCCTCAGGACACTAGGGGGAGCTCAGAAACACCAAAGGGCAATCAAGACACCAGGGGGATCTCAGAACCACCAGGAGGTGCTCAGGACACCAGGGGTCTCAGAACCACTAGGGTGTGCTCAGAACCACGAGGGGGCCCTCAGGACCCCAGGGGATGCTCAGATCCACTAGGGGGATCTTAGGACCCCAGGGGGCTCAGAACCACTAGGGGGTTTTGAGGACACCAGGGGGCGCTCAGGACACCAGGGGGTGCTCAGAACCACCAGGGGGTACTCAGGAAACCAGGGGACTCAGAACCACTAGGGAGCACTCAGGACATGAGGAGGCACTCAGAACCACCGGGGACGATCGGGACACCAGGTGGTTCAGAACCACTAGGGTGTGCTCAGAACCACCAGGGGTGCTCAGAACCCCAGGGGGGCACTCAGGACACCAGGGGGTGCTCAGGAAACCAGGGAGCAGTGAGGACACCAAGGGGCACTGAGGACACCACTGCTCCCTTAGGAGGCAGCTCCAAATCAGGTCCCTGAGTGGGAGCAGGGAGGAGGGTTCCTCTTGTATCTTGCCACTAACATGGTGGGAGTTTTTCTGCTTCCTTTGTGGTTTCAATCATTGGCAGATTCTTCGGTATAAAGCAGAGCAAGTATAAAGCTCTGCTTTCTTGTATTGTGTCATGTTTTTGGCTTTGGATGCTACCAGAATTACATTGTACTTTGAGAGGATTCATTCATGGTGTGTGCAATAGTGAATGAAAGCGGTAATTTTAGGGGTGGCTTTGAAAGCTATGTTAGGTGTGGCTGAGGGCAGTTTACAGGAAATGGTCATCACTATAGAAGGCTACTCATTTCTTTGCACATTTGCATAAGCAATTGTACTTTATGAATTAAAAACTGCATGTTTTCTTGGCCCTTTTTCTTAAATGGTCCCACTCTAAGGGCAGTAATGTAATCAAGCTGTGTTTCAAAGACCTCCAATCAAGTTAAGTCTGTTTAGTGAAATGCTTTGTAAAGAAAATGTACATCTATTTTTTAGAGTCACCTTTACATTTTACATTGCTTTACAAATATTAATTTGGTAAATTTAGACTCATAATTGTCTTCAGTAATTTAAAATCTTAAACTCATGTCATGTTAAATTAAGTAATCCTAGGCTTCTCACTGTGAATTAGGGTTACTAAAAATTAGAATAGTAAGAGAGTATAATCAATTTATGGTGAAGTTTATAAAGAAAGATGAGGATATGTTTTTGGCTTAAAAATATTTTGTTTTCCAGTTTACAGGGCCTTTCTACTGGTTTTAAGATGACAACCACTGTTTACATCTAACCCTTTTTTGTTGAACATCTGTTGAGTTTGTATTGATATTCCATAGCTAGAGTTTTAAAGTAAAAGCTCTAGTATCTTTGTATTAGTGTGAATGTGTGCTTGTATCTATTATGTACATATATATATATATTTTTGTTATGTGTTATGGCTACAAGGTACAAAATTGACTTTAAAATAAATAACTATTTTAAATTAAGTCAATGAGCCCTAATGCATCTGAAGTACATGTAACTTAAATAAATATGTAATAAATAAGCTGGCTTCAAAATTATTGGTAAAATAAAATTAGAAATATTTTAACAATTATCAGAATACCTTATGGTTTATATCAATTGATCAAGTGATTTTATATTTAAAATTGCAACTGGATGTTATATGGTGTGAAACATTTCTATGAAGATTATAAAATTATTAACCAAGTTAAAACCAGAATGATCTTTGTAATTTGACAAATAAGATGTTTAATATTATTGTTTTAATAAAAAACAGGTAAATAGTTATTGGAAATACAATCATTTATTTAATAAGAATTTTACTTAGGTAAACACCTGAAATTCATGGGTTATAATATGGATAACAGGGAAAAAGCTTTAAAGGATGAGTATTATAGTTTTCATAAATGATCTAGGTAAGCTATTTAAAAAATAAATTAAGTTAATGTAACAAAATAAACCTTTTAAATAAACTTGTTCTACAATTTAAAAATCTAAAGTTTAATTAAATAATAGATATTGACTAAATGTTTAGGTCATTGCTAATCGTTTTAAAAATGTATACTAAAAGAAAATATTTTTGTAAAATATTTGTTCTTACAAAAAGATTTTATTTAATTCAGAGGTTACTTATAAAACATCCTAAACATAACCAGTAAATAAGAGAGATGCCACTGCACTCCAGCCTGGGTGAAAGAGCAAGATTCTGTCTCAAAAAAAAAAAAAAAAAAGAAATTTTTAGACATAGAGGAGTACTTTTGGTATGAAAGGTTAAAATAAAAAAATAAAAATAATTTTATATGAGAAAGAATCTTGTATGGCAACTTTTTATCCTAAAATAAAAATGACTTTATTTAAGAAAGAGTGATGTTTAGAATAAAACTATATGTTCAAGTATGCCATAAGCGTTTTTTGTAAGTCAAACTAAGGTTTGTAAAAGTTAATTTATTAAAATAACTTCATATTATGAAGTTGACTATAATTAAAAGGGAAGTATTTATAATAGTCCTTATAGATTTGTAGAGATCTGGCTTTCATATAAAAATATATAAATATACTAAAGATTGGTTAGAATGAAAAATTGTCTTAAAGTATTGATTTACTCAATGAAATTATAAGATATTTTAATTTTTTAACCCAAAAGTTTAACTCTTACTGCGTCTTGCCAGTTTTATTCTCTTTTGAGAAGGCTTGAGAGGATCTCAAATTTTTCATGAGCTCATCTAACAATTTTTTTCTTACAGCAGTTAGCCTCTAACAGAGTTAACTTCTAACGTTGTTAGCTTCTAACTGCTATGATTGCCTGATGCTAAAAATCTTTTATATTAAAGTTCTTAATAAAATGTTTTATTTCAATATAGTATTCTGCACTCTTGGGTTTTTTAAAATGTCTATATTTGTCTATGAAACCAAAATCTTCACTTGTAATCCAAGACACATTCTTCCTATGTCTAATTAATCAAATACTTTGTTTCATTAGAGTTGACTTGCAGGTTATCTGATTTCCCTACAGGGAAACACAGTCACACTGCTGAAGGTGTTTTTTTTCCCATTTGGTAAATGGCATAAAACAAATTTTATATTTTCTTGAAATACTTCCTCTGTAGCTGTTTTTAAGTTTTTCAACTACTTAGGAATACTGAGATTTTGAGAAAATATAAATTAATGTTATTACGTTAATGTAACTATCTGCGTAACTTTTAAAGGCCTTGTGCTGCTACATTACTGATCTTTGATTCCTAGGTCTAAAAAGGATACACAACACTTTGGGAGGCTTTGGAGGGTGGATCTCCTGAGGGCAGGAGTTAGAGACGAGCCTGGCCAAAACGGCACAATCCCATTTTAATAAAAAATACAAAAATTAGCTGGGCGTGGTGGCGGGCGCATGTAATCCCAACTGCTTGGGAGCCTGAGGCAGGGAGAATTGCTTGAACCTGGGAGGCAGAGGTTACAGTAAGCCGAGATTGCACCACTGCACTCCAGTCTGGGTGAGACTCTGTCTCAGGAAAAACAAATAAATACAATAAAAATAAAAAAGACACCGAGTCTTGCTAAATTTTAAACTCTGACAGCAATTGAAGCCCCATCTAGACATGTGGAAGAAAATGACAATAAAAATTAATCACACACTTAAGACACAAGGCCAGAAATTGAATCTACTCAACCACTCCAGGCCCAGGGACTGTTACAGAAGAAGTGGTTTGTAAGATTGTAAAAGCTAATTTTGAAAGATGAAATTACTTGAAAGTTTCTTTATACAGTAAACATTAATTGACAAGGGTTTCTTGAAGAATTAATCCACTTTTTAATTTGAAAAACTTATAAAAGTTTATAAGAGATCATTTGAAATTAAATTTTATGGTAAAAGTAATTATAATGTAATAGATTTATTTTTTGGAATTGAGAGACAGTTTTAACTTCTCTCATGCTGTTCTTATAAGGGGTTATTGTTTAGAAAATTAATTCTTCTCTTTGAAAAATAAAAGTTTTTGCTTTCTTTCAAAATCACTGAGTTCTCACTGGACTAAATAAATAACTTACATTACAACAATCTGTAATCCTATTTTGTAATATCAAACATTGTAAACTTTTGATATTTGACAAACTTCACAAAATAAAATTCTAAATGCAGTCATTTGACCTCATTATTCTTTTCTGATATTAGGTCCCCAAAGCCAAAATTAAACTTATTCAGCTTATTTGGTATAATTAAAATATGCAGGGAGCTACGTCAAATTTGCAAAAGTGTTTTAACTTTGGACTATATTTAAATAAATGTGGACTATATAATTGGACCATATTTATATAAATTAAAGAGCATATTTTCCAAAATTGTATGAGATCCAAGTGATTTGATATGTCTTAGTATATTTTATCGGTAGTGTTTATGATTATTATGTAAAATTTCTGTTTATTGCGGAAGTAACCAAATTTTCCCCTCAATTCTGCCTTTAACCATGGCTATTCGAAAACTTCAGTCATCCACAGTTGGTGTTTTACTTTGATTCTTTATCAAGTGGCTTATAATAATCTATAGAATTTTGAGGAGTACTCTTAAATATATGATTGTGACAATTTTATAAATTGTGCCATTGGTATAGAGATTAAAACTTCCAAGACTCTCATTGATACCTGATTGATTTCTGATGATTGTTAATCTAATATTAAGCAGGACAGGACTTAATTGCATGAACTGAATTGACAGAAGACTGAAATTATTTTTATGGCTTATTCTTTAAAGCATTTGCTAATTACTTATGTTCTGTTTTTTCAGAATCAGGAAAAGTTTGTCTTTTAAGCTATTCACAGTTGTTAACAATTGAGTATGGTATACTTTATTAAGAAAAAAATAAAAACATAATATCTTCTTATATACATAATTTCTCCAAAATTTGGAAACTGTGAGTATTCTTATATCAAAATAGTTATTTGCATAGGTTCAATAAAAATCTGCTTTCTTCCATAACAGGGCACAATTGGAGACAATGGTCATTTTACTAAGTCTTTAACTTGAATTATATATTTTCATATTTACTTTATAAAATGAATCTAACCTGGAGAGCTGATAAAGCCCCTTGGGAAAACTGGCATGTACCTTTTTTTTTTTTTTACAGGGCCCTGAACTGTAGTAAGTAAACAATTTAATTTCTGACAGAC
This sequence comes from Homo sapiens, assembly GCF_000001405.40. Taxonomy (NCBI): domain Eukaryota; kingdom Metazoa; phylum Chordata; class Mammalia; order Primates; family Hominidae; genus Homo; species Homo sapiens. The sequence continues at coordinate 33,865,869 of NC_000016.10, read as the reverse complement.
CCAGGACTCCCAAGTTTTCTTGGAAACTTGAAAAAAGAGAAAGTAACCCAATTCACATAGCTATCTGGTGGCACAGATAAAATATTGACTGGGCTTGAAGATTTTAAAGATTCTACCCTTTGACTCCTTACAAAAAATTTCTAGCAAAGTCAATTTATGAATAAAATTACCTATGTACAAACAAAAAATAGAAAACAAAAAAAGAGAGCTAATATGTTAAATGATTATTTTGCTGCCTCTTATACAAAAAAACCAGGCCAAGTCTCATAAGCCTAAAACTGATTTTACAAATAAATTGGTCCTACTATGATTTTATCTCAAATAAAATTGGGGAATTATAGAGAGAAATATTATTTCAAAATAAACTATAGGGCATCAGTTAATAGATTTTAACCTTGTCCACTTGCTTTTCAATTTATATTATTTTCTACAATTTGGACTGAATTTTAAAGCGTATCTTTGCACAAGTCTCCAAAATAACGTTTTCAATTATTTCCCTTTTTAAATATTTTTCCTGACTTGAAACCAGCAGAAGTTAAGCTGTGCTTTCTTACAGCTAGACAATGTAAATTCTAAAGAAAATAAAATCAATGATATGGTTTGGCTCTGTGTCCCTACCCAAATCTCACCTTTCATTGTAATAATTCACACATTGCAAGGGTGGAATGAGGTGGAAATAATTGAATCATACGGGCTATTTTCTTCCTGCTTTTCTCCTGTTAGTGAGTGAGTTATCACAAGATTTGATAATTTTATGAGGGGCTTCCCTCTTCACTTAACACTTCTCTCTCCTGCAGTCATGTGAAATAGCATGTGTTTGCTACCCCTTGCATCATGATTGTAAGTTTTTTGTGGCCTCCCCAGCCATGAAGAACTGTGAGTTAATTAAACCTATTTTTCTTTATAAATTACCCAGCCTCATGTATGTCCTTATAGCAACCCGAACATGGACTAATACAAGCAACTTAATTACATATGAAGTCTCCTTTTGTACCTGCCTATTGTGAAGAGAAAATAAATCTTGAGACCCCAAAATCACTAAGCTAAAGAGAAGAGTCCAGCTGGTGTAATAGAAGATAGAAAGAAATTATTTAGGTAGATAGTTAGGATGAAAGAGTCTCTGGCAAAAACTTTTCTTCTAACAAGAATCAGCTCAAAAATAACTTCTTTTCTAATCAGACACAGTTCAAAGAGATCACTTCTAACAAAGAGCAGCCTGAAAGATCGGGCTGTAAAATATAGATAAACAACTCTGGCAGAGAGGGTATTTCTGTTTGTAATCACCAAAGTTCACATACATAGGATGGGTCCCAATAAAAACACTGGGCCTTAATGAGCACATTCCTTTCCTTTTCTGGGGTCACACTGAGCTAGGAAAGCTGTTAGCTTGTACGGGGTTTGGGATGCCCCCAGCTGCAAGGAGGTACCTGGGACCTGGCATGGAAACTCCTCCCTCCTTTTTCAGCACACGCATGGTGGAAGGAGATAAGGAAAGTGGAGCAGACCAAGCTAAGTCCCCACCTGCATAATAAAAGCATGAGATGGGGCTGCCAGAGACTTCGCTCTATGCAGATGGCACATCTGGTCCTGTTTTTGCACCCTATGTTGATAAGATACCCTCTCCCCAGTAGCACATTTATAAAAATCCTTACATTTTACTGCAGCACAGCAACCCATTTGGGACCCCTTTCTGTGACAGAGAGCTTTTTTGTTTTCCTTTTACATATTAAATTTCTGCTCCAACCTCACCTTTTGCGTGTCTGTGTCCTTGATTTTCATAGCCACGACACAAAGAACCTTCGGTGATATTCCAGAAAACAAGGGTGTTTTACTGGAAAGGGCTTTGGGCAAACCTGCCTCCCTTTCTATTCAAAGTCATTCCTCTGAGGCCCACATGAGACAGATACATATCTGATTGCTTCCTCTTCAGTATCATTTATGAAAAAATGAAGATTCACTAAGTCTGACTAAATTGTGGATTCAGTGGTAGGCTGATAAAGGACTTAAAACAATGCAATCTACTGTGTCTTATCTACTTCTAAACTGCAAAACCCCCTTTCAATTTGTCCTGTCTTGAAGGAAAAAAAAATGTACATTTTACATATATTGATTGATGTCTCATGTCTCTCTAAAATGTATAAAAGCAAGCTGTATTTCTATCACCTTGGGCACATGTCTCAGGACTTCCTGAGGCTTGTCATGGGTGGGTTCTTAACTTTGGCAAAATAAATGTATTAGTCTGTTCTCCTGCTACTAATAAAAACATAACCAAGCCTGGGTAATTTGTAAAGGAATGAGGTTTAATGGACTTATAGTTCCACATGGCTGGGGATGCTTCACAATCATGTCAGGAAAGCAAGGGACATCTTACATGGTGGCAGACAAGAGAGAGTTTGTGCAGGGGAACTCCCCTTGATAAAACTATCAGATCTAATGGGACTTATTCACTATCATGAGAACAGCATGGGAAAGTGCTGACTTACTGCAGGAGAACTACGTAATTTTATATTTCCCTATGTGCTTCTTTTTCATTACACATGTAAATTTTCTTACCATCCAAATTTCCCCTCTACCCAGCTTTTCCTCTGTGTATATTGAAAGCCCTAAAAATCGTCTTTAAGGAATGGCACTAACCACACACAGTTTCTGTGGTTACTTTTATTTTTCTTCCAGGCTGTCCTAACTTTGGGAAAATTAATTTTAATTTGATTGAGATCTGTCTCAGAAACCTTTGGTTTACACTAGGAAAGATCCCAAATTAGGAGCCAATTACTGTAAAAATCAGCCATACCACTCTGCATGTGTGTGTGTGTGGGGGGGTGGTTGGTGTATATGTGTGTGTACATGCATGTTTTCATTTCTGTGGGCTTTAAGCCATGTAGTTCTCTCTGTGAAGATACTTTTCGGCATGACCTTTGAATAGAGAATCGTAAGAGAAATAAGAGGCTCCTATGAATTATCTGAAAGTTTCTGGACTCACCATGGATCTTGACTGTGTCATTGCATCTGACAGTCCCAGGGAAGTGACTCTCTGCTGGTTTCATGAATCTGTGCTTGGGCTCTCCCTGCAGTTTACTGGGTATAGTGATGACAAATCACTGTTTCAAGAGACAATTTCAAAAGCATGAGATGCTGCTGAAAGAGGATTGTGAACCAGGGGACAGCTCTTTCATTCTGGGAGAGCAACATTGGGAGAATATGCTCTGTGAGCCCAAACAGCATCCTCCCCAGCAGGGTGAGGGCAGAGCTGCAGGGCAGGCCCAGAACCCACTCAACACAGACGTCAGCCCTGGAGCTGGTGCAAAGGAGTCTGAGGAGAAAATTTACCAGCATCTGAATTACACTTATTTCAAACAAAAATGCATGTCCTGTGAGTGTTTGTTTCACTATTAGAGGAGTTCTGTACTGATGAAGTTCTGGACATGCCAGCGGACAAATATCAGTAAACAAACATCAGAACTTGAACCTCAGCTTCCCACTGTTGCATTCTCCATGTGTCATCTCTATTATTTCTCATGCTAGATCAGGTATTTAGCTATGAAATATTCCAGTTAATTAACATGTAAATAGCTTGAAGTCTACTGAGTTAAATACATATATTTTCTCCTGTTTTTCCCAGGTGTTCCCTCCCACACCTCCAATAGTCTCTACTATTATCATCGTCTTCTTGATCTTCTGCGATGCCCTGGAGATTAAGGATTTGATTCCATGACAGAGAGGAGGTACATTTCGATGGAACTTTGGTGAGAACCTTGGTTTTTATCCCATTTCCTCTGGGGCTCCACCAGTGCCTCTGGAATCATGGTTTCAGTGGCTTGCCCCTGTATGGTAGGTAATCCCTTTATTCTGTAGTGCTGATGAGGGAGGTGGGTCTGAACGCATTTCGGTAGTATGGGCTCTCCTTCTGTCTCAGACAGACACTTTGGGAAAGGAAGATTTTTCTGAGTGTCCTCATTCTAGAACAAAGGGATTCAATTGTATAGGAATGCGGATAATAGAAAACCTTCAGCCAAATTAAGGTTAATGAGATTAATTGAGCAATGGATGATTCATGAATTGGGCAGCCCCCAGAATCGCAGCAGATTCAAAGAGACTTCAGTGCAGTCACGTGGTGGAAGAAGGTTTATAGATTAGAAAAATGATGTACAGAAATCAGAAGTGAGGTACAGAAACAGCTGGATTGGTTACAGGTTGCTTTTGTCTTATTTAAACAAAATGTGCACACTCAAGAGTGTATGAGTGGTTGAGGTATGGCTGCTGGAATTGGCCAAGACTCCGCTATTGTTACAGGCTCATGCGCTGAAGTTGGCTTTTCAATCTTGTCCACCTATTCAGGTAGGTTACAGTTTGTCCAGAAGGACTCAAACACAGAAGTACGGAGTCCTTCTCAGGCCATATTTAATTCACTTTATCAGTGCCCTTCAGTATGTGGTTCCTGAGAATTTTACATGACAACACGTTTACCACACTGGAATTTAAGCAATCCAACACGTTTGTAGCTTTGTCTTGTAATAGGCTATATTTCATGTGGCAGCCTTGGCCTCAGTTTAGCTAACACTATGGCTTCATTTCTCTCTACAAGAACTCATTTCTTTCAAGATTTCCACGTTCCTGAAAGGAAAATAAACCTTTGGGACCACCAAATCACTAAGCCGAAGGGAAGTCAAGCTGAAAACTGTTTAGGGCAAATCCATCTCCATTATTTCACTAAAATGATAGCTACTAAGGTTTTTAAAAGCTACAGACCTCCTTCAAAATTTGACCACAAGTAAAATCCTTGTGGGCCAAAGACAGACAGAGTCATTTCTCTGCTCATGTAAGTCAAATGCATATCTGATTGCTCCCTTTGCTCTATTGTTTCACTAAGCCAGATTAAGGCCTACGTGACTATTCCTGTAAATTGTGCATTCAGTTAAAGGCTAATCAGAAACTCAAATAATGCAACCATTTCTCTCAAACCTACCTATGATCTAGAAGCCCTCTCCCCACTTCAAGTTGTCCTGCCTTTCTGAACTAAATCAATGTACATCTTATATACATATATTGATTAATGTCTCATGCCTCCCTAAATTGTATAAAACCAAGCTGTGCCCACAAGCTTGGGCACACATCATCAGGACTCCCTGAGGCGGTGTCACAGGCATGTCCTTAATCTTGGAAAATGAACTTCCTAAATCTATTGAGATTAGTCTCAGATACTCTTTGGTTTACAGGTTTGTTTTTTGTTTCATAACTTCAATTATTTGACATGCTAAAGAAAATTTGCCAAATAGCACATTCTCTTGTTTATGTGTTATTGTTGTTGCAAAAATAATATATTTTATATATAATTTATCATCTATGTACATTACCAAATTGAGTAGCAGATTTATTAGTAAGACCCAAAGTAATGAAAAGTTTGAATACCAATTAGCAACTTAGAAAAACAAATTATGCTACATTTGTTTGCTGAAATGCTACCTATTATTTATTAAAAAATAAACAATACAACATAAAAGGTTTAATTCTCAGTATTTCTACTGAGAAAAATAAGCCAAATAGATAAGAGTACATACTATATTATTTCATTCTTATAAATTCTAGAGAATAAAAACTAGTCTAAAGAAATATGAAAACATCAGTACTTTTATAAAGAAATGGTAGAAGAAAAGAGGAGAAAAACAAAAATATGTCTGTAAAAGAGCAAGAGGAATTCTGAGGTGAGTTGACTTGTCACCTTCTTGAAAATAGAGATTTTCTTTATCAAAGTTTACTATTGTGCAGGTTAAATATGTGAATTTTATCATCTGTCAATTAAAACTCATAAAATGTATTACAAGTAAACAAGTGAAATTTTAGACAAAAAAGGGATGATAAGAAGGAACAAATGAATACATTAAATATCAGATACACCAAAAATTTATCTGCCTGATGCCTAGATGTTTCCGTATTTTTAGGTAAATGCAGCAAAATCACACAGGTTCTCGTGGCAGGAAGTGGATTCTGCAAACCACACTAGGCCCATTTAGCTCTGTCCAATAGTTGGTTAAGAGAGCAATTGAGGCCAGCTGTGAGGAGCATAGGCCCAGGTACTAGGACTCACTCATGCTAGACATAAGCCCTTAGACACATACATAGCCCCTCCATGTGTGGGTTCACTTTTACATCTGTAAACAAAGAAACCACTGACTGCTAAATAACATCATTTATACACATAGGTAAAAATAATTAAAAATATGATAGTTGTTAAATGTTTATCGCACAACAATTTCACATTAAGACAGCATTTTCCCAAACACAATCATTGTCATCAAAATCCCCCAGGACGCTCTCATCTACTCTGGGCCCTGCCCTTTCCTCAGGAGTCCCACCCCATAGCTTGCTATATAGTAGGTGACATGCAAATAGAGCCCTCCCTCTCCTGATGAAAACCAGCCCAGCCCTGACCCTGCAGCTCTGGGAGTGGAGCCCCTGGGAAACACTTGGGATTCCCAGGTGTTTCCATTCAGTGATCAGGACTGAACACACAGGAATCACCATGGAGTTTGTGCTGAGCTGGGTTTTCCTTGTTGCTATATTAAAGGGTGATTCATGGAGAACTAGAGATATTGAGTGTGAATGGGCATGAATGAGAGAAACAGTGGGTATGTGATGTGTGGCAATTTCTGACCTTTGTGTCTCTCTGTTTGCAGGTGTCCAGTGTGAGGTTCAGCTGGTGCAGTCTGGGGGAGGCTTGGTACAGCCTGGGGGTCCCTGAGACTCTCCTGTGCAGGCTCTGGATTCACCTTCAGTAGCTATGCTATGCACTGGGTTCGCCAGGCTCCAGGAAAAGGTCTGGAGTGGGTATCAGCTATTGGTGCTGGTGGTGGCACATACTATGCAGACTCCGTGAAGGGCCGATTCACCATCTCCAGAGACAATGCCAAGAACTCCTTGTATCTTCAAATGAACAGCCTGAGAGCCGAGGACATGGCTGTGTATTACTGTGCAAGAGACACAGTGAGGGGAAGTCAGTGTGAGCCCAGACACAAACCTCTCTGCAGAATGCTTGGGGGAAATCAGCTGCGGGGGGCGCACAGAACCCACTGATCAGAGTCATCCCCAGAGGCAAGTTGCAGATGGAGGCTGGTTTCCTGTCAGGATGTGGGACTTCATCTTTTTAGAGTTTCTCTAGGGAATCTCTCTAAGTTCAGAATTCTGTGCTTACCAATGTCATCTCTACATATTTTTAAAATGATTATTTTAATATGAAAACCTATTCTCCTATGCACAAAACACAGATTGATGCTTACGGAGATGAAAAGCCCTCAACCATTGTCACCAGGATCAGAGTATTGAGGAAACTCAGGGATACCTGGTGAGTCTTCTCCAGTCAGACTCAGAACAGAAACCTCAGTGAGATTCCCTGACTAGGACGGTCTTTAGGAATTGTGATCACAGCCAATAGAGTCTGGGCCAGGGTCAGTGTCATGTAGAACCTCACAGTTTTCATGCCTGACCCTTCTCCTGACACTAAAGTATGCAACTTAGTATCAGCACTGATCTGGGGCCCCTTTTGCTCTTAGCCCACTCTATTTCTTTTTATTTGTTGTTGTTGTTCTTGCTCTTCCTTGTGCTGTTTGTGCTTCCTGTAAAGTGGGGATGTGGTTCTTGCTGCCAAAGCTCGAGGTCTCAAGCCCATTCCCTGCAGCTGAGGTGGGGCTCAGGCTGTGGCTCCTGCAGCCATATGGGAGAGGCTGATAGGACTTTCCTCTCTCCCATTGCTCAGCACCCTCCAGTGTGTCATGTGGAGACTCACCTGGGAATGCAAGTGGCCAACAGTAGTGAAGAGGATGAGCTTGTGTGGTCAAAATGGGATGTGGATGTGAAATTTATCCTGTGCTGTGCAAAGTACCACAGAGTGAGTCACCTTCCTCACCAGTAGTGTTAGAAAGAGGCTGTGAAAGTTGTCAGAATCAAAATAGATCCACTTGTGTTAAAACCCTGACAAATGGAACTAGGAATGACCATGAAGGAGGTTTCCCATGCACATACTCCTGATAACAAGAACGACCATGAATGGATTCTGCTTAACCACAACCTTTGATAGAAGCCACCATGACCTTATAAAAATCACTTCTACAAGGACATCTTCCCAGAAAATCACTGTTTAACCCTATATTGATGCCAACCTTGGTATTGACTCTACAAGCAAGGAAAATACTCTCAAAACAATTTATGTAACCCACCTCATTTTCACTCATAAACCTATGGATTGACATCCTGGAGTCACTGCTGCATTTGTTGTTAATTGTAATTAGCCCCTTTTACAATGTTTGTGACTGTTTTTCTCCGATGTCTCTTGGAAAATAAATAATTTACAAGTTGATGGCAGTAAAGAAGCTATTTAGGACATTTTTAACATCCTGTTGAATATTTCTGCATAGCACATCGATCCCCTAAAATACTTCGCTGTATTGGCATGTGATAAATCAGAGTATAATGCTGAAGGTAAAATGGAAAATACATGGGCTTTTGATGAATCAAGTCATAGGGTGATATTGTCTTTGCCCTTGAGGAAGCAGACCATGGGCTGTTAAGTTCTAGTGGGAGTACCTTTGGCAAAGGGATTTCATGAGTTTCTGAATGTTATGCTACTTTCAATTTAAGAATGCAACTTGTCATTTATTTTTACTTAAATTTTTCCAGAAGATATTTGGCAGTAAGGACAGGGTAGCATTCGTGTGATACTGATGACTTAGAGAATTATTTTGTAATTTCTCCTGTAAGGTATGCACATTGCTCACTCGATACAGAAGGTCAAATGTCACAGGTGGGAAAATAGGAATAAAGCAAATTTTATTAAATGTCATGACTGTAGTTTTTGGCAAGGAAGTGCTTCATGTCAACCTGAAAACAGACAGACAACAATAAAACATATTCAAACCCACAGGGAGTCAGACCTATGTCCTTCTCTCGTATAAGTACAAGGCCTTGCCACATCCAAACTATCCTTTAGGCTCCAGGGTATAAAATGCTTTTGGACTGTGGAAGCTAACAGCTCTCCCCTCAGGCAGGGCTAAGGTATCTGGGGAATGCAGAGTTGTGTTCACGAAGAAGATGGCATTATGTCTGTCTTCTCCTGTGCCTGGTGACGGCTCCCCCAGGGTGAGTGTCTCAGATGTGGGTCTATGGGGTGAGTGTAGGTACATGTGACTGACAGGGACTGATTCCCCATGTACTCACATGCCCTGTCCCAGGAGCAGCTGCAGGAGTCAGCCCTGGACCTGAAGAGCCTGCACTGCCCCTCTGCATCACCTGCACTGTTTCTGGCCACTCCATCACAACCAGTCCTTACTACTGGGCCTGGATCTGCCAGCTCCCAGGGAGGGGCTGAAATGGGTAAAATGCATTGCTAGAGGTGGTGGGAATCCATTCATCTTGTGGAAAATGGCAGCATCTCTTTATTTTATAAGGCAGAATCATGTTATATTGTGTACACATACCACATTGTCTTTATCCATTTGTCCATCGACAGACACTTAGTTTCCATATCTTGGCTGTTGTGAATAATGCTACAATAATCACAGGAGAGCAGGTATCTTCACAAGGTGGTAATTTCATCCCATTTGGGTATATTTCCATAAGCTGGATCGCTGGTCATATGGTATGTCTGTTTTAATTTATTTAGAAGCCACCACACTGTTTTGCATAATGGTAATGATGGGAATGTAGAATGTCATAGCCACTATGAAGAACAGTTTTAGATTTGAGGTATAATCCAAAAACACATAGTGTTTGATCATGGTTCTCATATGAGGCTCTAATAAACCTAGTGGAAGTCCAGAAAGTTTTCCCACCTTGGGCAAGGATGAGTTTGCCCCTAATTATCTTTAAGGCAGAATATTTGCAGAATGTGAGATGGAGTCTGTTGACAGGATTCAGGATGATTCAGTAATAAATAGTAATGGCACAGAAAAATAGGGAGTTAGAGACATGCAGAGAAAGAAAGAGATAGAGAGAATATGAATCTTGTAAGAGGAAAATCTGCTGGATATCAGTGTTGGGTTTTCATTCACAGAGACATCAGTGTGAGTGAGAAACCAAGAAGTCAAGTGAGGAGTGGAGAACATGTTCAGTCTGAAAATCAGCATATACTCAGAGGCACCCATTGCCCCATGACACAGGTGGAGAATTTTGGAAACCAGTGAAGTGTGAGTTCACAATAAGTGATGAAGTTATCATTTTTCCAAACTTTCATTAATATGCAAAGTATTTCTATAGATCACTCATGCATATACACACAAAATGTGTTTTTGCATTTATGGATGTCTAGAGAAAAATAAGTGAGAAAATTTTTCCAGGTTGCAGAGATCTGTTTAAGTTGCAGATTCCATAGGAGAGTGTCTTTGAACGAATACTGGTCTATTGATTAAATAGTTCAAAATTCTCTCTGTTGGAGCAGCCTTCCAATTATGTAGATTTCTTTATTGCTTCTTGAGTTGTGAAACATAAACCCAAGGATTGACTTACTGTAATTCAACTGGTGTGTTCATAAAATTTCTGATAAGTTTTCTCCCAATGATTTGAGAATAGCTTTCCTGTTTTTTTACTCAAGGAAATGAATTTTCACAAGGTTTCAGGACATCACATTTCAGGTGTTTTACTTAAAGAGACTCTGCCTGGGTGCAGTCAGCTTTCTTCTAACCATGAACTCACTTCTTCAGCAAACCATTCAGTTTGTGCCTCTATTAAGAATGATGAAGCTTTTAAACTTCAATGCACTGAAAATCATGCCCCTTGAATTAAATGTGGATTGGCACTGACATGAATTGGCCACTCTTGGATATGTATCCTAAATTATGGGCTCAACATATTAGCGGACTGAGAATCCTCCATTAGCTGCCTCTGACTGTGGCACTGACCAGATTGAGAATCCTCAGAGTCATCCATGGAAAAGAGAATCCTTAGGTTCATGGGGTTTTTGGAGACATTCAGGTGAGTGGAGGGGAGAAAGAGGACAGGGGGTGGCCAGCCATTTCAACAATACTGGGAATGATTAACATCTAAGTATAAAGGTCTGCATCACTCAAAACACCCTGCATGACAGGCTGACAGAAAGAAATCCAACCCCACAGTGGCTCCATAGCAACTCTTTAGTATACTTGGTAGTGAAGCTCTTTCAGGGAAGAAACATCCACTCAAGGGACTCAGTGATGCTTCTCTGAGCTATAATAAACAGTGTATTGGACCCAGGTTTCTCTGAGTTCAATGTGATGATTACACTCAGCTGCTGCTCCGATGAGTTTAAATGAGCATGTGGCAATTTAGATGGGCCTGGCTGTGTGGTATGTTATATGTAAATCTGAACTATGTAAACATAAAGGGCATGTCTGAACTAGTGTGAGGGTGAGAGATCTTAGAGGGCCCACACCTCACACTCTTGTGCTTATTTGCTCCAGGAACCTCCAGGTTCTTCGAGTGAAAATCGACATAGATCCTTTCCTGGATAAATCATCCAAAGACCTAATCTCTGAGAAATACACACGTACATTTCTCCAGATAGACCATCCAGGGGAAAGACATATCTAGAACCTTATCTGTATTGGGTAAGGTAGTCCATCTCCATTACAGACCCTCCCAGCAGCCTTCCTTTATCATGAAAGTGGATAAAATTAGCCGATACTGAAATAATCCTATAATATTATAGCCAGAAAAGGGAAAGCATCAGTTTCATTTCTGGAGACTCTGCATATAGGTCACAGCCCAGAGAAAAAAAGGATGATTGAATTATTAAGAATCAATTGTAAGAACATATAATACTTCCAGGATGCACACTTTGTTTTCTCACCAGTATAATCTGGGTTAAAGATGAAAGTGTGGCAGTGCACAGACTCTATCTGAGGAGGAGAACATAGGGAAACTGAAAGACAATGGCAGAGAAAAAGACAAGGACAGTAGGAAAATCTGAAGCCTCTGACATAAATTTTTTGAAGACAAGGTCTTGGCAAATCCATTGACCTCAGATTCTTTTATCATGGGGCATTTTCAGGGTTCCTAGCTGAGAAAAAATATTCATGCACTTCCCAAGTCTCCACTTGTATTCTGTTTGCCTTAGATCGCTAAGAGAAAAAAGCCATAAACCTAGGCCTAGTGTCTGTGTAGGAGGCGCTTTTATAGGCTAGAAAATAGTAAGAAAGGAGAATATGTGTTATTGGAATAGCATATACAAAGGTGTCTTTATTCTGAATGTATCTGTACCTGCAGATATTCTCAGATGCAACATTCAACTGCAGGAGCCCAACGAAGAAACTAGGCATTCCCCAAATCCTACAAGTTTTTGTATTCATTATGTGTCCACTGATTCAGGAAATGTGAAGCTTCAGAAAAGGGACTCCCTTCTGAGTCATAGAATCTTTTCTGTGGGTATCCCTCAGTAGGTTTAGTGAGGCTAATCAATTGTTAAAAGACATGGTGTCGGCAGCATATGGTGTCACTGGCAGAGAATTCTAAATCAGGACACAGCCACTTCATGCTGGGCTAGAGACTCTGAAGGAAAATATCTGTGAGCCCCGACAGAAACCTCATTGCAAGGCAAGAGCCTGGGTGAAAGGGGGCACTTGGGAGCCACCAAGCACAGGTTCCAGCCCTGGAGCAGGTGCACAGCTGGGGTGGAAGTTTCCTCTCAGGGCCTGGGTTTTCCTTTGTCAGGAAAAAACATCTAAAATAACTGTTCAAAAAGTCGCTGACGTGCTTTAAATATTCTATCACATCAAAACCATTCATATAACTTAAGGCACTGAGAACTATTTTTTGAAGTGGGTTTCTAGAACTATAATATCTTAGTAGTGAGAATATGAAGGATGGGCATGTTTTTACTAATTCTATGGGTACAGATTAGTTGAAGAAACTTCATTCCTATGAATAAGAAATTCAGATTTCAGTGTTAAGTAATGTTGCTTACATTGTATGAGTGACAGGGCAGTAGTGGATCTGAGAGTGTGGCAGGTGCACAGACCAAGTGAGTCAGAAATCAATATGGAAAGGTGAGGGTCTGTGGATATGAACTGAAAGTATGTAAATACTTGACAAAATACTAATAAGTGGAGTTCAAAAATAACCCAAAATTGTTCTAAACACAAATTCCTTGACAATTACTTTGGGAGTAGAGAGTTCATAATGGACTCCAAACTCCTGCTTTATCTTCTTCTGATTCCCATTGTCTGTGAGATGAGAAAATCAGCTCTAATTATGCATCACAGGGCAAATCTGTAAACCAACAGTGTTCAATAGAATTGAAGATCCTGGGGGATCAGGACATGAGTCAGGTGCTGGAGACAGTGTCTCAGGAGCACCCAGTAGATCTCAGAGGTCCCTCCTGGACACTCATGTGGGACATAAGCGTCACTTTCTCAGAGTCACCAATGAGCTGTGCTGGTGCCTGATGGGTCCAGGAAAAGACCAAGGCACCTGCTCAGTGTGATGGAGAGTGATGGTTCCAAAAATGATCTAGGTGGTCTCTATGCTAATCAAATATAGGCTTACAGTGAGGAGCCTGTTCTATACGGGCTTATTCTTCAGTGAAAGGATGTCTGTCCACAAATGTTTGTAAATGGAGCAGGGCATGCATTTCCTCAAGCAGGATTAGGACTTCGACCATCTTCATCTCACTCTTGTAAGGCTGATGTGTCATTTATCTTCCCTTTCTTATCACGGATTGGGCTTTGAGTTAAGAAAGGCTTTGTCTTATGAATATGCAAATATACTGATATCCACTGAGGTAAATATGTTCTGTGCCCTGAGAGAATCACCTGAGAGAATCCCCTGAGAGTACATCTCACCATTGGCTGGACCTGCAAGATCCTCTTCTTGGTGGCAGCAGCCACAGGTAAGGGGTTCCCAGGTCCCAGTAATGAGGAGGGGATTGAGTCCAGTCAAGGGGGCTTTCATCCATCCTGTGTCCTCCCCACAGGTGCCCACTTCCTGGTGCAGCTGGTGCAGTCTGGGGCTGAGGTGAAGAAGCCTGGGGCCTCAGTGTTCTCCTGCCAGGCTTCTGGATACACCTTCACCTACTGCTACTTGCACTGGGTGCGATGGGCCCCTGGACAAGGGCTTGAGTGGACAGGATTTTAGTTATTTGAGATATTTTTCATACAACATTTATTCTGCAAGCAAATTTCAGGGATTGTAGAATGAATCACATTAACAAATCTGATACAGAACTTCCTCTGAATCAATCTTTGTAAACATCAATTTCTGAATCAACGTTGTAAATACTTCGGAACACAAGCACAAGTTCACATTTTAACTCTACTTTTATCTCTATTTAAATAATGCCAAAAAATCTCATTTTGTGCATGTAACGTTTTGAATCCCCACCATCAATGCATGACATTTCTTGTTTTTCCACATTCATGTTACCATTTATCATCATGAGTATTGTGAGTTTTAGCCATGCTGATAGGTGAGTAATGGCATCTAATATTTATTTAAATGCACATGTCCCAAATAAAAAAATTTATATTAAACAATTTTTATATAATTTTTGCTGAGATGCCTTTCCTGATATTTGGTTCATTTTTATCTCCATTGTTTTCTTTTCATTAGTTGTAAGTTTACTTGCATATTGATTATAAAAGTCATTTAACAAATTGAAAGAATTGATTTAACAAATATATGACTTGGAAGTATTTTCTCCCAGTCTGTGGTTGCCTTTTTCTCTCTTATCAGTGGGTATTTCAAAAAATATGTGTGTGTGTGTGTGTGTGTGTGTGTGTGTGCACAAATTTAGACAAAAAACATAAAAAATTATTCATTCATAGATCATGTATTTGGCATTATATCTGAAGTCTCATTATAAAATACACTAATAGTGATTATTTATTCCATGTCTCTAATCTCAGGACACAATCAACTCATGAATGTTTAGCCTTCACCTATTGATTGGAGGAATATCTGCCTGAGATATTTGGAATACTTCTACAAGAAGACGTGTTCTTCTTCCCATCGTTTCTTTGTTTAATCATCTATTAACATCCATATTGGTTTATGGATGTCTGTTTCATACTCTGAAGAAGATCCATGCTACATTATTCATTTTCTTGTTCAAATCTCCACAGCTTTATTAGGTGCTGGGAGCTCATTTAGTTTGGATCCTGCATCCTTACAGCAAAGCTGATCCTTTTGTTTTTGAACACTTCCCTGTTTCCTGATATTAAAATGGATTCTAAGCTTGTCTCTTTATCACCTTTTTCATACATAGAATTAGCCATGTATATAAAGATTGCTTGTTTCTGATTTTAAAGAATAGTGTTAAAATAAAATATTGTGATAATGGGTATGTGTGTTGCTAATGTGGTATAAGTACTTCTGGGACCTCTCAACCTTCTGTTCTAGTAAATGAGCATGTTTATATGAATCATGTTTATGGACCCATTGAAACTATGTACCTAATCTTCTGTAACTTGATTACATTAAAAATGAGCACACACTGGTCTCTCCACCCAACTATGCTGCCACATGGACCTTTATAACCTTCCTTTCTTGACTGTCCATAACCATCCACTACAAAGTGAGGAATCCCATCTAACCACATGCCATTTGATTACTTAGTTGCACGATTTCAGGACACATACATAGCGGTTTCAGAAATGAGAAGCTGTACCCTTGTAGGAAACATGTTTATCTACTAGATAGAGTACTTATGTGTGATTTCTTTACAATTTAAACTTAGAGAACCACCTCATTTTCAAAGTTGCTTACTTCAGGAACCTCATTTTCCACTTTCTTCAGTGAAGTCATTTCAATTGCACTGTATAGTTTCATTTATTTGAAATTCTGTAAAAGTCAAAACTATACTCAGGTAAACAGAGAGGATATTCCAGGAATTTAGAGAGTGGGTGTGAAATAAGTAAAACAGGCCTTGTTTAAGAAGAGTTAAGACTATTTTAGTGATATGCAATGGTTGAGACAAGACACAATTAATTTGTCCCAGCTCATAATTTTGTGATGGACAATATAAACCTAAATATACACAATTAAAAATATATTTAGGAATTCATTAACCCCTGGATAAAATGCAGACTGTACAAAATTATCTAATAACATATTTGGGAGTGTGGGGATATTATGAGATGCATGCAACAAAGAAGGAAGTAATTTTCCTCATTTACATATAAGATGTTTCCATTTACTAAAGATATTTTTTTGAAAAAAATCAATTTTCTACTTGACCCAGGTTTTCTCTTCCTGACAAGCAAGTAACCCAGAGGATTCCTTTTCTTTCCTAGATTGAGAAAGATTTTTCCCAAACGTCAGCTGAGTTCAGGCATACCCTGTCCCTGAATGCTCATTTACCCTCAAATGGGTACACACACCTGTCAACATGTGGGCTCTTCTGTCAGACAAACACACCTTTACTCATGTGGATTCTTCCATCAGACAAACACACATGTCCCCACATGGACTCTTTCCTCAGACTACCACATATGTCCTTACATTTACTCTTTCCTCAGAAAACAGACATTTCCTCACGTTTACTCTTGTCTCAGACAAGCAAACACGTCCCCATGTGAACTCTTCACTCAGATAAGTACACATATGTCCACATTGACTGTTTCCTGACACAAGTCCATATATCTGATGTTGAAATATGTTGTGAAAAGTGATCTCCAGATAATGATAATTATAAACCCCCTCCCTAACAAGGTGTAGATCTGCATTATTTTCATTGTAACTCAACTTTGCCACATGGTCAGGAACAGTGGTTTCCAGCTCTAAGTGTACTGATTACAGAGAGATGTCTGTTTTCTCTGGAAATGTATTTTTATGTTCTTACTGGATGTATTTGATGATAATGTTTTCTACTATGAAGATACCTGAATAGTGTCCACACTGGAGAATAAGAAAGAGTAATTGGCAGATTAACCCTGTGCCTCCAGACCCGGGAATCCTTTGACCCTGCCCTCCCTGAAATGGAGACACAGAGGACAGATGAGCAATGCCGGGCGGTGCACCCAGGACCACAAAAAGAAAGACATGGAAATATGTCCCCTCCCCTCCTCATGAAAGGCAGCTCATCCCCTGTTCCTTCAGGCCCCGGTGAGGAGCCATCCCATGTGTGTGCCCTTCCTCAGTGTCCACACCGTGGGATCTGCACTGATCTGGGCTTCCCTTCTCATCACCCTCAGTATTAGTGGCCCTTGTGAATCAGGTCCAGCTGGGGCTGCTCCACATGCGGCTGTTCTCAGTCCATTCTCTCTGTGTTTGCAGAAGTCCTATGTGAAGTTCACTGGTGGAGTCTGAGGGGGAAAAATTGTACAGCCCAGCGGTTCACTGAGCCCCTCCTGCAAAGACTCTGGATTCACCTTCACAGATTGCAGCATCAGCTTGGGCCAGCAGACTCCAGGCCTGGGGTTGGTGTGGGTGGCAACAGGGAGAAATTCAAGAGGAAGTTTTTACATGCACCCTTACGTGCACGGTCTCACTGACATCTTTACTTCTTTTATCATGTTTGTTTTGTAAATCACAAAGAATGGTGCATTCTTCATCTATTCTATACTTGTTAAGTATTTTTGGCATCTTTTAAAAAACTGGTAACTTTATCCTATGTAATATCCCTGTTAAGTCCTAAAAGTCTTTTTTGATGTCTATTTTTTCTTAACTTTACACAGCTACTATAGATTTATTTTGGTTAACATTTTCATAATCCATGTTTTCTCATCTTTAGTTTTTACATTTGTGAATATGTACTGTAATTTTCTAATACATAGCTTCTAGTTGGGGCTTGTTTTTTTAAATCAACTATAGTAAGTTCTATTTTTAAACTAATATTATTTTTCTGTTATCTTGTTTAAATTAGCACTTCACAATGACGTTTATTTCTCTATTAACATATAATCTAATTCACTTTTATAAATATTATATTGTTTACCATAAGGTTTACAATAAGAATTGTATATAATTAGATTGTATAAGAAGTGTATACAATTAGATTCTATAAGAATTGTATATAATTAGATTCTAATGCAGATACTGTGATGGCCTTGATATGAAGAACAGAGACAGTGTAACTGTGTGCTTTGAATTCCTCCTTCTCACCACTCTTTCTTGTTTATTCCCAGTTTGCACTTACATATGCTATAAAATATAATATGTAATTTTTTATTCCTTTTACAGTTATATAATATAGCAATTACAAAGATAAAAACTGTACTTCATCTTGATTTTCTCATTTTGTACAGTCTTAATTTCTTCGTATAGATTTATGTTTTGAATGTATATCACATGGCTACTAGCAGAGAAAGTTTGTTAAAATGTGCACTGAAGCATGAATGTGCTGACAATAAATTGTCTCAAGATCTTTTTTTAATGACAGAATTTTATTTGCCTTTCACTTTTAATGAAAATATAATGCATGTAGAATTCCAGTTTGCATTTCACTTGTAACTTATTTTCTTGTGTTTATTATTTTATTCATGGAGACGATCACACATTACATTCTGCTGGGCCTTTATTAACCACATTTCTATGAATCTAGTCAGGGTTGGATTTCAAGTGTATGGTTGCCACGGCTATCAGAGTTGAAGTCAGCTTCTCCTGTTCACAAAAAGTTCAGGTTCCTCCAGTGATACCCACTTTTGTGTCCCGGTTTGGCTCTTCCCATTTCTCTCCCCAGAGAGAGCCTGTCTCTTTCATCTGTGGCAGGTGCATCCTGCTGACACTTTTACTTGGTGATTGTTTGTGGGGTGAAGGGGCTTGGACACAGGGGGATGTTCTCCAACCTTCTGACCGAGCCTCCTTCTTAGCTATGGGTGGTGAGAGTGGCTCTGAAGCATGGTCTTCCAAGTGTTCCTGTTCCTTCCCTTCTCCAAGTCAGAGTGTCTCTTCCCAGCCACAGTGGTTTTTCATCAGTGTCCTCAGCTTCTGACCCACTGTCCTTACCCCACAGACTCAGGACTTCATTCCTCAGGAAAGAGATGGGAGGTGATTCTGGGTAGAGTTTCCTTGGTGTCCTCTGTTTCCTTGTGTTCTAGTTGATTCTACCAGTGCCTGAAGGACACAAGATTTAATAAATGTCTCCCACATATCATGAAGGGGGATTCAGCATTGAACACAGCTGCTATTCTTCCTCCCCAGTCAACACCACAGTACAGCAGGTGGGTGACTTGTCTGGGTATTTCCCCAATTCTGTAGGAAAAGCCTGCAAGTGCCGGGAGTTTCACACTCTCACACCCTTAGCACACACATCCTCAACAACTCATGAAACATTTCCAGGTTAGCTTTTTCCTATCTTCAATACTATACAACGAGTGGCACCTGCTCCAGGTACTCTAATAAATGGACCCTAGTTCTCTCTGCAGGCCCTTATTTCTCAGATTTCAGGGTTTTTTTCTCTGTGACATCAACTCAGATATGTTGAAGCGTTCATTTTTCGTAGTTGTTCAAGTTTCTTATTAATGAGGTCAGAAGAAGATCATTTTCTCATTTTTTTTACATTCCCATGCTTAGTATTTGCTTTCTAAATAAAATTCAGAAACGAAGACAAAATATCAAATATCCACTATTTGGTGCATTGTTAAACAATTTGAGAAATATTCATATACTGAAATACAATGAACAATTGAAATCAAGGCATGCCTCAGTCACATAAGAATGTGAGGACATTATCAAATAATTGTGCTGAGTGTAGGAAGCTAAAGAATTCACAGTAAATCTCCTGTGATTTCATTTGTATAAATTGTAGAAAATGCAACTATTCTAAATTAACATGGAGAAGATCTGAATTTTTCTGAGAAAAGTGTGGTGAGAGTAACAAGATGGTGAAATAAAATTACAGAGAAGTGAGAGAAAAAATTAGAGGTTAATTTAATTGCTAATAGCATGATTGAAGTGCTGATTCAAAGGCTGTACACATATACCAACATTTTCCAAATTGTACACTATAAATTTGAATTCACTATGGATTGAATTTTTGAATAAAGCAGTAACAAAAAATGAGTATATTGGCTGAGGAAGAGGAAGAAAGAGATGAATATTGACACTTGAATAATCACGGACTCCTGAAAATACACACATGTGAACACTGATTGCATATTTCAGGTAAACACTAGAAAAAGCAAAGTCACATAAAGTTGTTATGACAGGTGGGACATCCTGAAAACCTCACTAGGCATGTCCCACATCGCCCTGGAGCTGTCTCAGGGGAGCAGTCTCCTCCAGTGTTTAGAGGCACAGACACAGGTAATAGGGCTAACTCTGGCCAGATGTGTGATATTGGACACATTGCACAACTGCTCTGTTATGTATGTAATTCATCTTCTCTACAAATGTAACATTGACACTTGCACTGAATATATTCTGCAAATGTGTAAACATTAAATAAGATGATGACTGCTAATTGATCATCAAGGCACAATCACATAATCTGAAGTTATATTTTCCTGAGAGATAGGATTACCTCCAATGTTTTCTGGGATGCTCTCATCTTCTCTGGGCACTGCCCTCTCCTCAGCTGTCCCACCACAGAGCTTGCTATATAGTAGGAGACATGCAAATAGGGCCCTCCGTCTGCTGATAAAAACCAGCCCAGCCCTGACCCTGCAACTCTGGGAGAAGAGCCCCAGCCCCAGAATTCCCAGGAATTTCCATCTGGTGATCAGCACTGAACACAGAGGACTCACCATGGAGTTTGGGCTGAACTGGGTTTTCCTTGTTGCTATTATAAAAGGTGATTTATGGCGAACTAGAGACACTGAGAGGACGTGAGTGAGATAAGCAGTGAATATATGTGGCAGTTTCTGACCAGGTTGTCTCTGTGTTTGCAGGTGCCCAGTGTGAGGTGCAGCTGGTGGAGTCTGGGGGAGGCTTGGTACAGCCTGGGGGGTCCCTGAGACTGTCCTGTCCAGACTCTGGATTCACCTTCAGTAACCACTACATGAGCTGGGTCCGCCAGGCTCCAGGGAAGGGACTGGAGTGGATTTCATACATTAGTGGTGATAGTGGTTACACAAACTACGCAGACTCTGTGAAGGGCCGATTCACCATCTCCAGGGACAACGCCAATAACTCACCGTATCTGCAAATGAACAGCTTGAGAGCTGAGGACACGGCTGTGTATTACTGTGTGAAACACACAGCGAGGGGAAGTCAGTGAGAGCCCAGGCACAAACCTCCCTGAAAGGGTCCCAGAGACCACCAGGGGGCGCCAGGACACTGTGCACGGGGCTGTCTCCAGGGCAGGTGCAGGTGCTGCTGAGGGCTGGCTTTCTGTCATGGCCTGGGGCAGCCTCATCGTCAAATTTCCCCAGGGAACTTCTCCAGATTTACAATTCTATATTAACATTTGATGTCTCTAAATGTAAAACGTTTTTTTTTGTTCCTTTGTTTTTGTAACAAGAGGAAACACCCTCACCTCCACAGAAGCCAGGGTGTCACTTTGGGGGCAGAAATAATCCTTTCATGGTCAGGATGAGAGTCCTGAGGAATCTCAGGGAAACCTGGAGAGTGTTTTCCAATTAGACTCAGAGCAGAGACCTCCATGGGAATCTCTGATTAGAACAGGCCTTGAGCTCTGATGGGAGCCAAGAGAGAGGCTCACCCAGGGTCAGGGTCCTTAAAACCTGATGGTTTTCACAGCTGTCCCCTCTCAACTTGTAAAACTGTGCCCATCTGACTCAGACTGATTCAGCTGACCCTCTTTCTGCTGATCCATTTTCCATCTCTGTAGACTTGATTCTCACAGTTCCCTTTCTTCTTCTCTTCCCTGAAAACAGAAGATGTGTTTTCTGTAGTCAAAATTCCAGGGCTTGGGTCTGCAGGACCTGGGTAGGCTGAGGGGACTTTCTCACTCACCATTGTCTGGACACTCCTGTTGTCTTCTGTGCATGGAGGCATTTGGAAAATGTAGTGGACATTAGCCATGAAGAGAATAATACTAGTTTTCTCCAATGGGATATTGATGTAGAGCTGATCTTGTGCTTCTCACACTATCTGAGTTTGGACTCTCACCTGTGACTTTGAGAAGAGCTGAGGATGGGCACTCCATTGTGCTGTGAGCTCTGGGTAACAATAATTGTAGAATCTGGCTAGGCAGTTTAAGGTCAATACTACTGGCCTTCGGGAAAGACAGGCTGGAATTCCTGGGAAGATCTGCATCTGCCGTCCACCACGGAGCCCCATCGTCTTCTGTTATGCTGTCTTTGAATCAGTCCCAACTAGATTATCTAGAACACTCTTCGTGACTTAGGAAAAAATAATGGCAGGCTCCACTAACACCTGTATTATGCCATGGGAGCAACACCTAGGCTACTGTGTGATTGAATAGATGAGACTACGGTCTAGTCAAGGTGACAGGTAAAATTGATTGTTGCCATTATGATATTTTATTTTATATTTGGCAATATAATCATGCTCATATTATAAATATTTTTTGAGACGGAGTCTTGCTCTGTCGCCAGGCTGGAGAGTGCAGTGGCACGATCTCAGCTCACTGCAACGTCTTCCACCTCCCAGGTTCAAGCAATTCTCCTGCCTCAGCCTCCCGAGAAGCTGGGATTACAGGTGCGCGTCATCATGCCTGGCTAATTTTTGTATTTTTAGTATCGACGAGGTTTCACCATGTTGGCCAGTGTGGTCTCGATTTCCTGACTTCGTGATCTGCACACCTCGGCCTCCCAAAGTGCTGGGATTACAGGCATGAGCCACCACGCCCGGCCTAGTTTTATTAATGTCTGTCCATACCAGCAACTACATACCTATGGGGACATTAATTTACATCTGCAGACATATGTGTAAATACACAAGCCTATACATACATGTGTAGTCATTTATATTTAACATTATAACAAAATAATTCTAAAATATTTTCTAAAGAATTAAACTTAATGATGAGCTAAATATAAATTAGAGTAATCTATAATTGATTTCAACAGTTCTCTATAGTTTACATAAATGGATGTCTATTTCTAAGCTTTAACATAGTGTATTCGTCATTTTAAAATAGTCAAGAAAAAATTACAAATGTTCTTGTCACATAAAAGATAAGGATTTGACGATTTGAGGTAATATATATGTGAATTAACTCGATTCAATTATTCCATATTGCATTCACAAACCATAACATAGCTTTGTGCCCCATAAATATATACAACCAAACTTTCTCCATTTTCAATGAAATTTTAATTATATATTTTTAAATCTGATGCCTCTCCTTGGATTAAGCCACCTCCTCAGGGTTACAGGGCTCTTCCATTTTCTCAACATGCTGTTATACCAGATGAGCACAAAAACATTAATTTCATTATGCTTAGCTTTAATTTTTCAAAACAACATAAAGGTGATAATTTTAACAATAGACGTATTACAACCTACTATACATGAGACCCTTTCCGTGCTTCAAGGTTTCTTCTCAGGACTTTACATGTATTGCAAATTTTCATTTTTCTCTGATATGGAATGCTGATTTCTCTTTATTACAGATTATCAGTTTATTTTTTAAATTTATCTCTTAAAATTAATTTTTTGAAAGTCCCACTCAAACCAGGGTATTATTAGAACTTTGAAGTGTAATAGTTGGACCAACTTTGAGAATACATTCAATTTAGTTCACGTGCTCTCAAGCATCTTTTTTTTCTTTAAAAGTTGTTATCAGTTGTAATATCACACAAAATATTAGTAATTTATACTAATGACACAGGTTAAAATATTGTATAAATAATTTAATTACATTTGATTGGAAAAAAGGAATATATGTTCCTCATGTCTTGACTTTTTTTCTTCTCTATGAAATGCATGCATATTAATTATTAAGTTTAAGATGTTACCTTTGTCTTTTTGATTTCTGGGATTTAATTTTAGTACATATACTTGAATGCATTTTATTAATTCATATAATAATGTTCATATTTTGGATAGGGTTTTAATATTAATTTTATTATTTACTGAATTTTAAACTATTCTACAGTTTTTTATTTTTTGTTTTTATGAGATAAAATTTACATATAATAAAATATGCATAGATCTGAAATGTATCACTAGAGAGTTTCTGGCAAATGTGAATACCCTTGTTCTCAATACCTAAGGTAGCTGAAGAACAAGTCCATCCCCACATCGCGGGTTTTCCCTGTTCTTGCGGTCAACTCCTGCAAGGGGAAATGTTTTGATTTCTGACACTACAGATCCATTTTTTTTCTGTTTTGAACTTTATATAAATGGAATCAAACATTATAGACCTTTTTTTTGAAAGGGGCTTTGATATTTTTGAGATTAATTCATACTATTTAATGTATAAAATTAGATCAACATATTGTCATTTATTCAATTCGTAGACTGACTCTGATATGAAACCTCAAAGTTTTCACGTACGTATGGAGAGAGAGAGAGGAAGGAGAAAGATTTTATATCTGAGTCAGTCCATTAAGTAAATAAATGAGAATATTTTGATTTATTTTCCTGTTGATGTACTTTAAATTTGTTTCCATTTTATGAATATTATAGGCAAAGCTGTTTCAAATATATTAGTGTAGGTTTTCCTATATTGTTTCATTTTTGTTAAGAAAATATGAAGTATGTATTTCTTTTTTTATTTTTGATTACTATTTATTTCTATTTTAAATTTTACTTTAAGTTCTGGGATACATGTGCTGAACATGTAGGTTTCTTACATAAGTATACATGTGCCATAGTGGTTTGCTGCACCTATCAATCTGTCATCTAAGTTTGATGTACCTCGTGCATTAGTTATTTGTCCTAATGCTCTCCCTCCCCTTTCCTAATGCTTTTTCTCCCCGACATATCCCAGTGTGTCATGTTCCCCTCCTTGTGTCTATGTGTTCTCATTGTTCAACTCCCACCTATGAGTGAGAACATGTGGTGTTTGGTTTTCTGTTTCTGTGTTAGTTTGCTGAGGATGATGGCTTCCAGCTTCATCCATGTCCCTGCAAAGGACCTGAAATCATTCTTTTTTATGGCTGAATAGTAGTTCATGGTGTACATATGCCATATTTTTTCATCCAGTCTATCACTGATGGACATTTGAGTTGGTTCCACATCTTTGCTATTGTAAATAGTGCTGCAATAAACATACATGTGCATGTGTCTTTATAGTAGAATGATTTATAACCCTTTGGGTATATACCCGGTAATAGGACTGCTGGGTCAAATGGTATTTCTCGTTCTAGATCCTTGAGGAATTTCCACACTGTCTTCCACAATGGTTGAACTGATTTACACTCCCCCCAACAGTGTAAAAGTGTTCCTATTTCTCCACATTCTCACCAGCATCTGTTGTTTCCAGACTTTTTAATGATCAACATTCTAACTGGCATGAGATGGTGTCTCATTGTGATTTTGATTTGCATTTCCCTAATGACCAGTGATAATGAGCTTTTTTTTTCATATGTTTGTTAGCTGCATAAATGTCTTTTTCTGAGAAGTGTCTGTTCATGTCCTTCACCCACTTTTTGATGGGGTTGTTTGGTTTTATTTCTTGTAAATTTGTTCAAGTTCCTTGTAGATTCTGGATATTAGAACTTTGTCGATGGATAGATTGCAAAAATTTTCTCCCATTCTGTAGGTTGCCTGTTCATTCTGATGATAGTTTCTTTTGCTGTGCAGAAGCTCTTTAGTTTAATTAGATCCTGCTTGTCAATTTTGGCTTTTGTTGTAATTGCTTTTGGTGTTTTAGTCATGAAGCCTTTGCCCATGCCTATGTCCTGAATGATACTGCCTATGTTTTCTTCTAGGGTTTTTGTGGTTTTAGGTTTTACATTTAAGTCTTTAATGCATCTAGAGTTAATTTTTGTATAAGGTGTAAGGAAAGGATCCAGTTTCAGTTTTCTCCATATGGCTACCCAGTTTTCCCAGCACCATTTATTAAATAGGGATCATTTCCCCATCGCTTGTTTTTGTCAGGTTTGTTGAAGATCAGATGGTTGTAGATGTGTGGTGTTATTTCTGAGGCCTCTGTTCTGTTCCATTGGTCTATATAACTGTTTTGGTACCAGTACCATGCTGTTTTTGTTACTGTAGCCTTATAGTATAATTTGAAGTCAGGTAGCATAATGCCTTCAGCTTTGTTCTTTTTGCTTAGGACTGTCTTGGCTATACGGGCTGTTTTTAGTTTCACATGAAGTTTAAGGTAGTTTTTTCTAGCTCTGTGAAGAAAGTCAATGGTAGCTTGATGGGAATAGCATTGACTGTATAAATTGCTTTGGGCAGTATGGCCATTTTAACAATATTGATTCTTCCTATCCATGAGCATGGTATTTATTTATTATAAAAGTAACTTTAATTTTTTCAGTTTTACTGAGGTACAACTGAAATATTTTTAAATGTATATGTTTAAGGTGCACCACTTCATGTTTTGATATTGTGTTAGTCCAGTCTCACACTGCTATAAAGAAATGCCTGAGACTGAGTAATTTGAAACAAAAAAATAGATGCTTAATTGGCTCATTTTTCTGCAGACTGTACAGGAAGTGTAGTGGCTTCTCCTTCTGGTGATACTCAGGAAAGTTAGAACCATAGCAGAAGACAAATAGTAGTAGACACGTCACATGGCCAGAGCAGGGGCCACAGGAAGAGAGGGAGGTCTACACAGTTAGACAAACAGATCTTATGATAACTCACACAATATTATGAGAACAGCACCAAGAGTCGGTGCTAAACCATTCATGAAAGACCCACCCCCTGACCCAAGCCTCTCCCACTGGGTCCCAGCTTCAGGATTGAGGATTATAATACAACACGAGATTCAGGCCAGGACAAGTTGCAAACCATATCAGATACACATTGTAAAATGCTCATCATGATCAAGGTAATTTGTGTATCTATCATCTCACATACATTTTTTTTTAAATGGAGTGTGTGTGTGTGTGAGATGAGAATATCTAAGATCTACCCTTTCAGCAAAAATCACTTTTATAACACAGTATTAAATACAGGAACATTGCTGTACATTAGATCTCCAGAACTCATTCAACCTGCACACCTGAAATTCTGTACACTTTAAACATCACCCAATTTCCCTCTCCTCCCGCATCCTGGGACCCATTATTTTACTCTCTGCTTTCAAGAGCTTGGGTATTTTAGATCCCACATGTAAATGAGATCATGCAGCATTTGTCTTTCTGCATCTGGCTTATCCCACTTAGCATCATGTCCTCCAGGCCCATCCATGTTGTTGCAAATGTCAGAATTTCCTTCTTTTCAAAGCTGAATAAAATTCAGTTTTATGTATACACATTTTCTTTATACATTCATCAATCTATGGTCATTAAATTCTTTTACAAATCTACACTATTATAAATAATCTTACAATCAGCATGTGTTTAACATAGTAATTTTACTTCTTTGAATAAATAACAAGAAGTGGGATCACCAGATGATATGATAGCTTTATTTTTCAATTTATTGAGTAACCAATCCTACCACACCCTAAAAGGATTCCCTTTTCAGCACATTCTTGCCAATATGTGTTATATGTCTTGCTGATAACAGCCATTTTAAGTGGTGGGAGGTGATATCTCATCATGATTTTGATTTGAATTCCTCTGATAATTAGTAATGTTGAGAACCCTTTTAGGCTCTGTTTTCCATGTGTGTGTTTTCTGAAGAAAAACCTATCCAGTTTTTGCCCTTTTTATCAGATCATTTGTTATTTGCTATTGAGTTGCATGAGTTATTTATACTTTTGGATAGAACTTATGTCAGATATATAATTGCACATAGTTTTTTTCCTGTGCTTTTTTCTATTAAATTCAAAGAAATCATTTCTGAATCAATGACAGGAAGTTTTTTTCCATGTGGTCTATGAGTTTGTGGCTTCAGGTTATGTTCATTTTTAGTTTATTTTTGAATATGGTGTTAGAGAAGGTCTAATTTTATTTCTTTTGCATATGGATGTCCAGTTTTTACATCATATATTGAGGAGACTGTCCATCCTTCACTGTGTGTTCTTGGGATACAAAATCAGGAAGATGCATAATTAAAAAAGAAAACATCAGATGAATATTCCTGGTGAATATGGACCTAAAAGTTCTCAACAAAATACTAGCAAATAGAATCCAGAAGCACTTTAAAATATAATACATCATGATCAAGTAGGCTTTACCCCTGGAAGGCGAGGTTCATTCAACATCGACAATTCAGTAACTGTGATTCACCATGTAAGCAGAATAATAGCAAAAACTGTATGATTATCTCAATAGATGCTGAGAAAGCTTTTGATAGGATCCAACATCCACTCATAATAAAAACCCTTAACAGACTAGGCATCAAAAAAATATACCTCGAAATAATAAGAGCCATCTATGACCAACCCACAGTCAACATTATACTGAGTGAGCAAAAGCTCAAAACCCTTTAGAAGTGAAAGAAGACCAAGATGCCCTCTCACCACTGCTATTGAACATAGTACTAGAAATCCTAGTCAGAGCAACCGAGCAATATCAAAATAAAAGGCAGCTGATATGGTTTGAATTTGTGTCCCCACTCAAATTAAATGTCAAATTGTAATTCCCAGTGTTGAGGGTGGGGCCTGGTGAAAGGCGATTAGATCATGGGGATGAGTCTCTCTCTCTCTTGTGCTGATCCCATGATAGAGTCCTCAGGAGATCTGGTTTCAAAGTATGTGGCACCTCCCTTGTCTCTCTTCCTCCTGCTCCAGCCATGTAGGACATGATGCTTCCCTTTCTGTACTGATTGTCAGGATCCTGAGGCCTCCCCAGCCATGCTTCCTGTACAGCCTGAAGAACCATGAAACAATTAAAAATCTTTATAAATTACACAGTCTCAGGTGTTTCTTTATAGTGTGTGAATGGACTAATACAGAATCCAAATAGGAAAAGAAGAAGTCAATGTATCTCTCCAAACTGATGATATAATTCTATACCTACAAAATTCTAAAGACCCTGCCAAAATAATTATAGAATAGATAAACAACTTTGGTAAAGTGTTGGGATACAAAATCAATGTACAAAAATCTAGCATTTCTATACCCCAACTACGTCCAAGCTGAGACTGAAATCAAGAACACAATCCTATCCCACTTACAATATTCACACACACAAAATATGAAATGCCTGGAAATACAGGTAACAAACAAGGTGAAAGATCTCTACAAGGAGAACTACAAAACACAGCAGAAAGAAATCACAAATGACACAAACAAATGGGAAAATATTTCATGCTCATTGTTGGAAGAATCAGTATTGTAAAAATTGTCATACTGCCCAAAGCAATTTACAGATTCAATACAATTTACATAAAACTATCACCATCATTCTTCACAGAATTAGAAAAATTTTATATATTCTAAATTTGTATGGAACCAAAAACAGCCTGAATAGCCAAAGCAATCCTAAGCAGAAAGAGCAATGCCAGAGGCATCATGATACCCGACTTTAAACTACACCATAAAGTCACAGTAACAAAAACAGCTTGGTACTGGTACATGAGAAGACATGCAGGAAAAATGGGACAAAATAGAAAACAGAAATAAAGAAATAAAGCTGCACATATACAACCATCTTATATTTGATAAGGCTGACAAAAACAAGCAATGAGGAAAAATCTCTGTATTCAGTAAATGGTGTTGGGACAACTGGATTATGGCAGATATACAGAATGGAAGAGTGAAGGAGGCTGGGCAGCTTCTACTTAGATATCAGAAGATGTATATAGAGAACTATGTGCCCAGGAAGAAGCCTGATGCAGGAGTGGAGCCACCACGGACAGCCTCTACTAAGGCAGTGCCAAAGATGTGGAGAATCACTTGAACACAGGAGGCAGAGGTTGCAGTGAGCCGAGATCGTGCCATTACTCTGCAGGCTGGACAATGACAGAAAAATCCTATCTAAAAAAAAATTAATGTAAGAGAATAGAGAGCCCAGAAATAAAGCCAAATATCTACAACCAACTTTTCTTTGACAACACTGACAAAAATATTCACTGGAGAAACAACCCTCTATTCAATAAGTGGTGCTGGGAGAATTAGACAGCCTTACGTAGAAGAATAAAACCAGACTTCTATCTCACCAGAGGCAAACATTAACTGAATATAGATTCAATATTTATAAGTATAAACTGAAACTATAAAAATACTTGAAGAAAATGTAAGGAAAATTCTCGGGGCATTGCCCTAGGCAAATAAAATATGACTAAGACTGCAAAAGCAAATGCAATGAAAACAAAAATAGACAAATGGGATTTAGCTGAACTAAAGATCTTCTGCACAGAAAAAAGAAATAATCAACATGGTTCACAAACAGCCTACAGAATGGTAGAAGGTACCATCTCACCTCAGTTAAGATGACTTTTATCAAAAAATAAAAAAAAAAAAGGCCGGGTGCAGTGGCTCACACCTGTAATCCCAGCACTTTGGGAGGCCGAGCTGGGTGGATTGCTTGAGGTTAGGACTTCGAGACGGGCTTGGCCAACATGACGAAACCCTGTCTCTACTAAAAATACAAAAATTAGCCGGGCATGATGGCAGGTGGCTGTATTCCCAGCTACTCGCAAAGCTGAGGCAGGAGAATCACTTGAACCCAGGAGGTGGAGGTTGCAGTGAGCTGAGATTGTGCCTCTGCACTCCAGCCTGGGTGACAAGACTGAAACTCTGTCAAAAAAGAAAGAAGGAAAGAAGGAAGGAAGGAAGGAAAGAAGGAAGGAAGGAAGTAAAGAAGGAGGGAAGGAAGGAAGGAAAGAAGGAAGAAAGGAAAGAAGGAAGGAAGGAAAGAACGACATGGAAACTGAACAACCTGCTCCTGAATGACTGACTACTGGGTACATAATGAAATGAAGCCAGAAATAAAGATGTTCTTTGAAACCAATGAGGACAAAGACACAACATACCAGAATCTCTGGGACACATTTAAGCAGTGTGTAGAGGGAAATTTATAGCACTAAATGCCCACAAGAGAAAGCAGGAAAGATCTAAAATTGACACCCTAACATCACAATTAAAAGAACTAGAGAAGCAAGAGCAAACATATTCAAAAGCTAGCAGAAGGCAAGAAATAACTAAGATCAGAGCAGAACTGAAAGAGACAGAGACACAAAAAACCCTTCAAAAAATCAATGAATCCAGGAGCTGGTTTTTTGAAAAGATCTACAAAATTGATAGACCACTAGCAAGACTAATAAAGAAGAAAAGAGAGAAAAATCAAATAGATGCAATAAAAAATGGTAAAGGGGATATCACCACCGATCCCACAGAAATACAAACTACCCTCAGAGAATACTATAAACACCTCTATGCAAATAAACTAGAAAATCTAGAAGGAATGGATAAATTCCTGGACGCATACACCCTCCCAAGACTAAACCAGGAAGAAGTTGAATCCCTGAATAGACCAATAACAGGCCCTGAAATTGAGGCAATAATTAATAGACTCCAACCAAAAAAAGTCCAGGACCAGACAGATTCACAGCGGAATTCTACCAGAGGTATAAGGAGGAGCTGGTACCATTCCTTTTGAAACTATTCCAATCCATAGAAAAAGAGGGAATCCTCCCTAACTCATTTTATGAGGCCAGCATCATCCTGATACCAAAGCCTGACAGAGACAGAACAAAAAAAGAGAATTTTAGACCAATATCTCTGATGAACATAGATGCAACAATCCTCAATAAAATACTGGTAAACCGAATCCAGCAGCACATCAAAAAGCTTATCCACCATGATCAAGTGGGCTTCATCCCTGGGATGCAAGGCTGATTCAACATACACAAATCAATAAACGTAATCCAGCATATAAACAGAACCAAAGACAAAAACCACATGATTATCTCAACAGATGCAGAAAAGGCCATTGACAAAATTCAACAACCTTTCATGCTAAAAACTCTCAATAAATTAGGTATAGATGGTATGTATCTCAAAATGATAAAAGCTATTTAGGACAAACCCACAGCCAATATCATACTGAATGGGCAAAAACTGGAAGCATTCCCTTTGAAAACTGGCACAAGACAGGGATGACTTCTCTCACCACTCCTATTCAACATAGTGTCGGATGTTCTGGCCAGGGCAATCAGGCAGAAGAAAGAAATAAAGTGTATTCAATTAGGAAAAGAGGAAGTCAAATTGTCCCTCTTTGCAGATGACATGATTGTATATTTAGAAATCCCCATCATCTCAGCCCAAAATCTCCTTAAGCTAATAAGCAACTTCAGCAAAGTCTCAGGATACAAAATCAGTGTGCAAAAATCACAAGCATTCTTATACACCAATAACAGACAAACAGAGAGCCAAATCATGAGTGAACTCCCATTCACAATTGCTTCAAAGAGAATAAAATACCTAGGAATCCAACTTACAAGGGATGTGAAGGATCTCTTCAAGGATAACTGCAAACCACTGCTCAACGAAATAAAAGAGGATACAAACAAATGGAAGAACATTCCATGCTCATGAATAGGAAGAATCAATATCGTGAAAATGGCCATACTGCCCAAGGTAATTTACAGATTCAATGCCATCCCCATCAAGCTACCAATGACTTTCTTCACAGAATTGGAAAAAACTACTTTAAAGTTCATATGGAACCAAAAAAGGGCCCACATTGCCAAGTCAATCCTAAGCCAAAAGTACAAAGATGGAGGCATCACAATACCTGACTTCAAACTATACTACAAGCCTATAGTAACCAAAACAGGATGGTACTGGCACCAAAACAGAGGTATAGGCCAATGGAACAGAACAGAGCCCTCAGAAAATACCACACATCTACTACCATCTGATCTTTGACAAACCTGAGAAAAACAAGAAATGGGGAAAGGATTACCTATTTATAAATGGTACTGGGAAGACTGGCTAGCCATTTGTGGAAAGCTGAAACTGGAGCCCTTCCTTACACCTTACACAAAACTTAATTCAAGATGGATTAAAGACTTAAATGTTAGACCTAAAACCGTAAAAACCCTAGAAGAAAACCTAGGCAATACCATTCAGAACATAGGCATGGGCAGGGACTTCATGTCTAAAACACCAAAAGCAATGGCAACAAAAGCCAAAATTGACCAATGGGATCTAATTAAACTACAGAGCTTCTGCACAGCAAAAGAAACTACCATCAGCGTGAACAGGCAACCAACAGAATGGGAGAAAATTTTTGCAATCTACTCATCTGACAAAGGGCTAATACCCAGAATCTACAATGAACTCAAACAAATTTACAAGAAAAAAACAAACAACCCCATCACAAATTGGGCGAAGGATATGAACAGACACTTCTCAAAAGAAGACATTTATGCAGCCAACAGACACATGAAAAAAGGCTCATCATCACTGGCCATCAGAGAAATGCAAATCAAAACCACAACGAGATACCATCTCACACCAGTTGGAACGGCAATCATTAAAAAGTCAGGGAACAACAGGCGCTGGTGAGGATGTGGAGAAATAGGAACACTTTTACACTGTTGGTGGGACTGTAAACTAGTTCAACCATTGTGGAAGACAGTTTGGTGATCCTCAAGGATCTAGAACTAGAAATACCATTTGACCCAGCAATCCCATTACTTGGTATATACTCAAAGGATTATAAATCATGCTGCTATAAAGACACATGCACACTTATGTTTATTGTGTCACTATTGACAATAGCAAAGACTTGGAGCCAACCCAAATGTCCATCAGTGATAGACTGGATTAAGAAAATGTGGCACATATACACCATGGAATACTATGCAGCCATTAAAAAGGATGAGTTCATGTCCTTTGTAGGGACATGGATGAAAATGGAAACCATCATTCTGAGCAAACTATCACAAGGACAGAAAACCAAACACCGCATGTTCTCACTCATAGGTGGGAATTGAACAATGAGAACATTTGGACTAAGGGTGGGGAACATCACACACACACCGGGGCCTGTCATGGGGTCGTGGGAGCTGGGAGGGATAGCATTAGGTGATACACCTAATGTAATGTTAATGGGTGCAGCACACCAACATAGCACATGTATACATATGTAACAAACCTACACGTTGTGCACATGGACCCTAGAACTTAAATTATTATAAAAAAAGAAAGAAAAAAATAACTATTAATTTTTCTGAACCATGAACATGGAATATTTCAGATATATTTTCAATTTGTGTGTGTTTGCTTTATATTTTATTATCAATCATTTTTGGTTTTCTTTTAGAAATCTTTCACTTATTTGGTAATATGAAATATAATTTTTAGCTATTATAAACAAAATGCTTTATTGATTTTTTGCTGTTTGCATTTAGCAATGCCACCAATTTTTGTATGTAGGTGTTGTATTCTGCAAATTTACAGAATTTTTTATCAATTATAATAGTTTTTCCAGCACCATTTATTAAATACGGAATCATTTCCCCATTTCTTGTATTTGTCAGATTTGTCAAAGATCAGATGGTTGTAGATATGCGGCATTATTTCTGAGGGCTCTGTTCTGTTCCATTGGTCTATATCTCTGTTTTGGTACCAGTACCATGCTGTTTTGGTTACTGTAGTCTTGTAGCACAGCTTGAAGTCAGGTAGCGTGATGCCTCCAGCTTTGTTCTTTTGGCTTAGGAGTGACTTGGCAATGCGGGCCCTTTTTTGTTCCATATGAACTTTAAAATAGTTTTTTCCAATTCTGTGAAGAAAGTCATTGGTAGCTTGATGGGGTTGGCATTGGAATCTATAAATTACCTTGGGCAGTATGGCCATTTTCACGATATTGATTCTTCCTCCCCATGAGCATGGAATGTTCTTCCATTTGTTTGTGTCCTCTTTTATTTCATTGAGCAGTGGTTTGTAGTTCTCTTTGAAGAGGTCCTTCACGTCCCTTGTAAGTTGGATTCCTAGGTATTTTATTCTCTTTGAAGCAATTGTGAATGGGAGTTCACTCATGATTTGGCTCTCTGTTCGTCTGTTATTGGTGTATAAGAATGCTTGTGATTTTTGCACATTGATTTTGTTCCTTTCCTCCGTATTTTAAATTAAGGTATATTTTCAGGAGTTTAAATTTCCAAGTTATAAAATAAAATGTATTGACTATCTTTCATCTTTTAAAATTCATCTTATGAATTTTATTTATGTAAGTGTTTTGTCTTAGTCTTTGTGACTGGCTTGGAAGATTATATGAACAGATTTTCTTTTGACCTCTCTACATATGGGAAGAGCACAAATGTTGTTTCTATTATAGTATATACATGCAAAACTTGAGTTATAGTGCAATGGTTTAACCAAGATTACTCATTAGGGTTTTCAGGACCTTCCTCATGCATCCCTCTGATCATGTTTCTCTGCTGCTCAAAAGCTTTGTCCCTTTTCCTGCACAGAAAGTGTACACATCTTACCCAGTCACTAGTGGCCATCAGGCTCTCATAAATCCTTTTTGCTGTTTATCCTAGTCACAACTCTTGTCCAACCTGTTATTTCCAGCACACTAAACCATACACTACTTAATGCTCTGCACTTTTCATCTTTGTGCCTTTTGCTAAACTGTCATCTTTGAAGACCTATTGCTACTTATTGCATGAAGCTTTATTTGATGGCCTCAGTCTAACACAGCTATTTATTTTTCAATTGGATTTAAAATTGTCTCTCTCTCTACATTGGATTAGAGTTGCTATGTTCCTGTTCTACATTCCTTGCTAGACTGAAAGCTCACTGGCCAGGTCCTATTCATGCTTATTCATTGTAAATTTCTCCACATTGGAGGCATCCTGTTCATGAATGAACACATGAATAAAACTTGGTGTTGAAACTCCAAGTTATCTTGACCTGCAACTTCACACACTCAACTATATAAAATTGGGATCAAATAAATATTCTCGCATAACTATTAGTAAGTCAATATTTACCTTATATTGTAAGTTTCATCTATAAATATGCATCTTCCATTGCCTGATCCCTAACAAAACATAAAAACTAAAAAATCTTAAGATTATTAAAAATATAGGCAATGTTAAGATCACCAGCTTTTCAAATGCAGCAAAATAAATGAAAAAAAAAAAAAACTTTCAACAGGGATAACTAAAACCTTACTTTTCCCATTGAGTAGATCTTCTAGCCCAATATGTTTATTAGTCTATAAGAAAATATTAACGTTCATTAATTCCCCAAAGTTTGCTGTCAGTCAAGTCTCCACTCTTTCCCTTGGGGCATGAGAGATAGTGTAGATGAGGTCCAGACATGCTCTACTCAAGGTCTCTGCACATGGCTAAAAGTGCAGGTGTGAAATTCATGTTCTCAATCCATGAAACAATACTCATGAAAAATGCAACTCTGTTCCCGGACATCGTGCAGAATGAAGAAATAATGCAATTGTGGTAAATCTGGAAATTACAATTGTTTGTGGACTGCCCATTTTTTCATATGCCTTCCAATAAATCAGGTGAAAACATGTATTCTGTATAAAAATCCACAGTGTGTTAGCTCTGGGAATGCACCTTCCTCCCTCCACCTACAGGCAGAACCGTACACTTGGATCATGCACCCAGCTGCTGCTCTCTGACGTCCATGACGTGGCTCATGCTAAATCCCATATCCTGTGCTCCATTCTCAGGAATAGAGTGAGCCTTGCACTCATCTGGGTCAGAGTCATTGCTGGGAGTGATGGGGGTTTCCTGAGGGGCAACTTTGTCTTGCAGGAGACTCAATGATAATCTGGACTTTCTTTGCACAGCACAGAAATGTAAGAAAGTTCCAACCAATCCTGTCTCCCTCTCTCCTTCACTCAGGGACAGGCTTGCATCATATGCCATCAGCTTCCCCAGGCTCATTTACCCTCCATGCATTTTCCCTCAAAAGAGTGGATGCCCTCCTTCGACCAATGCATGCACACTTAATCGGCTACTGGAGATTTCTGCTCAGAAGACCAATAATAATACTCATATTTTTGCAAAATTATTTATAACAAAGTCTGATTCTATTGTCAAATATAAAATATTAATTAATATTAAATCAATATTGCATTGATTAATATTAGTGTTAAAATATTAATCAATGTAAAATGTTAATCATGGTAATAATTGATTTTGTGTGTCATCTTGACTGGGACATAGTCTCAGTTATTCAATCAAACACTAATCTAGGTGTTGCTCTGATGTATAATACAGGTATTATTAAAGCCTGTCATCACTTCTCTAGGTCAGGAAGATTGTCCTAGATGAACTTGGTCGGTCTGATTTAATCCTAGCAGAGGAGAAGACAATGGAACTCTATGGTGGACAGCAGCTGTAGGACTTCCCAGGAATTCCATCCTGTCTTTCCGGATGGCCAGCTCCATTGGCTCTGGCTGTGCCTAGCCAGATCTCACAATTGCCATCGTTCAGAGCTCACAGCCCAATCAAGTGTCCATCCTCAGCTCTCCCAAAAGTCCACAAGAGACGGTGGTGGCTCTGTGACAGGGTGAGAAGCAGAAGATCAGCTCTACATCAGTATCCCATTTGAGGAAACGACTATGAGTGTCCACTTGCATTTCCCAAATGCATCTGTGCATAGAAGACAGCAGGGGCATCCAGGCACCAGGAAATGAGAAAGATCCCTCAGCCTGCCAGGTCCTTAGGAGCCACAGCCACAGCAACACCTGAGTTCCAGGTAATGCATCTGAGACCTGTGGTTTAGACCACAGGAAGCACACCCTCCATTTTCAGAATAAAGGTGAAAAGGGAAGTGTAAGACTGAAGCCTAGAGAAAAGGAAAATGGATTAGCAGAGAAAGGACCAAATGGATCAGTTCTGAGTCAGATGTTCAGTTTTAAAGGACGATGGGGTTACTGTGAAAACTGTCAGGATTCTAAGGACCCAGGCCCTGGGCGAGCCTCCCTCTTGGTCCCAATCTGAATCCCAAAGCCTGTTCCAATCAGAGATTCCCACAGAGACTCCTGCCCTGAGTCTGACTGAAAAACACTTCCCAGGTTCCCCTGGGCTTCCTCAGGACTCTGATTCTGGTGACCAGGGCAGGGACACTTCTGTCCCCAAAGTGACACTCAGGCTTCTGTGGAGGTGAGAATGTGTCCTCCTGTCACAAAAACAAAGACACACCAGGGAAGGAAAGTGTCACATTCAGAGACATTAAATGTAAGTACAGAATTGTAAATCTGAAAGGTTCTCTGAGGAAACTTGATGAATCAGCCCCAGATGCTGAGAGAAAATCAGCCTTTAGCACCACCAGCCCCTGCCACGGAGAGCAGCCCAGTTCATAGGGCCCAGGACACCCCCTCGTGGTCTCAGATGCCCCTGCAGCGAGGTTTTTGTCTGGGCTCACATTGACTTCCCCTCACTGTGTCTCTAGTACAGTAATACACAGCCATGTCCTCAGCTCTCAGACTGTTCATTTGCAGATACAGCGTGTTCTTAGCATTGTCTCTGGAGATGGTGAATTGGCCCTTCATGGAGTCTGCGTAGCTTGTGCTACTCCCATCACTATTAATACGTGAGACCCACACCAGCCCCTTCCCTGGAGCTTGGCGGACCCAGTGCATCCAGTAGCTACTGAAGGTGAATCCAGAGGCTGCACAGGAGAGTCTCAGGGACCCTCCAGGCTGTACTAAGCCTCCCCCAGACTCCACCAGCTGCACCTCACACTGGACACCTGCAAACACGGAGACACCCTGGTCAGAAACTGCCAGAGTGCTTATCTCACTCATGTCCATTCACACTCCATGTCTCTAGTTTTCCATCAGTCACCTTTTAAAATAGCAACAAGGAAAACCCAGCTCAGCCCAAACTCCATGGTGAGTTCTCTGTGTGCAGTCCTGATCAGCAAGTAGAAACACATGGGAATCCCAGGGCTGGGGCTCTTCTCCCAGAGGTGCAGGGTCAGGGCTGGGCTGGTTTTCTTCAGCAGAGTGAGGGCCCTATTTGCATATCTCCTACTATATAGCAAGCTCTGTGGTGAGACACCTGAAGAGAGAGCAGGACCCAGGGCAGATGAAAGTGTCCTGAGGAAGATGGGTGACAACAATGGGATTTGAGTAATTGTGCTTATTATGAAACTGTGCTGTGATAAAATCTTTGCACTGATCACCTTATTTCAGATTTACCTATGTGTGTAAATTATGTTCTGTAGGAGTCAATGTTATCTATTTACAGATGTAAAAGTAAACCCACACATGGATGGGCTCTCTGTGTATCTAAGAGCTCATGTCTGGGATGGGTGAGTGCTGGTGTCTGGGCCTGCACTTCTCACCACTGGCCCTGACTCCTCCCTTAGCCAACTCCAGGACAGAGCTGGCCATGCCTAGTGTGGTTTGCAGAAGTCACTGCCTAATCAGAATATGGGTGATTTTGCTGCACTCTCCTGTTTACCTTAAACTATGGAGAGAACTAGGGTTCAGGTAGGTAACTTTCAGGTATTTCTGACATTTAACATACTTGTATCTATCTTTCTGTCACTCCTACATTGTCTAATTTTCAACTTGTTTCCTGATAATAAATTTTATAAGATTTGATTGACAGATTATAAACTTTACATATTTAAAGTGTAAAATTGACAATCGTGACATAACTATTACCATTATAAAGAAGGTGGACAAGTGAAATTCCCTCAACTTCTTTTCTGTCCTTCTACTTCCTATTTCTATTTCCTTATCCTTTCTCCTTCCCTTCTGCCAACACATTCCCAGGCAACTACTAATCTTCTTTATATTACTTTAGATCAGTTTTCATTTTCCAGAATTTTTAAAAATAGAATCATATATACTCTTATCTGTTTGGCTTATTTTACTCTATTTAAATACTTGATAATTTAATCTTCTTATTGTGTATATCAGTAATTCCTTTATTATGAATGATGGGTAGCATTCCAGTAAACAAAGTTACCATAATTTGTTTTTCTATTAGGCAGCTGAAAAATATTTGGATTCTTTTATTATTTTTGGTGTTAATAAAAATTTTGTTATTCAGATTTGAAATGTATATAGATGAGAATTTCTTTTTTTACAACAAGAATAAAATCAACAATAACAATTAATCAGAGAAAATGGACTTTTGCAAATTGTCTTTAATACTTCAGATCATTGAAATTTTAAGACAATCAACAAACCTGAAATCTAGAGAGAGACAAGTTCTTGTAGGGAGAATCAAAGTTAGGGTGTGAGCTGAACTGAGGCAGAGTTCACCAAATGCAATATAGGCTAGTACAAGATAAAATACACTGATATACATTGAACTGTTTTGAGTCGAGTGTGATAAGCATGTTTTTAGTGAGAAATTCTCAGGAACCACATACTGAAGAGTTTTTCTATTCTTTTGAATGTCTTTCCCTTATAACGAGAATAGTCACAAAAATCTTCCCTTCCCAAAGTGTCTGTCTGGGGTGTATCAGAGCCCACGCCTGAAATGCTTCCAGAGCCAAGTCTCTTACACCCACTACAGAACTAAGAAATTACTCAACAGGGGCAAACCACCAAAACCAGTATCCTAAATGCACTGGTTTAACCCCTCAGGAATTGAGATGGGAACAGAGCTCCCCACCAAGGTTCTACTGGGAAGCAGCTCCCCTCTCTTATGGAATCACAGCCTTAGTCTGCAGAGCAGGGCAGCAGATCTGGAAGGTGATGACACCGATGAAGAACACTGCAGCTGTGGAAGGGATCACCCGGGGAAACGGGGGGCTCTACTCCGGGGGAAGGGGAGCTGAAGAGCAAGGCAGAAAGGAGCCCCCATGTCAAACTTCGGGGTTCCAGGGAGGGAAGTGGAAGTGGCACCGCCTTGAAAACCCGGGCAGTGGAGCAGCCGCTGTACCCACCCCGCCAAGGGTGCGGGGTTCCTGGGCCTTGGGAGGTTCTGTGCAGGCTGCTCAGGCCGCGTCTCGAGGGTTCGGCCGCATGTCAGGGTGACCACGGAGGCCGCCATTCCCGACTACCGGCCGGGGTCGTGATCAGCTCTGCCCGGACCTCCCTGAGCACCAGGGCAATGCGGGGAGCTTGTGGAGATGTCGCCCCTGCCCTGGACACCGGTCAGGGCCCAGAGAGGATCAGGCTGCGAAGGGCAGCACAAGGAGGGGCAGCGAGGGCTGATGCTCCACGGAGCCGGTGGGAGCCAGGAGCAGGCAGCAGCTCTGATCTCTCAGGCGGCTCCAGCTGCTCTAATCAGGGCAGTGGGCTCGGACTCTGTGCTCTTGGAGGTCAAGGAACAGGAAGGAGCCCTGCCTTCCCCGGGCGTGGCTGCAGCCACCCAAACCGCGGCTGAAGACACGGGCCTCTCGCTCCATGAAGCCGGCAGAAGCCCTGCCCCGCAAACCGCGGGCTGCAGCCTCAGGCGTCCCTGCACTCTTGGGGTCCCCAGGAAAAGCCCTCTGCTCTTGCATGCTCCGAAATGCCTGCTCCCACTTCTTGGCTTCTTCCTGCTTTTGGCGCCTGCTCTGATCTTGGAGCAAAGTCTGGGCAGAGCCCCAGGGACCATGAACTGCAAAAGGAGGCAGGAAGATTCCTGTGTAGAGGGGGAGGGTCCCCAGGAAGGGCCTGAAGGCTGGGCCCGGGCTCCCAGATACTCAGACCACAGTGGGGACTTGTGGTGCTGTCTACGGCCCACCCATGACCACCCATGGACCAATGGGCACGCACTTCCTTCCCTCGGAGGTCCATAAAAACCCCTGGGCTCAGCCAGAGCAGGACAGAAGATGGAGAGACGACAGGAAGACCAGCTGCAGGGAGGAGCTACCCTCTCTCCTGAGAACTGGGAAGACGACAGGATGACCAGCTGCAGAGAGGAGCTACCATTTCTCCTGAGAACTGGGAAGACGACAGGATGACCAGCTGCAGAGAGGAGCTACCCTCTCTGCTGAGAACTGGGAAGACAACAGGACGACTAGCTGCAGGGAGGAGCTACCTTCTCTGCTTAGAGCTGAACACTCAACCAGTCAACCTGCCTACAGAGAGGAGCTACTCACTGGGGGTCTCCTCTGAGATGCTCGAATGCTTCATGAAGCTAGTCTTTGCCTTGCTCACCCACCACATGGCTGCATACCTCATTCTTTCCAGATGTAGGACACGAACTTGGGCAAAGTCGCCGCTGGCCACAGAGGGTTCTGGCCAGAAAAAGCAACACCCCAGTGATCCCGAAACAACTATGGTAAATACTGTAGGCCATGGTAACACAGTAGTATTTGTGTATCTAAACATAAAAAGGTATAGATAAATAGGGAAGCATATTATTGTGGAACCACCATTGTTTGTGTCATCTGTTAGTGGCAGAAACTTTGTTATGCAGAGCATAACTGTATTTAAATTTGTGGGGGAAAAATACAGCCACCC
The DNA here is from genome assembly GCF_000001405.40 of Homo sapiens. Lineage (NCBI taxonomy): Eukaryota > Metazoa > Chordata > Mammalia > Primates > Hominidae > Homo > Homo sapiens. The sequence continues at coordinate 33,823,690 of NC_000016.10, read as the reverse complement.
AAGAACATAAAATTGATAAAACACTTCTTATGAAATGGAAGATAGAGAAATACTTTCCCAGGCAAAGAAAAACTGAAGAAATTCATCACTACTAGAATTACCTCACAAGAAATGTCAAAGGGTCTCCACTAGGTACCCAATAGAATGAGCTCCTGTTTCAGCCCCACTCTGGCATCTGTCCTGTGATTGTTCTGTGTAGATCTGCTTTCTGCTCTCTTAGGGTTTTTCCTCTCTTGAGTCATGTCTCCCTTCCCCTCCTTATTTTCAGTCTATCACCACAATTCATATTTAGCTGGGAACACTGGAGGCTTTGGAAGAGATTTTTATCTATTCTTCACCAGGTCTAATGAGTTCTCTCCATGGGTGTCCATGTCTGTTTTGTTTTCTTGCATTCCCGTGGGAGGATGTCCTTGTTCCTTGCGTACTTTCAGTACTGTGTTGAATAAGTGCTAAGAGTTCTCATCCTTGTCTTTTCCAGTTTTCAAAAGAAAAGAATTACTTTCTCTTAAGTATGATGTTAGCTGTGGACTTGTCATGTGGCCCTTATTGTGTTGTACTTTATTTCTGTACACAATTGAGAGTTGTTTTCCATGAAGAGATGTTGAATTTTCATCTTCTGCATCTATTAATATAGAAATATAGTTTTTATCCTTCATTCTATAGATGTGATATAACATGTTTTTTGACTTGTGTATGTTGAAGGGTAATTGAATCCCTGGGTTGAATCCCACTTGGTCATGGTGTATTATGATTATTATTATTTGAAATGCTGTTTGATTTGGTGTGCTAGTATTTTTAGATTTTTAAATTTATGTTCAACAGGATATAGATCTTTTACCGGAGTCCATCTGATTGCTTTTTATGGGTTTGTTCAGGCTTTCTACTCCTTCTTTTTTAATCTTGTTAGGTAGTATGTGTCCATGAATTTATCTAATTCCTCTAGGTTTTCAAATTTTTCACATAGACATGTTTATTATAGTGCTTCATAATTTATTTTAGTTCTGGTATATCAGTTGAGGCATCTTCTGCTTCTATTTTATTTATTTGGGTCATGGCTCTCTCTCTCTTTCTCTCTCTCTCTCTCTCTCTCTCTCTCTCTATATATATATATATATATATATATATATATATTCTTTTTTTGTTAGCCAGCTACTAATGGCTTTCAACTTTGCTTATCTTTTTTTGTTATTTTAATATTTTCTGGTATTTTTAGTCTTAATTCTGTTTATGTCTAATCTGTTCTTTGTTGTTTTTTAAAATAATTTTGAGTTTAGCCTTTTCTTGTTCTTAAAGTTCTCTGAGATGCGTTGTTATGTTGGTTATTTAAAATATTTCTGCTTCTTTGATGTGGGCATTTATTGCTATAAATTTGCCTCATAATACTGGTTTGGATAAGTGCCATAAGATTTGGTATGTTTCGCTTCTATTGTATTTGTTTCATATATTTTTATATTTTCTTCTTAATGTCTTCTTTCACCCATTGGCCATGTAAGAGTGTTTTGTTTAATTTTTGTGTTTATATAGTATTGAAATTTTCTCTAGGCTGGGCAGTGGCTCATGCCTGTAATCCCAGCACTTTTGGAGGCCAAGGCTGGTGGATGACTTTAGGTCCGGAGGTCAAGACCAGCCTGGCCAACTTGGTGAAACCCTGTCGCTACTAAGAGCACAAAAATCAGCTGGGCATGCTGGCAAGCACCTGTAATTTCAGCTACTTGGGAGGCTGAGGCACGAAAATCATTTGAACTTGGAAGGCAGAAGTTGCAGTGAGCTGAGTTTGTGCCACTGCACTCCAGCCTGGGCAATAGAGCAAGAGTTCATCTCAAAAAAAAAAAAAAAGAGAATTTCCTCCAATTACTGATGTTTAGTTTCATTTCATCTTTAATCAGATAAACAGTTGGCATCATTTTATATAAAAATTTTGACACATGTACTGTATTAACATATGGTCAATCCTGAAGAATATTGCATGTGCTGAAGAAAAGAATATGTGCTCTGAAGTTGTTTGGCTCAATGTTCTGTAAATGTCAGGTCCATTTGGAATATAGTGCAGTTTAAATCCAATGCTTCTCTGTTAATTATTGGCTAGATAATCTATCCAATGCTGAGTAATGTGTTAAATTATCCAAGTATAATTGTATAAAGTTAGAATCTGTCCCTTACTATGTAACATATTTGCCTTATATATTTGAGTTCTCAGGTGTGGGTACATATATATATATATATATATTTACAATTGTTATCTATTCTTGCTCCATTGATCATTTTTTTGTTATATAATGTCCATTTTGGTCTCTCTTTATAGCATTTGACTTGAAATTTCTTTTGTCTGATGTAAGTGCTCATTATTGGTTTCTATTTTTGTAGCATATCTTTTTTCCCCCATTCACTTTTAGTCCTTGTGTAGATTTTCAGATGATGTCACTCTTTTGTAAACAGCAGAGAGTTGGGACTTAAAAAAATCTATGTGAACAGTATATTTTTAATTGAGGAGTTTTATTTATTTACATATAAGGTTATTTTGAATCTCTGTTTCTATGCCTTCCATGTAGAACTGTGAGTCAGTTAAACCTCTTTTCTTTGTAAGTTACCCAGTCTTGAGTATTTCTTCATAGCAGTATGAGAAGAAAAAAATGCACTCTTTTGGTACCACCGAGAGTAAGGCACTGCTATAAAGATACCTGAAAATATGGAAGCAACATTGGAACTAGGTAAGAGATAGAGGCTGGAACAGTTGGCAGGGCTCAGAAGAAGACAGGAAGATATTGAAAAGTTTGTAATTTCCTAGAGACTTGTTGAATGACCTTGAACAAAATGCTGATAGTAATATGGACAATAAAATCCAGGATGAGGGGGTCCCAGATGGAGATTAGGAACTTTTGGGGAATTGGAGCAAAGGTGACTTCTGCTATGCTTTAGCATGAAGACTGGGAGCATTTTGTCTCTGCCCTAGAGATCTGTGGAACTTTGAACTTGAGAGAGGTGGTTTAGAGTATCTGGCAGAAGAAATTTCTAACCAGCAAAGCGTTCAGGACAAACAAGAGCATAAAAGTATGGAACATTTTCAGCTGACGATGCCATAGAAAAGAAAAACCAATTTTCTGGGTAAAAACTCAAGCATGCTGCAAAAATTTGCATAAGTAACAAGAAACCAAGTGCCAATCACCAAGAAAGTGGGGAAAAATGTCTTCAGAACATGTCAGAGGTCTTCACGACAGTACCTCCAATCACAGGCCAAGAGCCCCAAAAGGAAAATAATGGTTTCATGTGCCTGGTCCAGGGCTTTCCTGCTCTGTGCAGTTTTGGGAAATGGTGCCTTGAGTCCCAGCTACTTCAGCTCCAGCTGTAGCTTAAGGGGGCCAAGGCACAGCTCAGGCCACTGCTTCAGATGGTGCAAATCCCAAACCTTGGCAGCTTCCCTGTCATGTTTGCACAGAAGTTAAGAATAGAGATTTGGGAACCTCCACCTAGATTTCAGAAAAATGTATGGAAATGTCTTCATGTCCAGGCAGAAGTTTGCTGGTTGGGGGGTGATGTAGCCATCATATAAAACCTCTGTTAGGGTAGTGCTGAAGAGAAATGTGGGGTTGAAGCCACCATACAGAGTCCTCACTGGGCCTCTGCCTAGTGGAGCTGAGAGAAGAGGGCCACTGTCCTCCAGAAACCAGAATGGGAGATCAACTCACAGCTTCCACTCTGAGCCTGGAAAAGCTGAAAACACTCAACACCAGTCCATGAAAGCAGCTGGGAATGGGGCTGTACTTTGCAAAGCCATGGTGGCAGAACTGTCAGAAACCATTAGAGTCCACCTCTTCCATCAGCCTGACCTGGAAGTGAGACGTGGAGTCAAATGAGATTATTTTGGAACTTTAAGGTTTAATGACTGCCCTATTGGATTTTGATCTTGCATGGGCCTGTAGCTCCTCATTTCAGCCAATTTCTCCCATTTGGAATGGGTGTTTTTCCTCAATATCTATACTTATATTGTATCTAGGAAGTAACTAACTTGCTTTTGATTTTACAGGCTCATAGGTGGAAGGGACTTACCTTGTCTCTGATGAGATTTTGGACTTGGACTTTTGAGTCAGTGCTGGATTGAGTTAAGACTTTAGGGGACTGCTCCACTCCAGATTGTTGACAGAACAAGACTCCGTCTCAACAACAAAAAACAAAAAAAAGAAAAAAAAAGACTTTAAGGGACTGTTGAAAAGGCATGATTGTGTTTTGAGATGTGAGGACATGAGATTTGGAAGGGGCCAGGAGAAGAATGATATGGTTTCTCTGTGTCCCCACCCAAAATCTCATCTTGAATTATCATCCCCATAATCTCACATACGAATAGTGGGACCCGATGGAGGTAATTTAATTGCAGGAGTAGGTTCCCCCAGGCTGTTCGTGTGATAATGAGTGTGTCTCACAACATGTGATGGTTGTATAAGCATTTGGCATTTCCCCAGCTTGCAATTTTCCATCCTGCTGCCTTGTGAAGAAGATGCCTCGCTTCCCTTTTCCCTTCTGCCATAATTAAAAGTTTCCAGAGGCCTCCCCAGCAATGCATAATTTTGAATCGATTAAGCCTCTTTTCTAAATAACTTACTCAGTCTTGGATATTACTTCATAACAGTGTGAAAACTGACTAATACAGAGTTTTCTTCTAATATTTTAACATGATACATTTAGATTAATGTAACTATGTATTTATTTCTAAGATGGAGTGTGACTCTGTCACCCAAGCTGGAGTGCAGTGGCATAATCTCAGCTCACTTCACCTCTGCCTCCCAGGATCAAGCGATTCTCCTGCCTTAACTGCTGAGTACCTGGGAATAAAGACACGTGCCACAACACCCAGCTACTTTTTGTATTTTTAGTAGAGATGGGGTTTTACCATGTTGGCCATGCCAGTCTTGAACTCTTGACCTCAGGTGATCTGCCTGCCTCCACCTCCCAAAGTGCCAGGATTACAGGCCTCAGCCACCATGCCTGGCCAAGATTAATATAAATATGTAATTTAATGATGTATTTGAAAAGTTCATGGTCATACAAACACACATACATACACAACAGCCCAGCAAAGACACATACATGTGCCCATGCAAAAATGCATGTATATTTAAACATCACACCAACACACCCATTTGTTTCATATTATTTAATTATTTAATTGCATTTAAATTGTGTTTGCAGTTTGAGGTTGTAGTACAAAATAATATTTTTCTATGTGTCTGTCTGCCTATTCCAATATTAAAATACAAACATATTTCAATTCGTGTTTTGGCAAAACTGAATGTAAATGCAATTATTGGCATATATGTTATTTAAATGTATAATGGTATTTAATTTTAAATATCAGTCTGTTATTAATGAATAGAATAATAAGACAAACTTCACTTTTTAAATTGTATTACATTATTTGTTGAATTAACATTATGGTTTTAAACTAGGCAGGATAAATTTTTTTTATTTGAAAAGTTGTGAAAAAACATTTTATGGCATGAATATTTAATACAAACTCTAGTCCTTATTTGCCAATATCCTTTATAATAGAGAACATCCAGTAATATGAAACTGAACCCAGCTCATGCTTTCCAGGAGTCACTCACATTGGCAGCTTCCTAGAGGGTGGTCAGAGAGTGTGCAAACACATGGGGATTTGGGCTTCATCATCAAAGCACTAGTGAGCCCCAGGACTGAGCACACAGAGGGCAGCAGTAGCTGTGGAGCCCACTCTGTGGTACTTAGGGAAAGGAGGGGATTGGATGGGGGTGATGTCTGCAGGACCCTAGAAAAGGGTGAGGAGGGCAGATAATCTGCAGGTAGATGAGTATATTCTAAGAATGGTCATCCTCCTAAACTTGGTTGGCTTCAATGATTATGAAGAGAAGAGAAGTGATTCACCACACATGGAAGACAGAAAGTAAAGGGACTTTCTGTTTCCTCCCTGGAGACTTAGGAAGATAAAAGGCTTTCAAAGAAGAAAGGAAGGTGAAGAAACAGTCTGCAAAACAGGACATTAGAAGCCAACCAAAGTGGAGAACAAGAGTCTTTAAAGTGCTGTTTAATTTCCACGAACAGTAGATAAAACAAAAAGAAACAAAACACCATGCATATGCTGAGTTAAAGTAAGAAAACCTATGCGATTGTTTGACTCTTACAGCACATGAACACAAAACTCTTTTATTCGGGGAAACAGAGTTTGTATTGAGGATTCGCATTTTTTAAGACTGGGTCTCACTTTGTCACCCAGGCTGGAGTGCAGTGGCACAATCACAGCTCACTGCAGCCTCAACCTCCCAGGCTCAGGAGACCCTCAAGCCTCAACCTTCCAAGTAGTTGGGACCACAGGTAGCACTACACCCAGCTATTTTTTTTTTAATAGAAAGGATCTCACTATGTTGCCAGGCTGTTGTAAAATTCCTGAGCTCAAGTGATCTGCCTGCCTCAGCCTCCCAAAGTGCTGGGATTACAGGTGTGGTTTTTTAAATTTTACTCTTTTAATGATAGTATTATTTCAAATGAATATAATATATAAAGAATCTATTTTAAAAATTGTACTGAGAGATCATTGCTAGTGTTATTCAGAAAATATGCAACATTAGAAGTTGAATTAAATCCCTGTTCTAAGTTAATGTTTTGCAGGTAAAAGAATCCATGGAGTTAAAAGGAAGAAATGGTGAGAGATCCTGGGAAAGCCTTTTGCTTGACCAGGTCAAGAATCACCAAAGTTTAAAAGGAAACCACAGCCTCCCAGCCTCCTGATGTGGAGCTGCTTCCTAAGAGAACCCTCGTGAACTGAGCACCCCCAGTGTCCTGAGCGTCCCCTGGTGGTTCTGAGTGCCCCTTTGTGTCCTCAGGGCCACCTGGTGTTTCTGAGCACCGTTTGGTGTCCTGAGCGCCCCCTAATGGTCCTGGGCATTCCTTGGTGATCCTGAATGCCCCCTGGTGTCCTCAGCGCCCCCTGGTGGTTCTGAGGGACCCTGGTGTCCGGAGCGCCTCCTTGTTTCCTGAGCGCATCCTGGTGTCCTGAACACCCCCTGGTGTCTGGAGCACCCCCTGGTGTCCTGAGCACCTCCTGCTGGTTCTCAATGCTCCCGGCTGTTCTGAGCATCTCCTGCGCTCCCGAGTTTGCCTTTGTTGTCCTGAGCCCGCCCTTGTTGTCCTGACCGCCCCCTCGTGTCCTGAGCGCCCCCTGGTGGTTGTGAGCAGCATCTACCATGCAGTTCACTCCTCTCTCCCTGCAGAGATTTTTGTGTCTGGGCTCACACGGATGTTCCCTCTCCTGTGTCCCTCACTGTAATATACAGCCTTGTCCTTGGCTTTCAGATTGGTCATTTTAAGGTAGACTGCACTTGAAAGGGTGTTGTTTGGGACTGTTAATTTACTTATACTCATGGAGAGTAACCCTGAGAACTCCCACTTGTTCACTCACTGTTGCCACCCACACCAATCCCTGTCATGAAATCTGCTGGACCAAGCTCATGCTTTAGTCAGTAAAGGTGAATCCAGAGGCTTTGCAGGAGAGTCTCAGAGAAACCCTGGGCAAACCATTTTCCCTCTGACTCCACCAGTGAACTTCACTCAGGACTTCTGCAAACACAGAGGAAGCCAACTGAGAAGAGCCCATGAGGAGCAGCCACAGCTGGACCTGATTCACAAGGGACCATAATATTGAGGGTGATGAGAAGGGAATCCCAGATCCAGACCTCATGGTGTGGACACTGAGGAAGGGAACATACATGGGGTGGCTCCTCACCAGGCCTGAAAGAACGGGGATGAGCTGCCTTTCATGAGGAGGGGAGGAGACACATTTCCACGTCTTTTTGTGGTCATGTGTGCACAACTCAGCATTGCTCATCCATCCTCTGGTCTGCATTTTAGGGAGGCCAAGGTCAAAGTATGCCCGGGTCTGGATGCACAGGGTTAATCTGCCCATTACTCTTTCTTATTCTCTAATGTGGGCACTGCTGAGGAATCTTCATAGTTGCAAACATTATCAACAAATAAGTCCAGTAAGAACATGAGGAATACATTTCCAGAGAAAATGGACATCTGTCAGTAATCAGTGCTTTTGGAGCTGCAAACCACTGTTCTTGACAATAAGGCAAAGTTAAATTACAATGCAAAATTATAATTACAATGCAAAAAATGCATTTCAGGGTTGGGGTTTATAATTTTCATTATCTTGAGATCATTTTGCAGCAAACAGTTCAACATTAGATATATGTACTTGTGTAAGGAAAAAATGTGGAAATGCATGTACGTATCTGAGTGAAGAGTTCTCATGGAGACATATCTGATTGTTTGAGACAGGAGTCCACATTAGAAAATGTCTTTTTTCTGAGGAAAGAGTAAATGTAAGGACATATGTGGTAGTCTGAGGAAAGAGTTCATGTGAGGACATGTGTGTTTGTCTGAGGGAAGAATCCACATGAGTAAAGGTGTGTTTGTCTGACAGAAGGGTCCATATGTTGACAGATGTGTGTACCCATCTGAGGGTAAATGCTCATTCAGGGACAGCATATGCCTGAACTGAGCTGAAGTTTGGGGAAAATCTTTCTCAACCAAGGAAAGAAAATAATCTTCTGGGTTATTTGCTTGTCATTAATAAAAAACCTGGCTAATGTAGAAAATTGATTTTTTAAAATAAAAGATCTTTAGTGAATGGAAGCATCTTATATGAAAATGAGGAAAATTATTTCATTCTTAGTTTCATGCATCTCCTGACATCCCCACACTCACAAATATGTTGTTAGATAATTTTATACAGTCTGCATTTAATCCAAGGTTTAATGAACTGCTAAATATTTTTTTTAAATTGTATATATTTGGTTTTGTATTTTTATCACAAAATTATGATCTTAGACAAATTAATTGTGTCATATCTCAACCATGGCATATGACTAAATACAGTTTTACTCTTCTTAAACAGTATATTTTTTGCTTATTTTATACCCACTTCTCTAAATTCCTGGAATATCCTCTATCTGTTTACTTGGCTATAGTTTGGGCTTTTACTGAATTTCAAATAAATGAAATTATACAGTGTAATTGAAATGACTTTACTGAAGAAAGTTGAAAATGAAATTGCTGACCTAAGTAACTTTGCAAATGAGGAAATTATGTATTGCGGGATCTGGCCAGCAGCCCACAATGCAATGGGGCTCTCTCTTTGTTCCCAGGCGGATTGGCAGGTTGAGAAATAATAGACACACACAAGACAATGAAAGCTGGGTCCAGGGGGGTCACCACCTACTGGTCCCACAGTGCCAACAATGCACTGGATGTACCAGCATTTATTATTAAGTTTTAGTGAGGGTGGGGGTAGGTTAGTGAGGGATTTAGGGTCATTTGATTATGAGGTGAGATGGTGACATGGGGATGAAGTAATTCTTTAACATAACATTTGTATGTAGAAGTACAGTGCACAGAGATAAGAATTTACAATATAGTGTGTGCGCCAGTAATTTCTAACAGAGCCTTAAAACAGAAACGCAATCTTTCCATAACCTACGATTAGCAAGGTATTAATATATTATATAATACATATATAATATTATAATATAATGTATATAATACATATATAATATAATATAATGTATATAATACATAAATAATATATTATATATAGTATATATACTATTATATATAGTATATATTATCTATATTATATATATATTTTATATATTATATATATATATATATATATATATATATATATACTGTTGTAGTTTCCCATTGATCTTAATGACAGGGCATGTTATATATATTATATATACATATTAGGGTTCTCTAGAGGGACAGCACTATATATATATATATATATATATATATATATATATATATATAGTTTCCATAGTCTGTGGTATAGACTAGGTGAAATGGACTTTACAACCTCCTGAAGGGTAACACCCAGACTGTCACCTGAACTTCCTGAAATCCTGTGCCCTGGGGATTGGACAAACCTTAAAACCAAAGCCACTGTTAAGTTAGCTCAGCCTTTGATTGAGCATGGCAATCTGCCTATACTTGACTTCCGGGGTGGGTGAGGGAGAATTCCTGCCTGGAACAATGTCACATTACAAAGAATTTTCACAATGCTCATGAGACATCTCGGACCTTCCATCAGAAGCGTTCAGGATGGCAGGAGACTGGACATGATGAGCAAACATGGGGATAGGAGGAAGGAAACAGAGAATGGAAGGAGGTGACAGCTGACAAGGCCTTGTGTTCTCAGATGCTGAGCATGAAATGAAGCATTTATGATGAAGGAAACAGAACAGATGTATGCTACAATATTAAATATAAAACAGTAAATTACAGCAGGTGGCTTCACAGCAGCTTAGACACAGCAGAGGAGAAGAGGATGGAATTGGAAGATCGATGCTCAGGACGGATGCAGAGTGAAGCCGAGGACCCATCAAAGAGGATTTGGGAGTTGCAGGCTCTGGGAGTGGACCCACCCCAGAAAGAGAGAAGGAGAGGGATGGGAGGAAGAAGGAATGTTTGAAATTACTCCTTAGAGAACCAGGACAGCCCCTTGGGCCAAGCAGCCCATGACCCTTGCAGCCTCAGAGGTCCAGACTCCAGCCTGGCCTCACGTGCTGGTTGGTCTTGTCCCTGCCAGGCCAGAACCCTCCTCAGAACCCAGAGCCCCCACAGCTCTCCCTCACCCTATGCCCAGGACATGTCTCCTGTGCTCTCTTCTCTGGCCCACAGGTGGGAGTTTACACCTGCTCGGGTGGCCTCGGCATCCACACAAACAACCTGGTAACAGTTGTCCTGCTCCCTCCACCTGGCACAGCTTGGATCTCCCACAGTGCAGGCCCCATGTTTAGGAGTGATTAGAACACACAGAAGGACAGTTCAAGACAACAGGTGCTGAGGCAGGCAGATTTGGAGGATTTAAGTGCTGATGTTCTTGAAAGACCATTTCCATGGGGTTAATGGTGGTTTCTCTTGGTGAACTGTTGGCTTGTGTTTTTGATATTGTTGTTGCTCTAAATAGTGTTTACCTGACTTCAATATGAACTCTATTGGTCGCAATCTTTGTTAAAATATGTATCATTCTAAAAGTTCACATGGCATTAGATTTTTTGCTCAAACTACCTATAATATTTCTCCAACAGAGTGCACATTTGCCTTCCTTCTGCACATACCTCCGCCCCCTGCCCTGAGCAGTGTCTCAGCGGTTCCCATCTGTTTAGGGGGTGGGGCAGGAGACACAGGCCCTGACACAAGGTGGGGCTGTGCCAAGCACGGTGGTCTTGCATGGGCACTGAGTGGGTGGGCCCTGGAGAGAGGGGAGGTCATTCCCCCAGGGAACCCCCCATGCCACAGGGGAGAGGTCAGCTGGAGCACGAGGTGGGGGGCAGAGATGCATAAAGGGTGGGACGGGGCCTGCTGCTCTATCAGCAAAACCCCTCACACCCGAAGGACACACAGGTGGAGGGCTGTATTCACTGACCTCACACTCACTGTCCATTAGCGTTCACCCACAAAATAATAGAATACACTGAGAGAGGCACAGGAATGGATTGCTCACATCTTTATGACAGCTGAATGGAGGAAATTTCTAAGCAGGTTCAGAGAAAGGATATCAAGCTGTGTTTGGAGAAAGGGGTGGGAATTCTAAACAATATCTATGGAAGCAGAACATCTAGAACCACAGATGTATTCAGAAAAATGCTAGATCTCAGTACTACCCTAGAATATGAGCGGTTTTCTGTGGATGGTATGAGAAGGGTGATTTCTTCCGTTGGTGGGCTTTGCCTTTGAAATTCTCTGTGACATACCTACACTGCATTTTAAAAGTCAATATTATTGTGAATTTTAATTTAAAATAAAATGTTATCTCATTCGGTTATTTATACATTTAACTTCCATTTTCCTTTACAATAACTCAGCGACACACCTAGCCCTGTTTTACACCTGGACCAGCCTGTGCTGCTACAAGCCTGGTTTCTCTTCCTCATCACGACTTACTCAGCTTTCCTTCCCATTTCAGTTCAAGGAATTGTGGGGGCAGGAAGGAAGGGGGCAGCTGCCACTCACGGAGCTCACACTAAATGCCAGAGAGCTTGCCCCGCACATCTACCTATTTTTCTAGTTGAATTTCATTGCATGCAGCAATCAACTTCAGGGATTCATTTTCCCACATACGGGAAGCTTGGCCCCAGGTAGGGGGATTTGCTTGGTGGGGTATTTGAACCCAAGTTCCTCTCACTGCAAAGCCCACAGCACCCCCGTGAGGAACAGACAGGGAACAGGGAGTAGCCCTGGATCACCCTAAACTGACTTCGGGTTTAGAGAAGGACAGACTACCTGGGGAATGAGGAAGCTCATTGCTCTGGAGTTCTCTTCTAGAGAAATGTCATGAATGTGCCCTGTAAGGAGCTGGTGGCAACTTCCATTAATTCTGGGACCAGCAACCTCAGATCAAGAGCCAGATGCTCACTCAGGTCTCTCCAGGCCAGAGGTTCTGGCCAAGTTTGGGATCCCAGGGGAGTCTAAGAAAATGTGGAAGGCACCAAAATGTGTTTTTGAAGATTTATTTCAGAGCGAGCATCAGTGACCTACAAGAACCTGGACAGAAGCCAGTACCTCCCGTTTCCCCCATGATGTGAGACAGGACCCTGTGCCTCCTGTGGACTTCAAGAAATGTGGACTTGAGCTTTGCCATCCCTTCCTTTGATGCTGTTCCATAGATTTTGCTGTTATAGTCTCTGTATCTTTACAGGGATCAGGAGGCTGAATTAGTCTTATTCAGGGTTAGTAACTGTCCATCCCTTAACAGTGGTGGTCCTGATAGTTCACACATTTGTGGCCATCCCAAAGAGCAGTGCAATTATGAAGGTGTAAATACGACCAAAGACCACTCTCAGATACATCACTGATTGTTGGCTTTGTTTGACCGAACGTGTTATTTTTGGAGGTGGCCCGCTGTCGACACTCCCACCAGCACCTCTTCTTAGGCACAGTGGAGGATCCCAGCCTATATGGCAATGGCAGTTCCTTCTGTTGTTGCACACCCCTCTATGACTGCACTTCTCAGGGCGACAGTCATAGCCCAGTGAAGTGATAGTCGCATTGCACCTGGTGTTATTACAGAAGTTTCCATGAACACAAGGAGTGCCATCTATCACACACCCAACATCAGTTGTGTCTGTTGCACGGTGGTCATCCAGTCCAAAACACTGAAATCCTCCTGTCACTGAGTGATGGAATGAAACATGTTCCTGCAGCCGGGGAAGATGGGTCACACTGGTACACTGCAGTCTTCCACAAAACTTATCTATTCCTGCACAAGCCTGGTTGTTGAGAGCTGTTTGTCGTCGAGTACAATGTCCAAATCGGTAACTTTCAAGATTTATGTCATAGCAGACCTCAGGAGCCTCCTCAGCACTGACACCAAAGATTACCTTGCAGAGCACATTGCGGTCAGTGCAGTTCCCATGATAGCAGTAGCCTTCTTCAGTGCACGGGGTTCCATCTTGCATATAAAAGTTTGCGGGGCATGTCACGGTGGTCCCGTGACAGTACTCTGGAAGGTCACATATATTTTGGATAGGTCTGCAGAGAGTCCCTGGTGGGGAGTAGCTGCAGTTTGTACAGCACTCTCCTATATGACAGATGCTCCCCGGTGTTAAGCGACAGTCACTTCGGCAGCAATAACTGGCATAACACTACTTGAAGGAGCCACAGTCACATTCCTCCCTCCCATCCGCTATGAGGTTTCCACAGCGAACCATTGTCATGGTTTCATTATACACAGGAGCAAGTGTTTTGAAAACACACCGGGCTGAATGTACAAAACAATTTTGTGCATGTCCATAAGAACAGTTACTGAACGCATCTGTCATCCCAGGATATTGCTGCATAATGCAGAAGGCCCTTTTCTGACATGTGCAGTAGTTATCATCACCAGTACTTCTCACCAGTACTTCTCATCAGTGTCTGGGTTGTTATGACGGCTACTAATAAATAATGTCTGCCTAGAGTACCAATGTGTAATAGGCCTAAATGTGTACAGAAGCTATACCTTTGTGGTTCATAGTTACATTCATGTGGTGCCTCTTTAATAAGTAGTGTGGGTGAATGAACACGAAAAGTATCAAAAAAGGTTGTTCTAAAATAGGTAAACATTGCACTCTGAACTCGATAGTCATTCACAGGGGCTGGGTCACAATTATTATATATGGTCAAAAGATAAATATAGTACCGCAGATCAATATTTTGAACAATGCTGTCACTGAGACTGAACATCTGGACCACCTCCTTGGAACAAGTTGTAATATTGTCATCTACACGACAATATGAATTGGAACATTGAACGTGGCCTTTTATATTGCCTCTATGAGAACTATACAGCCAATTAGATATCCTGGGATTCATGCTGTCATTTGCTTCAGAGAACAGGGGGTTTGTCTCCTCATTGTCACCATCTCTAAATGTGGGCCCCATTGCGTTGGGCTCGGCCACTATCTGAGAAACATGTTCAAGCCTGCGGGAATCCTGGAGGGGTTTGATTTCATAGGCAAGGTCGTCCAGCTTCATGATGCCTCTGAGGCCCCCACAGCACATGTCCACGGTGACCATGGACAGAGGAACCTCCTCCAGGTAGCTGAGATAGTAGCAGTCTGGAGGGATGTAGGGGTCATCCATCTGCAAGGCTCCTTGGTCATCCTGAGTTGTCACCAGCAGATGTCTGGGCCAAAGAAGGTGTTTCCTCCGCATGTGAATGATGTGTCTTTGACCCCCAAAATGCAGGCTGTAGGACAGCCAGCCCAGAAACTGAAGGTCTTTGCCGTGGTGCGTCTCCTTCCTGGGAATCACCACCTTGGAGGATGCGTAGTGCCACGAGGGATGGCCTTGAGAACACCGGACTGGAGTCAGGAGCACCCAGAGCCCCAGCAGCAAGAGGGGGGCCCTAAGGGTGACCCGCGCCTCTGCCTGCCTCATGTCCCAGCCCAGGGATAGTCATCCAAAGACAATGGGAAAGGAAAGGACTGTCCTCGGCAAAGCCAGGCCCCAACCAGCTGCGGTGGCTGCGTCCCTCCCAGGGAGACCCTGACAGAGAACAAAGGGCCTCCCCAGGCTCCCACACCACACGCTGGGGCACCTGGACTCCGGGAGAGAATAAGGTAACAGTCCCAGGGCGGGGCAGGGGGCGGGCCTGGACAGGATGGCAGCTGCTGCACTGCAGGATGAGGCTGAGGGTCATGGCTGTGAGGGCTCATCGGGAAGGGAAAAGGGAGAGGGAAGCAGGGCTCTGTCTCTTTTACCACTGTCAATCTTTTCTGTTGCTTTCTGAATCTACAAAATACAATGATGTGTGTTCAATGCCCTCGCATCACCCATGTTATTCTCGGTCACTCTGTGGGTTAATAGTGCTCCTTTCTGTGGCTCACATTGCTTACTCCTTCGTCACGTGGAGGTAGATACTGCCAATATTTTCCTTGGGGATTGAATATTTTTCTACTCTTAATAAGTACCCATGTCTTATTCTTTTTGTTGTTGTTTCATTTTGTTGTGGCTTTGAAGTTTTGTTTGAAGTTACCAGATTGTGAAAGGAAAATATCTTGGGCCCCGTCAAGCTGGGAACCACTCAGGGCAAATCTGCCTTCCAGTCTATTAAAAGTTGTCCCTCTGGTCACAGAGATAGATGCATATTCTCATGGCCTCCTTTGCAAACACTTATCAGAAACTGAAAAGAATGCAACCATCTGTCTGTCACCTACCTGTGACCTGGAAGCCCTGAGTGGGGAGGACTTGTTTTGAGTTGTCTCAGCCTTTCTGGATGGAACTAATGTCCTTCTTACTTATATTGATTGATGTCTCATGTCTCCCTGAAATGTGCAAATCCAGCTGTGCCCAACCACCTGGGGCACATGTCATCAGGACTTCCTGAGGCTGTGTCACAGGTGTGTCCTCAACCCTGGCAAAGAAAACTTTCTAAATTAACTGAGATCTGTCTCAGAGTTCCTGGGTTCACAAGATCAACAGTTGGTATAGGGTAACTTTTTCTTCTGTGCTATGTTAAACCCTTGAGAATTATGATACTTTTTACTTAGTCCATCTATTGGGAACAGACGCTATTCCTGACCCCATGAGAGCCCCAGGTGCTGTCCCTCCGATGCTTCTGTATGGTTCTCTCCTGGTCTTTGGTCATTTCTTCAGATGCAAGAGCTGATCAGTTCTCAGGGAAGGACACAGGGGGCCCTCTGTGGGTGTCTCATGTCTGAGAACAAATATTTCGTGTATTTCTCCCATACTGAGTCTTCTGTGTTCAGTCCTGATTACCAGATGGAAACCCCTGGGAATCCCAGGGCTGTGGGTCTTCTCTCAGAGCTGCAGGGTCAGGTCTGTGCTTATTTTCACTCGGAGAGAGAGGGCCCTGTTTTCCTGCCTTCTCTTCTGTAGCAAGCTGTGATGTGGGATGCCTGAGGAGAGGGCAGAGCCCAGAGCAGATGTGAGACACCTGGAGGAGTTCATTGGCAACAGTAGCACTTGGAAAATATGATTACTTATAATGTGACTGTACCATGAAACTCACTTAGCAATTATTATTTTTCACACATGTGTACAAATTCAAATACAACTGCATTAAGCAAACTTTAAGAGATATAAAGAGAGAAATAGAAAACAATATAAACATAAGAGAAGACCTTAATACCTCACTTACAATAATGTTTAGCAAATCCAGAAAGAAAATTCTTAAGCCTCTGAATTTGAACAACACTATTGGACAAATTCACCTGAAAGACAGTTATAGAACCTTCGAACCAAGAGCCATGTAATACACGTTCTTCTCGAGCACAGATTGAACATTCTCCATGATAGGTTATATGTTACATCATAAAATGAGCATTAACATTTAAAGAAGTAATGCTAACCATTCTCTCTTTCAAAAATTTGTGAAAAGTCAACCTTCCAAACTATTTCTGAGGCTACCATTACACTATTACCAGTAATATTACCATTAATAGACAAAGGCACCACAATAAAATAAAATTATAGATCAATATCATTGGTAGACAAAAATTAACCACTCCAAATTTAGTAAACTAAGTTCTAAAGTTTTTTTAAAAACCATACACCATGATCAACTCAAATTTATTCTGAGTTGCACAGATGATTCAGTCTCCTCAAATCAATCAATTTGGTACACCACATTAAAAAACTAAAGAAAAAATATCTCAATAGCATTTCAACAGACATAGAAAAAACATTTGAAAAAATTCAGGGTTTCATTATAAAAACTCTGAACAAAGTAGGAAGACAGCAAAACAACTTGTACATAATAAAAGCCATTAAGAAAAGTCACAGCTATTGTTATACTCAATAGTAAAAGGTTAGAATATTTTGGTCTAATATCTGAAACAAGGCAAGAATAAAGCTTGAGGTATTACACTTCCAGGCCTGAAAATTTATTATAAACATAGAGTAATAAATCAGAATGGTATTGGCATAAATGCATACAGAGAGCTTAGATATAAACCCACATATTGATGGCCAGCTGATTTTCAGCATGAGAACCAGTGATATACAATGTCTAAATTATAGTGTCTTCCAAAGAGCATGTTATGAAAACTGGATTTTCACATGCAAAGAATTAAGAATTTTAGGATAGAATAAACACAAAAATTAACTCTAAATGCATTAAATATTTAAATGTAATATGTGTAATTATAAAACTCCCACCCCTGAAAAAATTAGCAATCTTTTTCTGGATTTTACATTCAAAGCACGTACAAAAAAAGCAGAATTGAACAAGTGGGACCAGAATTTACAAAAGATTCTGCAAAGCAACGAAATAATTCCAACTTACAGAATTGGATAATATACCATGTATCTGAAAAAGTGTTTATATCCAATATATAAATAAAACTTCCATAACTCAATAGCAAAAATAAAAATAGCCTGATTTTAAAATAATTGGTTTTACACCTTTAACAGTATAAGAACCTAGAACTCAGGTTAAATGTTTTCCTCCATGGCTAATGATCTGTCATATGGTGTACTTGGCTGGACAATAATTTGTATTGATTTGACAAAACACTAATCCGGGTGGTGGTGTGAATTTTTCAATAGACATTATTAAAACTGTAACCAGTTGACTCTATGTTAGGTAGATTATCATGGATAACCAGCTTAGCCCTGAATCCAACAGAGCAGATCTGGAGAAGGTAAAACTCCAGGGTGATTAAGCAGCTTCAGCTCTTTCTGAGACTTCCAGCCTGCACTTACTGATGGCCAGCCCTGAGGATATTGGAGGTTTCCAGCCATCCCCCAAAATTGTCATCCCCTACATCTCACAGGAAAGTGGCATGTCCCTCTGCACCTTGTCACACCTGAATATCAGAGAGAAAGAGATTCTCCAAAATCAAATAATATTTAGTTGAAAATGAGCATTGTAATGGGAATATGCATGGGCACATTTAGGTAGATAGAGGAAGACAAGTGTTTTAAAGGATAAATGAGGAGGCTTACATGAGCTGTTTTGAGACAACTATCCGGGGGTAGAAGAATCAATAACAAGGGTAGAATAAGTTTAAGGTTGGACAGGGAGTGGCAGGGCAGATATCCCCACAGTATTAATTCTCTTATTGTTGTGGTAGCCTTAGCCTTTGTTCAAGGTTGTAGTTGTGCAGATAATTTGTGTGTGTGTGTGTGCGTGCATGTGTGTGAGAGTGTCACTCTGTCACTCAGGCTGGACTGCAGTGGCACAATCTTGGCTCACTGCAACCTCTGCCTCCGGGGTTCAAGCGACTCTCCTGCCTCAGCCTCCCAAGTAGCTGGGACTACAGGCATACACCACCATGCCAGGCTATTTTTTGTTTTTTGTATTTTTTAGTAGAGACGGGGTTTCACCGTCTTGGCCAGACTGGTCTCCAACTCCTGACCTCAGGTGATCTGCCCACCTTGGCCTCCCAAAGTGCTGGGATTACAGGTGTGAGCCACCACACCCGGCTGTGCAGAGTATTTTTATGGTACTTCTTGTTATCAAGGATGTGTGCATGAGAACCCTCTGTTCATGACCTTCTCCAGCTTCACCTGTAAAGTTTATAACTCAAGTTGTTCTATTTTGATTCTGACAACTTTCACACCCTCTTCCTCACACCGCTAGTGAAGAAAGTTACTCTGTGAAGGTTTCTGAGAACAGGATTAGCTCCACATCCACAT
Organism: Homo sapiens; assembly: GCF_000001405.40. Taxonomy (NCBI): domain Eukaryota; kingdom Metazoa; phylum Chordata; class Mammalia; order Primates; family Hominidae; genus Homo; species Homo sapiens. The sequence continues at coordinate 33,804,514 of NC_000016.10, read as the reverse complement.
CCCACATTAACCAAACAAGCTTGGCCCCTTCAGTTCCCACCGGCAACTTGCATTTCCAGATAAGTCTCCATGCAACACAGTGGAGGGTCCTGAGTGACGAGGAGTGAAGAAAGTCCCACCAGCCTCTCCCGCGTGACTGCAGCAGCCACAGCCTGAGACCCACCTGAGCGCCAGGAAAGGGCTTGAGGCCTGGAATTTTGACCACAGGGAAACATCTTCCTTTTCCAGAAAGCAGGAAAAGCAAACGGAAAAATGAGAACAACGACTGAAAAAGGAAGTAAATGGATTAGGAACAAAAGAAGCACCAGATCAGTGTTGATGCTGATTTGCATATTTAGTGTCAGAAGAAGGATCAGACGTGAAACCTGTGAGGTTCTACATGACACTGACCCTGGCCCAGCCTCTATCGTCTGTGATCAGGATCTGTAAAGACTGTTCCAGTCATGGAGGCTCACTGAGGTCCCTGTCCTGGGTCTGATTGGAGAAGACTCATCAGGAAACCCTGAGCTTACTCAGGGCTCTGATCGTGGTGACCATGTTTGAGGACTTTATATATATATATATATATATATATATATATATATAATATATATATATTTTATTATACTTTAAGTTCTAGTGTACATGTGCACAATGTGCAGGTTTGTTACATATGTATACATGTGCCATGTTGGTGTGCTGCACCCATTAACTCATCATTTACATTAGGTATATCTCCTAACGCTATCCCTCCCCTCTCCCCACACCCCACAACAGGCCCTGGTGTGTTCCCCTTCCTGTGTCCATGTGTTCTCATTGTTCAATTCCTACCTGTGAGTGAGAACATGCGGTGTTTGGTTTTTTGTCCTTGTGATAGTTTGCTGAGAATGATGGTTTCCAGCTTTATCCATGTCCCTACAAAGGACACGAACTCATCAATTTTTATGACTGCATAGTATTCCATGGTGTATATGTGCCACATTTTCTTAATCCAGTCTATCATTGATGGACTTTTCATCCCTGTAAGCATCAATCTGCATTTTGTGCATGTGAAAATAGCTCTTCATATTAAAATAATCTCCTTCAAATACTTAGCGAAGACATTGTTAGGCAAAGAATTCTAAACTTAGAGAGGTTCCCTGGCGAAACTAAGAAGTAGAGAAAGTCCCACATCCTGACAGGAAATCAGCCTCCATCTGCACCTGCCTCCGGGGCTGACTCTGATTAGTGGCTCCTGAGCGCCCCCTGCAGCTGATTCCACCCTGTGTTCCTGCAGGGAGATTTGTGTCTGGGCGCACAATGACCTCCCCTCACTGTGTCTCTTGCACAGTAATACACGGCCGTGTCCTCCACTCTCAGGCTGTTCATTTGCAGGTAGAGCGTGTTCTTTGAGTTGTCTGTGGAGATGGTGAATCTGCCCTTCACAGAGTCTGCGTAGTTTGTGCTACAACCACTACTACTAATGTATGAGACCCACTCCAGACCCTTCCCTGGAGCCTGGTGGATCCAGCTCATGTACCAGCTACCGACGGTGAATCCAGAGGCTGCACCGGAGAGTTTTAGGTACCCCCCAGGCTGGGCCAAGCCTCTCCCAGACTCTACCAGCTGCACCTCACAGTGGACACCTGCAAACACAGAGACACTGGTCAGAAACTCCCACACATATCCAGTGTTTCTCTCACTCATGTTCACTCACACTCAATCTCTTTAGTTCTCCATGAATCACCTTGTAAAATAGCAACAAGGAAAACCCAGCTGAGCTCAAACTCCATGGTGAGTCCTCTGTGTTCAGTGCTGATCACCGAATAGAAAGCCTCGGAATCCCAGTGCTGGGGCTCCTCTCCCAGAGCTGCAGGGTCAGGGCTGGGCTGGTTTTCATCAGCAGAGGGAGGCCCCTATTTCCATGTCCCCCACTATATAGCAAGCTCTGGGGTGGGACATCTGAAGAGAGGGCCAGGCTCCGTGCAGATGAAGTGTCCTGGGGGAGATTGGTAGTAATTCCATCATTCAGGAAAATATAATTTTATATTATGTGATTGTGCCTTGATTAACATTTAGCTCTCATAATCTGATTTTATTTTTACATATTTACACAATATATTTAATGCAGCTTTCAATGTTATATTTTACAGAATATAATTTACATAGAGAATACAGCAGTTGTGCAGTGCATCTAAGTTTATACATCTAAACAAATTTAGTCCTATTATCTGGGCCTGTGCTCTAAACACTGGAGGAGGCAGCTCCCCTGAGACAACTCCAGGGCAGTGTGGCCCATGCCTAGTGAAGTCTGCAGGATTCCCTATCTGTTATGACAACTTTCTGTAATTTACCCAAATATGCAGAGAGAACCAAGGTTCATGTGTGTGTATTTTCAGAAGTCAGTCATGTTTCTTCTGCCAATATCAGTCTTTTTATTGCTCCATTTTAACAAAAATATTCATTTATTTATGTTATTGATTTATTCAAGTATAATAAATAAATAGTTAATTCAAATTTATAGTGAATGATTTGAAAAATGTAGACCTATGTTTGCAACCATTCACTCAGCACTTCAATCGTCTTGAATAATCCCTAAATCTTTTCTTATTCCTCTCAAATTTAACTCACATCCTCATTATTCACAAAACCATATTCTCAGAAAAATTTAAATGTTATTCATGTTAATTTTTAATAGTGGCATCTTCTAAAGTTTCTACATATGAATTATATAAAATTTACTCTTAATTCCTTAGCTTCTTTCACTCTGCACAATAACTTGAGAATTTAGCCACGCTTTTTTATGAGTGAGGCATGCCTTGATTTCAAGCTGCATTATATTCCAGTACATAAATATATGCCAAACTAATTGTTCACCAGTAACAAAAGGTGATTTGTTATCTCAGTTAATGGATTTTATAGAGAAAAGCAGCTACTCGGCAAGGGAATGCAAAAAATGAGTAAACTGTGATACTATCCTGACCTCGAGATCGAGACCATCCTGTGAATGGTGAAACCCCATCTCCACTAAAAATACAAAAAATTCGCCGGACGTGGTGGCAGTCGCCTGTAGTCCCAGCTACTCAGGAGACTGAGGCGGGAGAATGGCGTGAACCCAGGAGGCGGGGCTTGCAGTGAGCCGAGATTGCGCCACTGCACTCCAGCCTGGGTGACAGAGTGAGACTCCGTCTCAAAAAAAAAAAGATACTATCCTGACCCCATTAACAACAAACGTACAAAACTGAAAATAAAGAAAAAACATTCAACATATCTGAGTTGATATCATAGAGGAAAAAAACCCCTGAAATCTGAGGAGAGAGGAGCCTGCAGAGAGAACCATATATTAGTGTACCTGAGGCAGATATTACTGGATGGTATTCAAGATAGGAGCAGGCTGACTTGGAAATATTGAGTAAGTTGCTGGAGGATGCATGTGCTCATACTGTTAGACTGTGAAGCTCCTAGTGCTTGCAGGCTTTTCCTACAGAATTATTATTAATTATTCTTTCTGAACTTTATGCTAATTATCAGGCCAACCATGAGAGCAAAGTTTATTTTGCAAACAATTCAGACGTATAATGATTACATTCTGACAAAAATCAGAACTGGAGAGAGAAAAATTATGTTTCAAAACATATCATACACTTGTCTTTAAATTCTAATCTCTTCAATTGTTTTAAGTATTTGCCTCCATTTTAGACTAACTCTGCTTATTCCTGTGAACCAACCAATGATCTCTGGCTGCAGCTCAGAAGAAACAAAGGGAGGGGGAATATAGACATCTGCATCAACATTTTAGTTCTGAGCAATTATCCTGCAAATCATGCCAGGTGACTGGAATAAATAGGGTGCCCCTAATCCAGAGGTTTCTTTGTTTGAGAAAATAAGTCCATGGGAGCTACAAAAGCCAAGCCCCATGCACCCAAATCTTAGCAGGCATAACTACAGCCACAGTTATCTGGGCATGTCAGCAGCCTTGGAATTTGTTTTCAAGCTGTCCTCGCCACCTTGTTTGGTTTTGATACATGTCTTCTAATAACCCGGTTTGTCTCTTCTCACCCTCAGGCCATCAAACTCCAAATGGTCATGCTATGCAGGAAGCATGATGCCAGCATCTGCTCTTGGTGAGGACCTCAGAAAGCTTACAATCATGGAAGAAGGCAAAGGGGCAGCAGATATATTACATAGTTAGAGCAGGTACAAGAGAAGAGATGAGGAAAGTCCTAAAGTATTTTAAAGAACTAGATTTAACTTGAAGTAAGTTAGCACAAACTCAATTGTCACCAAGTGTGTTGCATAAAGTCATTCATGACTTCACGTACCCAATACCTCTCACCAGACACCACTTTCCGCATTGGCAATTACATTTGTAATGATTCATAAGCAGAGCCATTTCTGGGAGTCATGGGTTTCCTCTGAGAGGTAGCACTGACTTGCACAAGACTCAATTATATTTTGCAGATTCCTTGCACAGCACAGAAATATAGGAACCTTCCACCCAATCCACCCTCCCTCTCTCTTTCACTTAGGGACATGCTTCCATCATATACGATCAGCTTCCCAGCCTCATTCTACTCTCTGTGCATTTTCTCTCAAAGGGGTGGATGTACTTCTTATAAAAATTCAGGGAAACTTCATACCGTCTTGGAGTTTTCTGCTTAGAAAATGAATAATAACACAAATGTTACTGGAAAGGGATCCCAATTTGGGACAAATCCACAGAGTAAAATGAAAGCGAGTTTATTAGGAAAGTAAAAGAATAAAGAATGGCTACTCCACAGGCACAGCAGCAATATGGGCTGCTGGTTGTCCATTTTCATGGTTATTTCTTGATTATATGTTAAACAAGGGATGGATTATTCATGAATCCCCCAGAAGTTACCAAAGCTGAGTATTTCTCCCTTTTAGACCAACTAGGGAAACTTCCTGATGTTGCCATGGCATTTGTAAACTGTCATGGCGCTGGGGGGAGTGTCTTTTAGCATATTATTATAATTAGCATAAAATTAGCAGTGAGGACAAACAGCGGTCACTTTTGTCACTGTCTTGGTTTTGGTGGGCTTTGGCCGCATCTTTACTGTAAACTTCATCAGCAAGGTCTTTATGACCTGGATGTTGTGCAGACCTCCTTTCTCATCCTGTGACTAAGAACGCCTTAGCTTACTGGTAATGTAGCCCAGCAGGTCTCAGTCTTATTTTTCTTAGCCTTTATTCAAGATGAAGTTGTTCTGGTTCCAAAGCCTCTGACACAAATAATGTAGTGAAATATTTATAATATGAACATCATTATATTGCCAAATATCATAATATTGCCAAAATAAAATATCATAATGGCAACAATCAATTTTATTTGTCACCTTGACTAGACCACTGTCTCATCTACTAAATCACACACTAACCTAGGTGTTGCTCCCATGGCATAATACAGGCGTTAGTAGAGCCTGCCATTATCTTTTCCTAAGTCACGAAGATTGTTCTAAATAATCGAGGTGGGGCTGATTCAATCAGAGCATAACAGAAGACGATGGGACTCCAAGCTGTACGGCAGATGCAGGTCTTCCCAGGAATTCCAGCCTGTCTTTCCTGAAGGCCAGCAGTATTGATCTTAGGCTGCCTAGCCAGACCCTACAATTACTACTATCCAGAGCTCACAGCACGATGGAGTGTCCATCATCAGCTCTCCTCAAAGTCACAGGTGACAGTCCAAACTCTGTGACAGTGTGAAAAGCATAAGATCAGCTCTACATCAATATCCCATTGGAGAAAACTAGGATTATTCCCTTTGTGATTAAGGTCCGTTTCGTTTTCCAAACATCTCCGTTGACAGAGGACAGCAGGAGAGTCCAGGCAAGGGTGAGTGAGAAAGTCCCCTCAGACTACCCAGGTCCTGCAGACCTGAGCCCTGGGATTTTGACTACAGATAACACATACTCAGTTTTCAGGGCAGAGAAGAAGAAAGGGAATTGTGAGAATCAAGTCTACAGGGAAGGAAAATGGATTAGCAGAAAGAGGGTCAACTGAATCAGTCTGAGTCAGACGTGCCCAGTTTTACAAGACGAGGGGGGATAGCTGTGAAAACCATGTGGTTTTAAGGACCCTGACCCTGGGTGAGCCTCTCTCTTAGCTCCTATCAGAACTCAAAGCCTGTTCTAATCAGAGATTCCCATGGAGGTCTCTGCCCTGAGTCTAACTGGAAAACACTCTCCAGGTTCCCCTGAGCATCCTCAGGACTTTCATCCTGTTGACCACGAAATAATTATTTCTGCCCCCAAAGTGACACTGCGGGTTCTGTGGAGGTGAGGATGTGTCCTACTGTAAACAAACAAACAAACAAAAAAACCGAAACAAAAAGGAAGAAAAGGTTTGCATTTAGAGACATCAGATGTTAGTACAGAATTGAAAACCCTTAGCAGCACCTGCACCTGCCCTGGAGGGCCCTATTTGCATGTCTCCTACTATATAACAAGATCTAGGGTGGGACCCTTGAGGAGTAGGCTGTACCCAGATAAGGCAATGGTGCCCTGCAGAAGTTTGCTGAGAATGATGGTATTTGGAAAATACGCTGTCTTATGAAATTGTGCTGTGATAAACACTTTGCCAGGATCACCCTATTTCATTTTTAAATATTCGTGTAAGCTATGTTCTGTAGAGTCAATATTTTCTCATTTATGGATGCAGAAGTAAACCCACATGTGAAGGGGGCTCTGCGTACATCTAGGAGCTCATGTCTGGGATGAGTGAACCCCAGTAACTCGCCCTGTGTTCCTCATCACAGGTCCTGATTGCTCCCTAAACCAACTCCAGGACAAAGCTGGATGTGTCTAGTGTTTTTATTAGAACCCGCTTTCCGTAATAAGAGCACATGTGGTTTTGCTGCACTCCAGCACTCGCCTGAAAATATGGAGAGAACTAGGGTCCAGACACATTAATTTTCAGGTACTTCTGACATTTAACTTATTTTTTCTATCTTTCTTGTCAAAGTTTTACTCCTTCCTTGTCTAAGTTTCTGTTTGTTTGCTTGTAATACATTTTATGAGGCTTAATTGAAAGGTAATATACTTCACACATTTAAAATGTACAATTAATAAACATGATGTAACTCTCATCATTATCAAGAAAGTGGACTAGTGAATTTTTCTCAACATTTCCTCCTGTTCTGCTATATTCCTCCTCCTCTCCCCTTCCCTTCTTCTACCATTTCCCCAGGCAAGTACTGATCTTCATTATATTACTTTAGATGCATTTTTATCAAAATTTATAAAAATGAAATAACAGAGTATATATTTTTATTTGGCTTATTTTACTCAACATAAATACTTAGATTTTTTACCTTGTTGTTCTGTGTATCAGGCATTAATTTATTATAAATGATGGATAGTATTCCACCGAACACATAATTTGTTTTTCTGTTGAACAGCTTAACAATATTTGCTTTCTTTTATTACTCTGGGTCTTACTAAAAAATCTTCTGCACAGCTTGGAAATGGACATAGATGAGTAATATATTTTACTTATTTTTTTCAACAACAATATCAACAATAACACATAAAGAAGCTGGAATTTTGCAATTTTTTTTGAGACTGAGTCTCACTCTGTCACCCAGGCTGGAGTACAATGGCACGACTTGCAAACTCTGCCTCCTGGGTTCAAGTGATTCTCCAGTCTCAGCCTCCTTAGTAGCTGGGATTACAGGTTCCTGCCACCATGCTTGGCTAATATTTTTGTATTTTTAGTAGAGAAAGGTTTTACCATGTTGGCCAGGCTGGTCTCAAACTCATAACCTCAGGTGATCCACTCACCTCGGCCTCCCAAAGCTTTGGGATTACAGGTGTGAACCACTGCAACCGGCCAATTTATTCTTATAAAACTTTAGATACTTGAAGTTTTAAGGTAAACATCAAATGTGAAATCTAGGGACAGGCAAGTTTTTGTTGAGAATAACAAAGCTGGGGTATGAGTTGAACTGAGGCAGCATATGTCATAAAATGTAGGCTGTTATAAGATAAAAACACACTTATATATTGGATTGCTTTGAAGTCAAGTGTGGTAAATGTGTTGTAGTGTGAATTTCCAAGAGACCACATACTGAAGAGCTTTCCTATCCTGTTGAATGCCTTTTCCCCAGAATGGGGACAGTCACAAAAATCTTTCAGTCCCAATGTGTCTGTCTAGGAGAGAAAAAGTGCCCACACTTCTGAAAAGCATTCAGATCCACCTTCTGTATCCCCATTGGAGAATTAAGAAATTACTCTGCAGGGAAAGCCACTAAAACCAGTATCATAGAGGCACCAGGGCAACCTCTTAGGAACTGAGATGGGAAAAGAGGTCTTCTTCTAAGTTCCATTGAGAACTACCTCCCCTCTCTTTCTTATTTAATCACAGCCTTAATCTGCAGTTCAAGTCAGCAAATCTGGAAGGTGATAACACCAAAAGAGAACATTGGAGCTGTGGGAGGGAACAACTGGGGAAAACAAGAGGACTCCACAGCAGGGAAAAGAGCAAGAACACACAGACCAACATCTCATTTGGAGGAAGTTCAGAAACATTGGAAAGGTCACACCCAGACTCATGTTCACAATATGAACCCAGGGAAGGTCAGATAATCTCCCTTTATTCTATTGCTTTCCACCAATTTCAGAATTTTCAGTTAAATAACATTTTAATCCACCTGAGGGAGCTGAACATGATTCTCTGGAGGAGGGAACAGGTGAAGAGACAAAGCCAAGCAGGAAAGAAAAACAAGGTATCACTGGAGGATCTGAAGTCTCTGGTGGACACAGAAGAACAGACTTCAACTATGAAGTCCACTGCAAAAGTAAATGTCAAATGTAGCTTTGAGAAGATTCACAGACACTTCCACAATAAAGGCCTGGCAAAGGTAAAGTATGATCAAATACAGGCAGAAAATGCATAAAATGAAATAATAGGCCGGGCGCAGTGGCTCACGTCTGTAATCCCAGCACACTGGGAGGCCGAGGCGGGTGGATCACGAGGTCAGGAGATTGAGACCATCTTGGCTAACATGGTGAAACCCCGTCTCTACGAAAAATACAACAACTTAGCTGGGCATGGTGGCAGGCACCTGTAGTCCCAGCTACTCCGGAGGCTGCGGCAGGAGAATGGCGTGAACCTGGGATGCGGAGCTTGCAGTGAGCTGAGATCGCACCACTGCACTCCAGCCTCGGCGACAGAGCAAGACTCCGTTTCAAAAAAAAAAAAAAGAAAGAAATAATAAACCAATACCAACTGTCCCTCCCAACATGTGTGACTATCCACAATTATTACATAAATTAATGAGAAATATCAAAGTCATAATAAAAGAGATCAGCATGAGATTTGTAAATGATACAGATATTATAACTAATTAAACAAGATATGTAAAGTAACTCTAATTCATATGCAACAATCTCTTGAAGCAACTGTGGACATAATGCAGGACTAAATAGGTAACTGAAATATGAAAATACTAAGAAGAAATCAAATGGAAATGCATAAGAAATCAAAAGCACTGCAGTATAAACATTGATCAAGCTTTGGGCACACCCCTCAGTAGAGCTGGCTCAGCTTTTAAATGAAACCATGTGCTTAAAATGTCACTAGAAATTTCACAAAGTAAATTGCAAAGAAAAGGAAGTGAAGAAAGAAATTAAACATTAATATCAAAATTATAGTATATTTATATTTTAAATCTGAGGAGAAATTATAAATACAGGGAAAGTAATTGAAAAAATAATGGCTAAGAATTTTCCCCATTTTGTGAAAGACACTGAAGTCCAGATCCTAGAATCACAGAGAACCCCAAGCAGAGTAAACACAAACAGACACAGACACACACCACACATCCACCCTGGACACAGTGGTGCACAAGAAAAAGCTCACACATCATACACCACACACACATTTCCTCAACTTTATTATTTTTACTTAGCTGTTTTAAAATTATTTACATTTATAGTAATAAGTACTAGTCTAAAATTAAAACATATTATTCTATGCATAATTCTGTCTATGCTTACCATGATCAAATACACAGTTTGGTGCAAATGAATGTAACTGCATTGTTAGTTAATTCACTATTTCAAAGAAAAATGGTATTTATTCCTGTCTCTGTGTTGAATCATTTGTAATGTACACCAATATAATTCTTTTTAATTAAAGGATTTTTTAAAGTTGGCACATAATAACTGTTTATACTTATGGAGTACATTGTGACATTTCAATACATGTGTGCCGTGAGGTATGACCAAAATCAGAACAGTGAGCAAATTAATCAGCTCAGACACTAACATTAACTTGTTAGTAGCATACAAACTTCTGTCTTCTGGTTACTTGTAAACAGAAAATGTACAATATATTGTTAACTGTAGTCACCCTACTGCACTGTAGGACACTACAGCACATCCCTCCTGTCTACTTGTAATTGTGCATTGTTAACAAACCTCTTCTTATCTCTCAGTCTCCACCCATTCCCAGCCTCTCATAACCACTACTCTACTATTTACTTCTGGAAGATCAACTTTTTAAAAATTTCCATAGAACACTGAGAAATGCCGTATTTATTTGTCTGTGTCTGGCTTGTTTCACTCAACAAAATGGTGTCCAGTTCCATGCATGTTGCTTCAAGTGACAGAATTTCATTGATAAATCTGAATAATATTCCATTGTGTAAATATACCACATTTTATTTATCCATTCAACTGTTGATGGACGCATACGTTGATTTCATATCTTAGCTATTGTGATTAGTGCTGCAGTAAACATGGGTGTATATGTATCTCTTCAATATTAGTTTTTTCTTTTAATTATTTAAATAGATATATACTCAGCAGTTGGATTGCTGGATTATATGGTAGTTCCATTTTTTTTCCCTTGATGGCTGTACTAATTCACATTTCCTCCAGTGGTCTATAGGAGTTTTCCTTTCTAGGCATCCTGGCCAGCTTTTGATATTTATTTATTTATTTACTTGTCTTTCAGACAACAGCCTTTCTAGCAGAGATGAAGGGTGAAAAGACACCTCATTGTGAATTCGCATTTTCCTGAATATTAGTGATTTCTAGCAATATGTGTATGTATATACTCATATAGCTATCTATCTATCTATGTATGATCTATTGCCCTTTGCATGTCTCTTTTTTTTTTTTTTTGACGGGAGTCTTGCTCTGTCACCCGGGCTGCAGTGCAAAGACGCGATCTCGGCTCACTTCTACCACCGCCTCCCGGGTTCAAGCGATTCTCCTGCCTCAGCCTCCCAAGTAGCTGGGAACACAGTCGCCCACCACCACGTCCAGCTAATTTTTTGTAATTTCTTTTTTTTTCTCTTTCTTTCTTTCTTTTTTTTTTTTTTTTTTTTGAGAGGGAGTTTCGCTCTGTCGCCCAGGCTGGAGTGCAGTGGCGCCATCTCCACTCACTGCAAACTCCGCCTCCTGGGTTCGCGCCATTTTCCTGCCTCAGCCTCCCGAGTAGCTGGGACTACAGGCGCTGCCACCACGCCTGGGTAATTTTTGTATTTTTAGTAGAGACGGGGTTTCTCTATGTTGGTCAGGCTGGTGTCAAACTCCTGTCCTCAGGTGATCCGCCCCCCTCGGCCTCCCAAAGTGCTGGGACGACAGGCGTGAACCACCACGCCCAGGTCTGTCCAGGCTGTTTTGGTCCTTCAGAGGAGAATTGCAGAGTCGTCTCATCCCCTGCTCCCACCAATTTTCATATCTGTGTGTGACCCTTGAGAATGTCCTTGCCATGTCTCTACATAATTGGAGTCAAATGAGGCATGAAGCTGACATGCTGGGTGTGTCAGTGCAGAACTGGGTGAAGAAACTGCCTGCATACTGTTGCATTATCGGCCTGGAGCCTCTGACGTCCAGGCTTTGCATTTTATCAGTGATTTTCTGTGTTGGTTAGTCAGTTCAAATGTTATTTTTAACTTTCTACTGAAATAGCCTCACATAATCATCTAGAGGCATAAAGATTAAAAAATAACTTATTTGGAAATTAACCCAGGTTGCAGGTGAGGTCATAGTTAGTTTGTGGTGATAGGGAGACAGGGAGAAGCATGGCTGGAAACTATGACCGTGCTCATAAATGCTTCATGTTAGTAGGGAAGACCCTGTACACCCAAGAGGTTTAGACACCGCCACTGAGAACCTCAGCCTAATATAATTTTATGAATCATGCCTCAATAATAAAACTCTAGGTTTTTGACTAAAATTGCTGTTACTAATGTGTTTCCTTAGAATACAGTCTTCTACCTGATGTAAAATCAGCCCAGATGGCAGAAGTGATTGCATTTATTAGAAATTCCAATTTGTCAAACCAGGAAATAAACATGTTTTAGAGCAGTGCATGGCTCTGGGATGCTTTGTAAACAATAGAGCATCTCACATATTCTGGAACAGCCCCCAACATGGGCAAGGTAGGGAGTTCTTAGAAGCACTCCTTTATCCCAGATTCCTGGCAAATATAAAGGTGGAATTCAATGCAAAAAGAGGTAAGTAACACTGAAGCTAAGAAAACTGCCACACCAGGTTATATCCTCAGAAGAGAAAACTGCTGAGAGAGTCACAGATGTTATTTAAAAATATCAATGGTTAGCCCCTGGTTTTAAATAAAAATGAATGAAAAATATCTAGTTATCGACTTTGCTTAGATAATTTGTGCCAGATTATTACAAATGAATTTTTTTATTTCAACTCTACAATTTATAGACAAATTGGTTATCCAATTAAATAAACACCTTGAGGAATCAGCAGAGGTTAATTATTGATGAGGTGTGACAAGCTAGCCACAAAATCCTGGGAGAATCCTTACATTGGGACCTAGACAGAATTGAGCCACAGGGCCCTTTGGACATATTTAGGTAAACTTTCCTCAGTTCCCACCCTTAAGGGGATGTGAATATATTTTATTTATCATCTATCTGTGATCTCTGTGTCTTGAAATAATTCTTTGACAAAAGGCTACAGCCCTTTCAGTTGATTAAAAGCTTCTGCATTTTGTGTTTTTAGCCTGTGACCTGCCAGGTTTTGCATGAACTGAGTGAAGCACACCCATGAAAGGAACTATTATAAAATGACTCTGTAAGACACGGCTGATACTAAAGTACGACACTGTTATAACCTCCTACAATCTTCCACATAAGTTTATGGGTATGCACATGCAGAAGAAAATAAATGGACCAGCTGGACATGGTGTCTCATGCCTGTAATCTCAGCACTTTGGGAGGCTGAGGCAGGCGGTTCATGTGGTCAGGAGTTTGAGACCAGCCTGACCAACATGTTGAAACCCTGTCTCTACTAATGTATACTTATATCAAAATTGTCACAATATTAAGGAACCCTTGAACTCCCTTGGCCACATGTACTCCTACTAGCACTGTGGCATTATGGTCCTCTGCCTTAAGGATGAATCTGTTATTGCCTCATGACTTGATTGCTGGAAAAAATACATTTAGAGATTTTACCCCCAATACTCCTTTGCCATACTGTATTTGGATGAGGCAGAACCCTCAAAGAGATTCATGTATTATGCTCACTCCTATCACCAACAGATTAAAGTTGCCATTCCAGTATGTCTTTTTAACAACAGCCTCTTATAACCTTTAGCCAGGAAAATTTATATATTGGAAAAAAATTAGAGAAAAACTTTCCTTGAAACACTGGAAGGAATCTTATTAAATATTTTTATCATCACAGAAGTAAAACTCCATGGAGTCAATCCTTGGGATTTTTTTTTTTACAACTCAATAAGGAATTAAAAATTCCACACAATTGGAACACTACTCCCATAGAGGGGATTTGTACCTACTTAATAAATAGACCAGCCTTTACTAAAAGGTGCTCTCCTATGGGAACCCCAAACTTAACAGATCTCTGAAACCTGCTGAAGTCTCAATGCACTTTGTCTCTAGATAACCATAAATGCAAAGGCAAATTTTGTGTTTTTGCATGAATGATCTGGACACACCCTTGGCATTTTAACTGAATTTCATGGAAACATGATTACTTCCTGGGAGCTCATGTTTAATGGCATCCAAATATTCATCACCCTTGTGATGTGGTGGCAATTAGGTGCCTCGGAGAAATATGCTGATGCTTCAGGTGAACAAGTTCTAGACTCCTCCCTTGACTTCATGGTTCCTCACTCAGTACAGATGTGTCTGTGACCAAAACCCAACACTGATATCCAGCAGTTTCTCCTCTTGTGAAATTTATTTTTTTTCTTTGTTTGCCTGACTTTCCCTCATTCTCTCTCTTGCCCTCTCATTATGATTTCTGCTGTACCATTCTGAAACCTGCCAAGAGTATGCAACTTGAATCATGCCAATTTCCAGCCTCAAAAAGAAAAAAGGTGCAAACTCATAATTTTCTTAACGAGGTTAGAAAACTTCCTACATTTCCACCAGATTCATTAGAGACTCCCAATGAGAATCATGAGGAAACATTATTTGGTTTTGGATCATACCTCAAAACTGAAACTGCTTTTTATAATGGTTATTCCATTTGTATTTCCACTATTGTGCAAAGTAGTATGAAGACTCCGAAATAAAAGAAAAATAGAAATACCTGATGACGTGGCAAATCCTATTCTGGGTATGTTCTAAAGAAGATAAAATCACCACCTCATAAAGGCATGTGCACTCCATGTTCTTTGCAGCTCTATTCACAATAGCCCAGATATGAAAGCACCTCAGGGTCTGCAGGTGGACAAATGGATAAAAAAATATGATCTAGGTATGCAATAGAATATTATTCAGCCATCAATGTTGATATCTTGTCATTTGCAACAATATGAATGGAAGTGGAAGCCCTAATGTTAAGTTAAATAAACCAAGCACAGAAAGACAAATACTGCATCTTCTTACTTTTATGTCAAAACTAAAAAATTGGATTTCCTGAAGACAGAGAGTAGATTGGTTTTTACCAGAAGCCTGGATAGATACAAGGGAGAAGAGAATAAAGAGAGGTTGATTACTGAATACAGATATATAGTTATATAGAAGAAATAAAATCTAAATATTTCATAGATGAGTAAGGTGACTATAGTTAACTATAATCTAATGTACACATTAAAATAGCTAGAAGAGTCGTTCAAATGTGCCTAGCATAAAGAGAATATACATGTTTAATGTGATAGATATACCAATCAGATATACCAATCCTGATCTGCTCTTTACACATTTATAAATGTATCAATATATTACATGTTCCCATAAAATATGTATATCTATTATATGCCAATAAAATAAATAATCTCCATGGCATGTTTTTACAAAAATATTAAAATTTTCTCCAGTTATATCAAATACAAAGGCCTTTAAATAGCCAAAGTAATTTTGGGCACAATTTAACAAAGCTGAATATATCATATTCTATAATTTCAAAATCAAATCAATATAAATCAAAACAGTATAATGCTGACATGTAAACAGACATAGAGTCCAATGGAACATTATAGACAACCTGGAAATCAACCCATTCCTTCCCAATAAACTGATCTTTGACAAATTGCCAAGGACAGACAATAGAGAGAGGACAGTCTCTTCAAGAAGTGGTGTGAAAACTGGGCATCCATATGCAGAAGAAAAAAAATGAACCTTACCTCACATGATACACAGAAATCAGCTAAAAATGGATTCAAGACTTAAACAAATACCTGAATATGTGGTACAAAGTTATCCATGTATGGTTTGGAAAAAAATGTAAATTAGTACAGCCATTATGAAAAACGACATGGAGATTACTCAGTGAATTGAACATAGAGTATACCCACTTCTGAGCATACATCTAGAGAAAATAAAGTGAGTGTGTCAACTATATGTTCATTGTGAGATTATTCCTAATAGCCTAGACTTGGGAAAGAAGTCCATATCCATCTATGAATGAACAGATAAAATGTGGCTTATACCTACATAAAAGTGAAATTATTCAGCCTTTAAAAACAAGGAAATTCTTACATTTGCAACAACACATAGAGAACATTATTCTAAGTGGAATAAGCCAGACGAAGAAAGACAAATGTTGTGTGATCTCATTTATGTGTAGAATCATCAATCTATATATTTTTCCTTCATCGGTATTGTGTTGTCTTGATTACTGATGCTTTGCAGTAAAGTTTGGAGAATGGGGGTGTGAATTATCCTAACATGTTTTCTTTTTTCAAGATTATTTTGGCTATTTTGAGTCCCTTACAATTCCATGTGTATTTTAGAATCAGCTTGTCAGTTTCTAGACAGAAGTCTGTTGGGATACTTGCAGGGATTTCATCAGATCTGTAGTTCAAATTGTAAAGTACTACAATATTAAGTCTTCCAATTCATGGCTGTAAGATATTTGCTAATTATTTAGATCTTCTTTAGACAATAATTTTTAAATTTCAGAGTAAAATATTGTATCACACTTTCCAAATTAATTATTATTTCTTTTTTTGATGCTATTGTAAATTGAAGTGTTTTCTTAATTTCATTTTGGGGTTTTCATTGTAGATGTGTGCAATTGATTTTTGTATATTTATCTTGTATGCTGTAATATTGCTGAAATAATTTACTAGTTCTATCATTCAGTGGATTCCTTAAAATTTTCTATATACAAGAATGTTATTTGCAAATAAAGTTTTATTTCCTCCTGTTCAATATGGGTGACTCTTATTTCTTTACTGGCCGATTTGCCGTGCATAAAATCTTTAGCACAGTGTCGACTAGAAGAGGTCAAAGTATATATCTTATTCTTATCTCCGACCATAGCGGGAAATTATCCTTTCTTTCACCACTAAGTTGAATGTTTGCTGTTGGCTTTTCACAGGTGCCATGTATCTGGTGTAGAAAGTTCTCTATTCCTGGTTCATTGAGTTTTTATTTTTATTTTTAATCATTAAAGCATTTAGATTTTGTTAAATGTCTTTTCTGAATCTATCGAGATGATCATGCAATTCTTGTTTCTTATTCTATGGATAAGATGTATTACCTTCATGGATTTTGGGCTGTTAAACTAACCTGGGATTACTAGTATAAATTTCACTTTGTCATAGTGTATAATTCTTTTATATGTTGCTAGATTTTATTTGTTAGTATTTTTTTAAGGGATTTTGCATTTATACTTATAGTAGTTTTATTTTTCTATGCTATTTGGACTAACTTTTGTATCAAGGTAACACTGGCCCCACAGAATAAATTGGGAAGTGAATATTTCTCTTTTTAAAAAAAGTCAAGAATTAATATCAATTATACTAACAAATATTATTATAAATTATTAATTTCTCTAATTTTTATTTTCTTCCTTCTGCTTGCTTTAGGTTTAGTTTGCTATTTTTTCCAGTGCCTTAATGTGGAAGGTCATCTTATCTCATCCTTTCATTTGCCTTTTCATTAACTAAATAGTATCTTTTTAGCATCAGGTGAGCTCCCCAGGTTGGTAGTACGCCATGTTTATTGCTGTACAACAATGACAGGTAATATGTCCTGAAGACAATGGAAACTTAACATTCAAAATCCTCCTAGATTCCACCTTATATGATATGTCTCTTCCATTGATTGGTCCTAATTTCTACCCTTTCTCTATTATAAACCATGAGTACAATAGCATTCAATGAGTTCCGTGAGTCTTTCTAGTAAATTCTTGAAACTGAGGGTGTTCTGGGGAAACCCCTGAACTGGCAGTTGGTGTCAGAAGTGAGAATAGTCTTACGTGGCCTCTTCTTTTGAACTTTGCAGCTGGACCCAAACTCTGCACAATTTGGGCCAGAAGTCTTGTGTTGACTTTGCAGCCTAAAGTATCTTGTAGTTTGTCTAACCCTCAATAAATTTGCTTTCATCAAATATTGTATTTGTCACCCCAAAATTACTATCATGTTTTTTTTCTCTGAATAACTAACATTGGGAGAAAGAGTCAGCTGAATCTGTAACTCAACAGAAACAAGTGATCCATATACCATATAAGTGGCCATTTCATTTTGCCTCCTTCCACCAAATCTTAGCAACCTCAACCATTGCCATGAGCCAGTGTAGGCCTACCTGCTACAAACAAACAAGTATCTTTTAAGAACCCTTCATACTGCCATTTGATAAATTTCCCAGCAAAGAGATGCCTACTTTAACTCTATGCAAGTGGCTCATATTCGCAAAGTCTGGAGATATTATTCATGTAGTGTGAGAAAAATCATCCCAGCGATGCCAGCACATTCTCCTTCCCATGATCTGCTTAGTTTGTAAACATATTCAGGCCATGGGTGAGAGATTTGTATTTCACAGTACAACAATTTTATGGAGGGCATTGAAACTTACATTGAGCATTTTAGTAGAGTCACACATCACTGAATGATAGGGATACGTTCTAAGAGATGCATCCATAGGCAATTTCATCATTTTGCAAACATCACAGAGAGTATTACAAACACCTAGATTGTACAGCCTACCACGTCTAGGTTAAATGGTATAGCCTCTCTCTCCTAGGCTACAAACCTGTGTACTACATTACTGTACAGAATACTGCAGGCAATAAGAACGCAGTGGTAAGAGTTTATGTATCTAAACATACTTAAACATAGAAAAGTATGTAAAAATATATATTATAATCTCATGGGACCACTTTTGTATATGTAATCCATCTTTGACTGAAATGTTATTATGCATGACATGACTCTATGACAAAAATAAAATAATACATTGTAAAAAATGTACACATGTATCCAACATATTAATAGTATAAAAATAATTTATTCAGTGTAAGAATTTGTAATGATCACAAAATGTTCACAGCTTATATTTTAGTAGAGTTTCAAATGCCTAGTTTAATTACTATTTATTTCTTTGTGTATTTTAAACATGTATATAATAAATATTTTTCAGGTTCAACAATATATATCAATCCTACTGGCTCTTATAATAATTAGTTAAAACCAATTAGTAAATTCATGTATATATATACACACGTGTATCAGTGAGTGTGTGCATGTGTGTGAAAATGTAATTGTATGTGTTGTAAATGTAATTGGTAACATTTAGGTTACCAATTGCATCCTAACATTTACCCTTACCTACAAGATTTCCAAGATTCATTTATTATCTTTAGATGATGTGCATTTAAAGATTTACCAAATAAAACTGTAATCATGGAAAATATCAGATGTTATTAAATTCACCTTGTGGACATAATTGTTTCTTTAAATTTATGTTTCTTGCAAAACTTGCAGTAATGCTCATGCACAAAATAATTTTCTAAATAAAATCATTTTCTCAGTCATTAATTCTTAATAATTTCTCCCCAATAATTAATGTGAATTCTTAATTATAGAATAATGTTGCCCTTCAGAGTTCTGAAACTTTTGCATGTTGTATACATTTCACTAACTAGAACAACTTCTGAAATACTGGCATTAATTAATGTCACTCAGCAATTATTGATTTCAAAGAAATTAAATACCATTCATATTGTGAATCACAAGGGTACTTTGACATCTAATTTAATCAAGCTCTTTGTATCATCATCTACACTTTAATTACTTAACAAACATTTCTCTGTGTGAAAAAGAATGAGGAGGTTATTGTGCTTTTTTAAGATGCAACTCCCTATAAGGGACAAAGAGAAAATGAATGAGCAATAGAGACGTGACAGGCATGGAAAAAGACAATACATTTATAAAACAAATAGGGCCACAGATGATGATAATGGGGATCAAATCTTGAGATACTGACTCAGTTTATAAACGCAATGTATAATAGAGCAAATCATTTGTTAATTTTTTTACAAAATGGAATTTAATTTAATTAAGATTGTTTTAAACAAGGCAGGTCATCTTAAAATAAAATAGTGGAATAAAGTGATAAAACCAATGTAAAAATCATAAACATTTTATAAAAAACTTTGTCACGTAATTTAATATTTTTATTTAAAATCACCCAAATCAAAATAATTATATCTTCATTAACAAATAATCATCAGAAGTTAACTAATTTTTACTTTATAAAACTAGGTTTAAAAATTATTAACTATATTTTTAATCATATATGCTTATATATAAAATAGACATAGGATATATATTTACATGTTCACTATATTGTAATTGTTGCTATGGATGTGGTTTTTCAATAGAATTAATAAGTACTTTTAAAAATTTTCGATTTCAATGATATATATGTTTGACTTTTCTTTGACAAAGCATACATATATTGATAGGTAATAATATGAAAATCTTCTAAAGACATTACAGGAACATGAAAATGTAATTAAATCCTCACTAATTTGTAATGTTTTATGTAAGCGGAACACATTTAACTGAAAATTGCTTTTATATAATACTCAAACGAGACTAAAAACATTTTAACTAGCGGAGTAAGTCTCCAAATTGATAATCTGAACTATATAAGAGGAGAAACTTCAGGCACTAAAATATTTGAAATGCTACAAAATATTTATATAAACTATTATTTAACAATTTCTGTTTGTAGAGTGCTATACAGTAATCAATATAAATGACATCTCAAGTCTTTCTATAGCTTTGACCACATTTACCTCCTAATTTTAATTATTAATATGTTGGAGCAGTGCATACAACTAGATTCCGATCTTCCTTTTTAATGAGTAAAAATGTGTCCTTTGAGACAGCATTAAAGAAAGAGCACCTTGTATAAATTCAATGCCAAGAGACAAGATATTCTTGATTCTGAAGTCTTGTTCTTTTATACAGCACTGTAATTAATAAGAAGAAGAAAAGCAGGACATAGATGTGGAGTCTATTTTAATAAAAAATTGTCTATAGATTTTGATGATAAAATTTAAAAATCTACTATATTCAGTTAGTTACAAAAAACTAGGTTGTGGGAACATATTTGGTCAATAAAACACCCTTACCAAATGCTGACAAGAAAAAAAGTTAGGTACCACGTTTCTTTTCTGCAGATGGCCTGAGATGGGTTAGTTTGAAAGAATGCTTCCAAACCTGAGATGACCCCTGAGAACAGCATAATCCACTGCTGTCTCCTACATTCAGTTTCTCAGTTTGTGCTCTTTTAATTTTGGGGGTAGGGAAGGGAGTCCTTTCAACCGATCTTCAGCATGATGGCAGAGCCAAGAAGTGTGGACAGGTGGCACGGTGTCTGACTTTGTTCCAGCAGCCACTTGGGCTTTCTCTGGGTCTTCTCTGCCCTAGGGATAGCACCACTATTGAAAACATGTCTTTGTGACATTCTCTATGCCAGGAACTCCCAACACATTTTCCTTGACACTGATGAAATGAATAAAAATAAACCAAGAGGTGTGCTGTTTGTTTCTGTTTCCTCCTTTCTGCAGCCCTTCTTGATCATCTAATATTTTAAAATACATTGTCGATCACCAAAAGGAGCATAAGGTGTATATTGATTTGTAGCAGGTGTATTAATAGCCCAGCCCCTATTCCTCACCTGTAGCTGCTGGGAAGAAAATCATTCTTAACACTCTACAAGGTCTCATCTCCAGAATTTGCACCTGTTTCTAGCTGAGGACTTTCTCTAGCAGCACGGGAGCTTGTTACTGGGCATGAAGTGGGAAGAAAAGGTGAGGGTAACTAAGAAGAATCTCCCTGGATTCAGTGATGTAATTCTGAGGCATGTTCCACATAGCTTCCCAGAGAATTAAGCCCAGATATCTAACACAGGAACTTGCCTCTTAACAAGTGTGGTATTGGCTTTTCTATCTTTCCTGTTTTATTTTGTTCTCTCTTCCTTGTCTCACTTTCACTGTGTCCTCACTCCTGCTTTAAGAATACCAAAACAAATACATTCATTTATTTTTTTAAACTCTCAGAACACAGTTGATAGTTGAACTTGTAATCTATGATAATCATCTTGGATGCTATACTGACAGGAAGATGGTGAACTCACAATGTCTAATTAAGATAAAATTAAAAAATATATTGATTCATGTCCAAAGATTTAAAAAACCTAAGTGGCAGTGTCACAATTTCTTCTTTTTAGTTTACATGGTTTCTTAAATGCCTACAATTATTTTAAAGGAAGCCTTGTGTCTAGGAAAAATCAAGACATATGGAATAAATTACTAACCCATTTCTCCTTGAAATCCATTAGATGCTTGATGATTTTTCACATATATTTCTGAATTGAAAAGCTAGTTGTGAATTATTTTTATAAGCATATCCTTATGTAATATTTTGTTTTTAACAGTGAATTGAAGGTTTAAAGATTAAAGTATTCTATCCAGAGAATAAAAAGCAATTATTTCACAAGGAGAACATGTATATATTGACACGACATTTTAAAATCTATATTTTTGAGTCAATTAGAATATGTTTATATCAGTCTGTCTACAGTTTTACACATGTCAAAATGTACTTGAACTACAACAAGTACCTTGAACAATTTTGAAATTTATTATTCCTCTGAAACTGATTAAAAGAATTATGGTATAGTGAAATTCTAATTGGTATAATTTGGGAGAGGAATTATTCTTGGAGATCAACCTCTGCCAAGATAGTTTATAATGACATTGAGACTTTTTGATTTACAAAATTTGTTATATAAAAAATACTAAGACGATGACAGGTAATACACAGACTTTAATTAAAATCGTACTAAAATTAAATGTCTAAATAAATTAGAGGGGTACATGGTACATCTAATTGTATGTTTACATATTTTATTTGTGCATTTTATTCCTAGGGTTGCTTTTGCTTTAGTTTGTAAAACGTTCTTATTTTTATGATAATGTAGTATATACTAAATAAAGAAAAATCAGGAAATAGAAAATGAAGAAGAAAACATTAGCTATTATCAACCAAATAAAAATTGTGCAATCTCTAAGCACATGAACTATGTATTATTTGTACAGCATGTACAGTGTTTATGCGTCACAGGGTGAGGTAGAGACTGCAAAACATTTAACCTGGGACAAATAAGAAAGTAAGGAAATTTTCACAATATATTAATATTATAGAAAATGTTGAACTTAACAGTTAAGATAAAAGTAGTGAAAAATGATAGTATTTAAGGAGATCTAGAAAATTTAATCTATCTCTGTAATGTGTGAGAAGTATTAGAATAATGCTTGTATTTCTGGATTGGCATCGATTTCTATTGAGACCGGAAACATAATAGAAGTGAGGGAAAAAGAATTTAAATTGCGGATACTTGAGTTTTATACCTAGGAGTTCGAGAAATACATTTTGTTACTATCAAAGCAGTTGGCACAAGAGTGTACAAAATTCCCTAATTGTGTCTATGTGGAGAAGACATAGACAAACAGAATAGCAAAACAGAAATAGCAAAAAAGCAAAAATAAATTTTACCTGTATTTTTATGTAAAAGCCAATTAGAGTAGGAAAACATGAAATTTGTGTTTTCTCAAAATTTTTCTCTTTCTCATAATATAGTTGATTATATTACTGGAAAAAAATTGAAGCATTGGTATGTTCACAAAAAAAAAGTAAAATATAAGTTCAAAACCATGGGACTGCAGGGAGCAGACAAAATATACCTAAACACCGAAACTGATTTTGCCCTACGGACATGTACCAAAATGAATGAGTGCAGATTCCTACTGTCATACATCACATAGGACAGTAAAGAAATACATAGTGTTTCCCAAGATAGGGCATCACACAGGAGCTCCTCCCTAAAGCTAGGACCAAAATTTCTATCCTCAGTATAAAGAAGAATCAGAGGTAAATTAATCCCATTTCACATTCCCTGGAAATGGCAAATAAAAATGACTTGAGATTGGACAGATTTAAAGAAACTCAATCACTAATGATTTACAGCAATTAATTAAAAAATTGTTTAAATGTGCAGTCCGAACATACATCCAAACACCTTTAGACCAAGAATTAACATAATGTGGTCCCAGAATGGTGATGCCTTTAGTAGACTCACAAAAAAATTCAAATTCTCTTTGGCAAGTTTTCTTCTTACTAATACTCAAAAGTGCACAAAAATAATTTTCGGAGAAAAATAAATATTTGTCATTCAAAGGCATCTAAGTACACAAGGAAATGATATTCCAACATTTGAAAGGAAAGCAGAAAAAGAGTACAAACAGATCCATAAAGGTTCATTAGTAGAAATATCACTGTTAGATTATAAAGCACATTTGCTTTAAAAAAATTTAAAATAAAAAGAATATATTTTAGGAGACTAAAAAATTGATGTAGCAAATTTGAAAAGTAGTTTGCATAAAAATATAGTATTTTAAATTAAAAACTCAAAAATGAACTCATCAGATTAGACATGGCCATGGTGAGAGTTCATAAATATTTCAGAATGCATTACAGAAAATTTTTAAAAATGCAAAATGTGGACAGAGTCATTAAGAGACATGGAAGATACAGTGAGAAAATGTAGCATGTGTTTAGTGAGTGTTCTCATAGAAGAAGGGAACTGGGAAGGGACAATATGTGATGGTATTTTGGCTGAAAGTTCTCTAGACTTTTGTAAGACACTAATCTGCATATTCAAAAGTTCCATGCACGCTAAGCAAGCTACAGTGGAGATAAACCTACACCTATGTATCTCCTAGAGAAATAGTAAACAATCAGGAAGGGAAAAATATTTCAATTAGCACTAGAAAAATCAAATTACCTTTAATCATATTGAAATCAGAAAGAATGAAAGGTAAAATAAACAATATTATTTGTTAAGACTAATAATGCCATTCTGAAATTCTCAACCAAGAAAAATATTCATCAACCTATGGCTAAATAACATATTTAGAGACAAAAAACAAAACGCCTCCAGCAGAATTCCACTAAAGAAACTGAAAACATGCTTCAGAAAGGTTGAAGTTCTGAAATCAAAGAATGAACACAGAGCAAAATATATTGTAAACATACAGATAGATTTAAATAAAAAATTAGGTGTTGAAACAAAAATATATTTAAAATTAGATAAGCACTGCAATATGTATGTTAGGAAGCAAATTATTAGGGCTGAAGTATTCAAAGACCCCTTAATTGTCTGACAAGAGCAGAAAGGTGAGTATGACTTTGCAACTCTTTTTTTTTTTTTTTTTTTTTTTTTGAGAAGGAGTCTCACTCATTCTTTCGCCCAGGCTGGAATGCAGTGGTGCCATCTCGGCTCACTGCAACCTCTGCCTCCCAGGTTCAAGCAATTCTCCTGCCTCAGCCTCCTGAGTAGCGGGGATTACAGCCGCGTGCCACCATGCCTGGCTAATTTTTGTATTTTTAGTACAGACGGGGTTTCACCACGTTGGTCAGGATAGTCTCCAACTCCTGACCTCGTGATCCACATGCCTCGGCCTCCCGAAGTGTTGAGATTACAGGCGTGAGCCACTGCACGTGACCGACTTTGGAACTTTAATAAATTCACTGGACGTTATGCATTTCTCTGTTGTTATCTATGAAAACAATAAAAATAAAAGTCATAATTTAAAAACAAGAAGACAGAAACTAATAGGAGAAAATGAGACAATATATATATATACAACAAATTAATAAAACAAATTAAGTATAAATGATCAAAGATTAACTTAAACCTAAGTAGACAATGTTTTTGTTAAAATACAAAGATTGGCAAAATTAAAAAAGTCCATCTCTATCATAGTTACAAGAGAGGTAACTAATATATTAATTTACAGAAACTTTGAAGTTCAAACAATACAGATACTGTGTATATATGATATACATACAAACATACTACATGAATATAATTTTTTAAAAACTTGCTATGTAGACAAAATAGAATGTAAGTTAGAAACATTTATTAAAATAAGTTAGTCTAACCAGTGTGATAAAAGATTTAAGTTATTAAGACGATGTGATGACTTAAATGTGCATTAGCCTGATACATACATACATATATACACACACACCACACACTCACACATATACGTATTTAGAGAGAGAGTCAAATTATATAAAGCAAAAATATCAGAAAGTAAGTAGAAATGGATAAGCCCCCAAATCATTATAGACTTTTGAAACACACATCTTTCAGTAATAGATAAAAGAAAAAATTAAAAGAGTAAGTTTTAAAAGAAGCTAGTGGATTTTAAAAAGGGCAAATGTTATATAAGGAACATGAATATTATAATTCATGTTATTTTCATGTTCATACAGAATACTTACAAAAATTAACATTTTCTAGACCATACCACAAATTCAAACAATTTTCACGAAAATAACGTGACACAGAATATATTTCCTAAACAAACAGCAATGAAGGTAGATATCAATACAAAAAAGAAAGCTAGAAACATAGGTCTAATAATATTGGCTGGAAGCTATTTTAATGAATATTGAAATATTTTAAAGGTGAATAGTCAATACAAATGAACCAAACACTTTTGTAAGGCCACTAAGATGCATGTGTAATGTGTAATGCCTCCTTTTATAAGGAGTAAATCTGTAACATCACCTGGGCTATTTGACAACTGCAAAGTGAATATGAGAAGGAGAGAAACAGTGAGAGAGAGAGAGATAAAACCAGTAAAATAAACATAAAGAATGAAGGAAATAGCCAGGTGCCATGGTTCACGCCTGTAATCCCAGCACTTTGGGAGGCCGAGGCAGGTGGATCACCTGAGGTCAGGAGTTCGAGACCAGCCTGGTCCAACATGGTGAAACCCATTCTCTACTAAATATACAAAAATTAGCCTGGCATGGTGGCATGCACCTGTAATCCCAGCTACTCGGGAGGCTGAGGTGGGAGAATTGCTTGAACGTGGCGGGTGGAGGTTGCAGTGAGTAGAGATCAATGCACTCCAGCTTCGGCGACAGAGCAAGACTCCATCTCAAAAAAAAAAAAAAAAAAAAAGGAGGAACCAGTACATGAAAAAGCAGTATTAAAGCAACTGAGTATATATTTAAAAACGCAAAAGCTCACTTTTTCAGAAAAATATTAAAATATTAAATCTAACAAATATCTAGGTAGACTGATGGAGAAAAATACAGAAAATGCACAAAAAACCAATTACCTGGAATGCGAAGGTTACAAAACGTCAGCAGTTGTAAATTTCAAATAAGCAATGACTTTGAGTTCAACCATGATGGGGTATATTGAAAAGAATCTCTCAGAAAAAAAAGAAAAAGAAAACTGTTATAAAGCTATGTACAAAATGTTAAGCACTATTAAAGTCTTCCAATTCTACCAGTTATGGAGTTATTGGTTTTGGACTAACTCTCCTGAAAAAAAAAAAAAAAAAAAACAAAAGAAAACAAACAAACAAAAAAAACTAAAAACCTGGATAAAATAGCCTACCGTGGGCACTGGCAATGCAACCAAGCAGGTAGGACATGGGTGCTACATTCTCTTTGTCAGAACACAAAGCATTCATACACTCTTCTCACCCTCACTCTCACCTTTTAATCTTAGATCTACTATTAAATGTTTTCAACATTACTATCAATCCTTTGGTCAAAATTTCTTTACTCACATTTTGCTTGATGCACTTGGATAGACTGTTCAAGAAAGTGTGAGTAGTGAATTCCTCAAACTCTTGCATATTTAAAATTACATTTTTGAACCTTGATGCTTGAAGTGTAGCTTGGGTAATGGGTGGGCTTTAAGCCAATTTTGGCATGCAAGGGGTTGAGTTTATTAGGCATCAGCACCTCTGAAAATTGTGGGGATGCAGGCTTAATTTCAACACTTGAAAGGTATTATATAATTCTTTAATAAACTCCTGTGTCTACAAATCGTTCGCATTATCTCAATATCCATGATTAAACATCTATAAAATCAAGGCACTCTTATTTAGTGGAGACTTGCTGGCTATTCTATGAGAGGAGGTATTGTTATTGTAATCTCATCCTCTCAAAAAAGTGTATCATATTACTCATAACCAGCCCTTCATATTCTATTCCTATTTTGGTATTTTAAAATAAGATATCTTTGAAACACTTCAATTCAAAGAGGGAATCTGAATAGTTTTTAAAATGTCAATGAAATGCCATTTCTTCATGCTTGAACAAATAAAAATCGACTAAAGTGCTTCTCTTCAAACTTTCTGGAACATTTTTTATCTAAATTCTAAGAACAATCACAATAGGTTTTAACCACAAATGTGAGAATGTTCTAAATGTTAGGGTGGAAAAATTTTTTAAATAATTTTATAGTAATTTTTTTCATCATAGTGACAGTGTGCTAAATTTTTTAAGTCAAATATTACTGTGGACATTTAAGTCAAGATTCTAAGAAGCTGTTCTAAAGTCCAAAATTTAGTTTCATATACAGTGATGTTATATATATATTTGCATATAAAATTAATATATGTGAGCCATGTTTCAAATAGTTGAGAGATTATTATATCAAAGATTCTTGATTATATAAAATGCCAATTACTTATAGGCACACATGCTTTAAATAATTACAAAGGCAGTTGTGGTTGATTCTACTCTTGCTACTGGCATTTATATGGACATCATATTATGGTCTGAAGAATGTTTAGGCAAATTTATCCCTCATATGGTCAGAAGAACAATGCAAGATAGTTTATATCTGAAAGGAAAAAAATCTTTATATGGTTCTGAAAGCCTAAATCATTAACAACTTGGATAATAATTAGCATAAAAATACACAAACGTGCCCTCTTCCTAGCAGTAAGTACCCAGTGATAACAGAATCAAAGCATGTGGCTATGTGCATGTTTATATTTCAAGACGCAGAGCACTCTATTCCTCTTCTCTGCCCTTTCTAGTTGGCACAATTCCTCATGAATCTAAGTGCAGTCATAGGGTGGATTAGAGTGACCTGCCATTTGTATGCAACTGATCTCTATTTTGGAAGTAATTAAAGTAAAAATATATTTTTAAAAGATAATTTCAAATTTCAGTGCAAACTAGCATGGATTCACCCCTTTTCTTTGCAACATTTTTTCTAAGGTTGGAAAAGTAAGGTAGGCTTTAGTACGATTTTTAATAATAAGTTTTCAAAGTGAGATGCAAAATGGTGGCGCCAACACATTTCAAATCTGCTACATTTTGAATACACTTATTGGAGAAAAGACCTTCTCATCATTTTTCTCTTACAGGAAAGGAAATAACATGTACAGTTGACCCTTAAGCAACACGGAGGTTGGGGCGCTGGCCCCACTGCACAGTAGAAAATCCACTATAACTTTGACTCCCCCAAAACTTAACTACTAATAGCCTACTGTAAGCCTTACAAATAACACAAGCAGTCAATTAACACATATTTAATATGTTATATGTCTTATATACTGTATTCTTAACAAACATGCCAGAGAAAAGAAAAAGAAAATGATAAGGAAAATATATTTACTAGTTATTAAATGGAAGTAGATGATCAGACAGGTCTTCATCCTCATCCTTTTCCTGGGCAGGGTGTGGAGAAAGATGTAGAATTGTTGGTTTTGCTAAGTGGACCTGCACAGTTCAAACCCCTGTGGTGTAAAGGCCAACTGTATAGCCATTGAATAGCAATTTATTTTTAGAAATTAACCTCACTAAAATACTCTTAGAAGGATGCCAAGAAAAAAAATGAATAAGTATTTTTGGTTCATCTATTTCATCATTTCATTTCATTTCCTCATTTCATCATTTCATCTTTTCATTTCATCATTTCATCTCATTTCATCTCATCATTTCATCATTTCATCATTTCATCACAACATTTCATTTCATCATTTCACTTCATCTCATTTATTCATTTCATCTCATGATTTCATTTCATCTCATCATTTCATCTTTTCATCTCGTCATTTCATCTTTTCATCTCATTGCATTTCATTTCATCATTTCATCAATTCATTTCATTTCATTTATTTCATCATTTCATTTCACCATTTCATCATTTCATCATTTGACTTCATTTCATCATTTCATCATTTCATAACATCATTTCATCACTTCATCTTTTCATTTCATCATTTCACTT
Organism: Homo sapiens; assembly: GCF_000001405.40. Classification (NCBI taxonomy): domain Eukaryota; kingdom Metazoa; phylum Chordata; class Mammalia; order Primates; family Hominidae; genus Homo; species Homo sapiens. The sequence goes on along the minus strand of NC_000016.10, from coordinate 33,774,726 downwards.
CATAATTTCATCATTTCATTTCCTCATTTCATTTCATTTCATCCTTTCATCATTTCATCTCATCATTTCATCCTTTCATTTCATTATTTCATTTCATCATTTCATCTCATCGTTTGCATTTCGTCACTTCATTTCATTTCATCATTTCACTTCATCTCATCATTTCATCATTTCATCTCATGATTTCATTTCATCTCATTTCATCTTTTCATCTCATCATTTCATTTCATTTGATCATTTCATCTATTCATCATTTCATCATTTCATTTCATTATTTCATCATTTAATCATGTCACTTCATCTCATCATTTCATCATTTCATCTCGATTTCATTTCATCTCATCATTTCATTTCATCTCATTTCATCTCATGATTTCATTTCATCTCATCAATTCATTTCACCTTTTCATGTCCTCATTTCATTATTTCATTTCATCTTTTCATCTCGTCATTCATTTCATCATTTCAATTCATCATTTCATTTCCTCATTTCATCATTTCACTTCATTTCATTCCATCATTTCATATCATTTCTTCATTTCACCATTTCATCATTTCATCATTTCATTTCATCATTTCATCATTTCACTTCATTTCATTTCCTCATTTCATTCCATTTCATCATTTCATTTCATTTCTTCATTTCATCATTTAATTTCATTTCATCATTTCATCATTTCATTTCATTTCAGTGATACATGTATTTAAGTGCTAATGCGATGCCCAGGAGACACCCTATTTCCTTGTAAAACACCTCCTTCAACAAAAGGCAACCTCTCATGGCTGGCTAAGTCTACAGGGATACCAGCCTCTCTTCAACCACCCAATTTGATTTAGAACCTCAAACAGCACCTCAGTTTCATAAAAACCTAAAACATAAACACAACACTTGGTTGTAAGTGAGGCAACAGTTTCTTGTCTCTTTCTCTGCTCAAGGCTTAAGGCCATGTCTCCCCAACTACGTTCAGTGGAAGAAAAGATCCCCTGGACAAATAAGTTTGAGAACTGTTGTTGCAGGACTTCTCAGAACCTTTAAAACACAAATCCTCATCCGCAGGGATCTTCAGAAGGGAGACGGCTGATGCAGCACAACTTTCTTTCACAGGAGCATCTTGCAGAATACAGTATGAGATACAGAAAGGCTGCATTGAGTCTTTTTAAGGGCCCGGGCCTTGGTGGGGGTGGGGTAGGAGCTCTCCAGATAGCATCTAATGAGTAGGAACATTCAGGTGGCTTTTTTTTCTCCTTATTGGCAAAACTGTGTGTGCACCATGAACGAAGTTGGTCTCCCTTATCCATATCAAAACTAAACCCAAATTAATTGGCTAAATTGGGACTCAACACCTCCAGGAGCCACGCAGAAGAAAGCCCCACCACACTTTAAAGTAGCTTACCTCATCATATTTGAGGAAAGCAAAATGCTTATGACCAGTATGCTGCTAATACAAGTCTACAGATAATGCTGTAGGAAAAATTATTTTTCCCAATCATAGCTGGCATAGTCCACATTTTGCATTACACTTTCCCCCCTTTTTTTAAATTTGAAACACAGGTCTTTTCCTCTTCTTTTATTAAATTTTAATTTAATTATACAAGACAGAGTCTCAGTATGTTGCCCAGGCTGGTCTTCAACTCCTGAGCTCAAGCGATACATCTGTCTCTGCCTCCCAAAGTACTGAGATTACAGGCCTGAGACACTGTGCCCGGCCTTAAACACAAATCTTAATTCATTCTTACAATTATCCTGAGGTTAGAAAAATGGAAGGGGAAGAAAAATGGCAAGCAGGTAGGCTGACTTCAGCTTCATTATTTGGAAGGACAGTTTGCTCGGTTAAAACACACTACTGCCCACAAAGGCCAAGACAACAGAAAAATACAGACTTATATAAATAGATTTTATATGTGACAGCAGTTTAAATGGAGACTTTTTCAATGAAAATGACAAACAGCTGTGCTTGGGAATAAATGACAACGAATTTTTTATCTCAATAGCTGTCCTGAAAGCATGTCTCTACATCTCTACCTGCATTCTGGAATCAGGGAGAAAGCCAAAATGGACGACAAGACACTAGATCAGCTGTGTCCAACCCTTTGACTACAAGGACTTTTCCACCTATCTGTGGTGGTGGGTATCATGAAAATTATGCACAAACCTTTTTTTTTTTTTTAAGCTCATCAGCTATCGTTAGCATTAGTGTATTTTATGTGCGGCCTAGGAGCATTCTTCTTCCAATGTGGCCCTGAGAAGCCAAAAGACTGGACACCTGTGCACTAGATCAAAAGGCTACTCCTTCTGGAAGCAATTGTAAAGAATTTCTGACATTATCTAGACATGAAAACCAATGGATAGTGAGACAGAATGCAAAATCTTCAAGAATTTTTCTTGTTGGTTTTTTTTTTTTGCGTCAAGGTCTTGCTCTGTGGCCCAGACTGGAGTACACTGGTGAGATCACAGCTCAGTGCAGGCTCAAGTGCTCCTCCCACCTCAGCCACAGTAGTACCTGGAACTACAGATGCGCACAACCACCCCTGGATAATATTTTATTTTTTGTAGAGACGGGGTCTCACTATATTGTCCAGGTTGTTCTCAAACTCCTTGACTCAAGGGATCCAGGACAAGATAACAGGTGTGAGCCACTCCACCTGGCCATGTGCAGGAACTTTTAAGACAAACACAAGGCCCCACAAAAGTTAAGGTTTTCCCACCTAATTTCCAGGGGATCTTTTGGTGCAAGGATGAGAAGCCCTTAAAAGTACACAGACAACTCCAAAGATTCAAGACAGTTCATTCGGGCTGAGCCAGCCCACTGGGCAGACTGACCTTCAAAAAAGGCCCACCCATGACATACACCAGATGGCTCTCCAAGAATCTCTCCGGTCCTCAGGGTCCCTAAGGTACTGGACAGAGCTAGGAAAGCAAGCCTATTTGCTTTTTCCTGCAAGAAACCCCTTGAGGTCAAGACCCCACAATCAGACGAGGATGGAGTGGCTCACCCTCAGTCAGCATGCCAGATTCAAGGTGGTATAATGTCTTAACCAAGCGTGTGGGCCTCCAGGTCTGACTCCCAACTCAGTTCTCCTTTAATAACCACTCTTTGTTAATTCTCCTTAACAGGGGTTCCTGGCAAGTCAGTTCTCCCTCAGGCCTTCGGTTTCCTCACCTACAAGATGAGAGGGCTGGACCAGATGGAAATTCGGGGGGGAGGGGGTAAGGGGATGTCCGCGCGCAGCCCACCCCACCCATGGGCCCCTCGAGCCTCTATCCCAGTTCCCACCACGCACCCGCCCCAGAAATCCTGCCCAAGGTGAGGGCTGGACCGGGGTCCTCCGGCTGCCGCATCAGCGAGTGCAGGAGGGAGAAGCCTCCAACCGGGCGACTCGAGCTCAAGGATGCAACTCCACCAGAAGTGAACTAGGGCCCGGAGGGAGGTGTCCGGGCCGCTCCTCGAGCCCAGCCGGGGTCCACACACCCCTTACCTCCAGGGTCCGTATCTCCTGCTGGGTGAGGTCGTTGGACACAGCGCACTTGGTGCGCAGCCCGCGCAGGCTGCCGATGAGGTTCTGGAGCTGCCCGCACTGCTGCAGCGCCCGGCTGGCCGCCGCCCCTGCGCCTCCCACCGCGGCCGCCGCATCACCCCCGCCACCGCCCTCCTTCTTCTCTCACATCGCGGCCGCGCGGAGCGCCGCAGCGGCCAAGGCGGGGAGCCCGGGGCGCCGGCGCGTAGGCAAGGGACCCCCGATCCGGGAGAGCTGGACCAGGAGCGCCCCTCAGCGCTGCCCGAGCCAGGACGCCGGTAGAGCTGGCAGCCGAGTGTGCCGCTCCCGCCCTCAGAGCCGCGGCGGGCAAAAAGCTGCGGCGTCGGGGGCAAAAAGGCGCGGCGTCGGGGGCAAAGAGCTGTGGCGGCGGGGGCAAAGAGCCGCGACGGCAAAAACCCGCGGCGGCGGGGGCAAAAAGCCGCGGGGGCAAAAGCCACAAAAAGCCACGGCGGCAGGGGCAAAAAGCCGCGGCGGCGGGGGCAAAAAGCCGCGCCGGCAAAAAACAGCGGCGGCGGGGGCAAAAAGCCGCGGCGGCGGGGGCAACAAGCCGCAAAAAGCCGCGGCGGCGGGGGCAAAAAACCGCGGCGGGGGCGGCGGCAAAAGCGGCGGCGGCGGGGACGGAGGCAAAAAGCCGCGGCGGCGGCGACGGCGGCAAAAAGTGGCGGCGGCAAAAGGCGGCGGCGGCAAAAAGCGGCGGCGGCAAAAGGCGGCGGCGGCAGAAAGCGGCGGCGGCGGCAGAAAGCTGCGGCAAAAAGGGGCGGCGGCAGAAAGCGGCGGCAAAAAGCCGCGGCTGCGGGAGCAAAAATATATGTATAGACATATATATTTTATATGCAGTCTTGCTTTGTCACCCAGGCTGGAGTGCAGTGGCGCGATGTCAGCTCACTGCAACTTCCACCTCCTGGGTTCATGCAATTCTCCTGTGTAGCTGGGATTACAGGCATGCGCCAGCATGCCTGGCTAATGTTTGTGTTTTTATAGAGACGGGGTTTCGCCATGTTGGCCAGGCTGGTCTCGAACTCCTGACCTCCAGTGGTCTGCCCGCCTCACCCTCTCAAAGTGCTGGGATTACAGGCGTGGGCCACTGCGCCTGGCCCCATATTTGGCTTTTTAAAAACCTGTCTGTATTGTCTACAGCCTGGGCAGATCTGTCAGGGAGGTCTTGGCTGGGAGATGGAAACGATGCAAGGGAGAGGGAGAGGCTGACACAGCCAGCTGGAAGGGCAGGCAGGAGAGGGGAGCCGTGGGAGCCGGCTGGGAGCCTGCCACACTCCCCTCCTCCTGAAGCCTTTTGGGGTTGCTGCCCTGCCTGTGGCCACGGGTTTAAGGACCCCCCTGGTCATTTTTCTTTGTCCCAGATCTGTTGCTACCAACGGTGAGGTATTCCTAATGTTCCCCTTGGCTGTGTCCTGTGCATGGAGCAAGGACCTCTCCCCTTTTTCCTGCACGACAGGGCTCTGTGCCACCTATTTTCTCAGGCCCTCCCACCCCCAGGCCCCATCCTGGGGCAGTACTCACCGGTGACCAGGGTGAAGTGGCAGGGGCTGGTCATGGTGACAAAGGCGGGGGTCATGTAGCGTGCCTTCACCCCATCTCGGGCCATGGCGTCCAGGTTGGGGGTGTCCACGTCCTGCTCGTAGTTCCAGCGGAAGCTGTCGAAGGACACCAGGAGCAGCTTGTTCCGGGAGCCCTGACTTTGTACCGGTGCCCCGGCCCTGGGAGCCAGGAGCGTGGGCAGAGCCACAGTGAGGAGGACGGTCGGGCCTCTCATGCTGGGCCTTCCAGATGGACAGGCACACAGGGTGCACAGGGCTGGCTCCTGCCGAAGAGGGCAAAGTCCCAGGGTCACCTGGGCTGATCTCATCCCGTGTGTCTTTGGAATGTGGCTGTGCACATCCCCGGGTCATACCTCCGGAGTGGGCTCCCCAGCCGTGTCAGTGCCACCCCTGGACCCAGCCTCAAGTGCGTGGGACGGCATCAACTTGAGCATCTGCCTTTATTGCCAGCCGCGCCCTTGGGGCTCCAGGCTCCTCTCCTCCCTCCCCAGAGTGCGGACAGTGACCCAGGGCTCAGAGCACAGCAGGAGCCCATTCTACCGGGAAAGTTGTGCCTTCTCCCTCTCCCATAGCAACCGGTGGTCCCTTTGTCCCAGCTTACCCTGACCCCAGGGGACCCAGGTGAGGCTGCGGTGGGACCCCCTCTCCAGGCCTTTAGCGGTGCATGGGCCTCAGGCCTGCCTGGGCGAGGGCCTGTGGGGTGGGCTTCCCACGGTCAGGGCCAGGACCAAGCCTGGGTTACAGCATGGCCTTGTCCTGGGGGAACCCCAGGCTGGGTGTCTTTTCTCCTCCTGCTCCTGTTAAGGGGCTCCTTGAGCGTGGTGAGCAGACTGGGAACCCGATGGCTCCAGAGCAGCGTCCTGCGCGCCTTCCTTCTTGGGGTGCTTCCTTCTTGGGAATTTCAGAGGGGGCCTGGGGCTCGGGCGTTCTTGCTTGATGGACTTTTTGACAACAAGGGGTCAGAAGAGGGGGACTCCCTTGTTACCATGGGCACATGAGGGGTGGGAGAGGAACCCCTGGATTCAGCGTTCGGTTCTCCCTCCCTCTCCGCCATCTCTCCTTCCCCTTCTCTTATTTTCTCTCTCTTTCTCTGTCTCTCTCCCTCTTTCCTTCTCTGTATGTCTCTGTCTCAGTACCTATCAAGCACGTTCTGTGTGCCAGGCATGGTTCTAGGTTCCAGGGACACAGAAGTGAATGAGACAGACAGTGTTCTGCGTGGCCTCCATTCGAGTTGGGGACACAGAAAATAAAATGAACAAACAAGAAGAAAAGAGTTTCCCAAAAGAAGGGAAGGAGGAATACGTGATGGAGAGGCTGGCGGGGTGGGTGGGTGGCACGCAGTGGTGGCTGGTGGGGTTTGGCTGAGAGGATGGTGGAGGCCAGTGACTCTGGGGGACCATGAGCTAGGGGAGCGGGCATGGGGCAGGTGGCAGGGCCAGTCCCGTGGGGCAGGCAGTGGTGATTCTCATGCCAGGCAGTGGAAGCCAGGGGCGGGTTTTAAGCGAGAGAGCGACATGAACTGATCTAATGCTAAAATACACTCTCCATTTGTGGGTGAAGGACGGACCAGAACGAGGGCAGAAGGGACACTGGGTGCTCCCTGGAGAGGTGACTGCCTGTGTCCGAGCAAGAGCTATTGGTGGCCCGGACCAGGGTGATGGCTGTGGGATGGGGCTGGGTTTGAGGTGGATCCTGGAGGTTTTGCTGAGAGGTGGTGCTCTGGATTGCATGGTGGGAGGTGGTGCACTGATTGCACGGTGGGAAGATGGAAGGGCATGGCTGGGGGTATTGTCACAATTTCAATCTGGAGCCACACACCTGTCGACAGTGGCCTTGGCCTTCCTTAAGACCTTTGCCTGGCTGCAGCAAGCAGACGCCGTCTCAAAGTGATGGCCGTGGCACTCACATGACACCGCAGACGTCGTCCACAGCCTCCCCAGGCCAGTCAGCCTTTCCTAACCCAGGTGGGCAGGGACCACTGGTACGGATCCCCGGCCGGACTCTCAAGGAGGACTCCGTGCCAGTGACCACCGCTTCTTCACGCTTCTGTGCACTAAAGGCCGAAAACCAGGATGGAGCGACTGCCGGGTGCCTGCAACCACCGCATGGGGTGCCTGCCCTGCAGGGCTGGGGCTCAGGGCGCCCAGAGGTGCGGCTCCTCCCTGGGGAGCACAGACCCTGGGGAGGGTAAGGATCCCTGTGTGTCAGGGACAGAGGTTGCGATGCACGCACAGGGGGAGTGCAGGCGACCTCGAGAGAGGAGATCGGGCTTTGCTGGCACCAGCGCTGGGGGAAGCCCACAGGATGCTTGGAGCCAGGAGAGAGGGCAGGAAGGCTTCAGGCAGAGGGACCAGGCATGGAGGAAGGGAGGCACCCGGGCTCCCGAGGGGGTCGGCCAGGAGGAGCCTGTAGGCCATGGCGGAATCTGGATTTTCAGCTGTGGCAGAGCTGGTTAGTTGTCCCCTACTATCCGTTCTCCCCTGTTTCCATGATAAGACGGCTGCAAAGAAGAAAGACTACATTTCCCAGCATTCCTTGCAGTAAAGCATGGCCACGTGACCACATTTTGGCCACTGGGGCAAAAGGAGAATGTCACCTACCAGTCCCAGCCTCTTGCCAGAAGCTAGCGTTGCTTCTCTTCTTTTCTGATTTTTCCTCCATCTGATGCCTCTGGCTGGCAAGCCACCCTAAGCCGCCTGATGAGGGGCTCCCTGGGGATGGCCATGGTGCGCAGAAGGGGCCTGCTTCCCAGCGTCCTGTGTAGCTCAGCTCCAGGCTGCATCCTCCCGGGGAGAATTCAACACACTCTGCCTGGTTGCAATTTCCATTATTTGGGTTTCCTGTCACTCTCAGCGGGACCTAGTTCAAGCTGATAATAGAATTGCAGGCCTGGGGGGCATTGCTAGGTTTAAGCAGGAGCTGGCTGTGGGGTAGGGCTCGAGAGGGCCGCCAGGGAGGCAGGGCCTGAGTGAGGAGCCGAGGCAGTGGTCCAGGGGCCTGGCCAGGCCCCTGTTGAGGTGCATTTGGGGTGTGCTTGGGGCCGGCGCAGATCTTGGTGTCTTGCAGGTCTGGGGTCCATGGTTCTGCAGGTTCTCCTGTCGGCCCCCCGGGGTCGTGCGAATTCCTGGTCCTGTTCACCCTCTTACCTGCCTGGGCCTGGTCTGGAGATGGCATGAAAGGTCTGCTCCTGCTCCTCTCAGGACATCCCAGCCATGCTTGGGTAACTCTCCTCTGGTTTTTGGCTCTGTACTTCAATCCCGCTTTGCTGGGGAGCTCCTTGGGTCACCCCATATAGGTTTCCATTTTCTCCCCGATCTCATAGAGCGCTTGGATGGAAAGGGTGTGCAGTGGTTGATTGTAGCTCATGGCTACAGGACATTTCCCACAGTCCGTGGGCACTGGGCAATAGCCACAATCTCACTGAAGCTTGGAGGTAGTTCTTGAGGTAGGAGTTAGTACAATCCTTAGTTTACAGGTTAGAAACTGAGGCAGAGAGATGTTAAAGTCACTTGGTGACTGGAGGAGCTGAGCTGGAACCCAAGCGTTCTGGCTCCCAAGCCCCAGCGTTCAGCTTCAGCTGCTTCAAGAGGCAGCAATTTACCAGCCTTTGTTCACTTGGGATTCTATTGTCAGGCTTTGGGGCTATTGACAACATTTTATTTAAAAAATGGTGCAGTTCAGCCTGGCCAATGTGGCAAAAACCCATTTCTACGAAAAATACAAAAATTAGCTGGGCATGGTGGTGCGCACCTGTAATCCCAGCTACTTGGGAGGCTGAAGCATGGGAATTGCTTGAACCTGGGAGGTGGAGATTGCAGTGAGGCGAGTGCACACTACTGCACTCTAGCCTGGGCAACAGAGCAAGACTCTGTCTCAAAAAAACAGAACAGAACAAAACAAACAAACAAAAATAGTGCAGCTGTGAGTATCTTGACACCACTGACTTTTTCCTTTTCTTTCTTTGATTTTTAATATTTGCCTTCTTTCCTTGGGGTACAGTGCTTAGAGAAAGGTTATTGGACAAAAGATAGAAAAGCTACTTGGTTCTTATGATCAGATGGCTGTCAGGTGACTGACCCTCTCCTAGACCTAACTCTACTCCACTAAGCCTTCAAGGCGCTGACCTTAGGCTCTGTCCTCGGCTTGTTTAGTTCAGGTTTAACAAGAGTCCTGCTGGGTCAGTTTAGTGAAAATCCTATGGGATCACCCTCAATATTTGATCAAATTCCTCATCCTCCACTCTCGATATCTTGTTACCCTGGCCTGCTTTCAGGAAGATTCCTGCTGAGTTGGCCGAGCAAGCATCCCCTCTCCTCAATGTCTCCTCTTTGTCATTTTCCACCCACCCGGCACCCTTGCTCCTGGACTGTACATCCTACTCATCCTTTGTAGAGTGAGACTGAGCCCAATCTCGCTCTCCTACAGCAAAACCCCATTGTGGTAGCCCCCCTGGAATAAGGTCTTCCTACCTGTCTTTAACAAGAGTCATGAATACTTTTTTCTTTATTTTAAAAATTATTATTATTACTATTATTATTTTTTGAGACAGAGTCTCATTCTTTTGCTGAGGCTGGAGTGCAGACTCCGTCTCAGATAGATAGATAGATAGATAGATAGATAGATAGATAGATAGATAGATAGATGAATGATGCAAATAATTTAGTGGCTTTCATTATGCTATAAATAATTCATATAGGTCATTATTAGAGGTTTAATTGATAAGCCACTGTATTTTTATTTCTGATTTATATTTTACCTAAAATAAAAAAGTTAAGTAAGAATTAATATGGAAACTAGAATACAAATAATTTTTTTAAGGAATTATGTACCAGGGTCCTAAGATTATAATTACATAAATATTTGCATCAGGGTCCTAAGATTGTAATTGAGAATAACATTTCATACAGAGCTTTCTGACAGCTAAGATAAAAATATTACTAGAGAAAACCCATGGACTATTTAATAATAAGCAGTGAAAGTTCATTTGAAGCCTATCTCTATTAATTCAGAGCCTGGCTCTCCAAATTAAAAAGAGATAGGCTTCAAATGAACTGTCAATCGTGTCAGAATCTGAGACGACAACATTAGGTGCTTGCACCTGACGTTGTCATCTGAGATTCTGACACCATGGTTAGAAGAGAATGAGGCAAGTGTGTATCACCCAGAGGAAACCTCCACCTTTACTGGTAAGCTCTCACAACTGTATCCGTGAAACTCTCATTTCTCAAATGTTAACGTTCTCCAAAATAAGTATTTACAAATAGGGATTAGGTGAAGTTAAAAAGATTTCTCAAATACTAGACACAAAATGCACAGTTTTGTAACATTTTTCAAACATGGGTGATCATGAAGTCTTTCTTTTGGGGTATAATGTTGAGCTTCTGGTAAAGTAAATATCCTTTGGAATATATTAATAGTTTAAGAAACACCGCTCTATAGATAATAATTTAGATCATTTATAAAAATACCTGAAACATTTATTACTGTGTCTTAGAGTTTGAGGACATAGAGAAAAAAAATACAGCTGCTGCCCTCAAGAAGCTCTTGGTTCAGGTGGGAAACAATAAAATCCTTGAAACATGCCATGCTAAATGCTGTGACAGAAGCAAAGATTCTTGGAACTGGGAAATGTTTGAAGTGAGTTTTGGAGATGACCAGAGTTCTTGTGGTGAGGCAGAGGAGGCTGTTTCCAGCGGAAGGAGCAGAACGTAGAAAAGCACCGAGGAGTGAAAAGAAAGGGACTACCTCTTACGTCCTTTCAATTGTATATATTTAAGCTCACAGGATCTTACATAAGGTTTTCAGTTCAGTTGATAAATATGTAATTATGTGATTATAAATTGTTGCTGTTGTTTTACAGATTGAATGTCAACCACTTTTACTGGCTGCACATCTAGGAAAACTGATAATGGTGGAATTTTTATTAAAGAAAAATGCAAATATAAATGCAGTTAATTGTCTTAACAGGTACAGACCTTAGTTCTTATTGTGTTGTTTTTAAACCTGAGTGTCATTGTAGAGTGGTAGCGGTCACTCAAGTCACAAATATTATATTAATAAGAAGACTAACTTTTAATTATTGGGATATAGTGAGAAATATCAACACAGATCATCACAGGTAGAAAAACAATTATTTGGACTGAGTAACATAAAGAACAGTATATAGCAGGATTTGTCTCTCTATATAGACATTATACACATAAAAGGCTTCTATATATAGAAAGCTTTGTATATTGATAGATGTTTGTTATTTGTAATATGATGTGGTGTTATTTATAATGTAATAATGTGATGCTTTTGATTGTATGATCTTATGTTAGCTAAAGAGGTTTCATGTTTTTCATTTCTACTGTGTTTTGGTGTTGTTTTTAATTGATATGGGGAGAGGGAGAAAAGATAGCTTTAAATGGATAAAACTTTACTTTAATGAAAACAAGCTTTAGGTTCACACAGGACTGGATTTAATCCCTAGTTTTCCCACTTGCTAGATGTGTGACCTTGGTAACATTACTTATCACCAAGTATGTTTTCTTCTGTGAAAAGGAGGGTAATAATATATCCTTCAAGGGTGGTTGTGTGTAAGTAACATTATATATATATATATATATATATATATATATATATATATATATATAATGTTAGAATGTCCAGCTTACAGAGCAAGGTGCTGATGTTTTGGAAACAATGGCTGAGCATATAAGTATGTGCATATATATAATATATATATACCCACACATATGTATGTAAGAAGATAATGTAAGTAACATCATATATAATATATACAATATATATTTTATAGATAATAATCTATAATGTATATTATATATTTTGTAGATAATATATAATATACAATATTTATATTTTATATATATATGATGTTACTTATGTTACTTATACACAAACACCCTTGAAGGATATATTATTATCCTCCATATACATATATTTATATATAGTGTTTAATTAAATGCCTAGCACATGCTTATGAGCATCATTAACTGAAGCTACGACTACTACTATTAGCATTCCTATTAATATTATTGTTTTAAGCCTGCAGATAGCTATTATCTGACCCTTTAGTTGATTTTGCATTATAATGTATAGTATCAGACTAGGGAAGAAATGAATAATTTTTCACTTAAATTTGCCTACTGTAGATAGGTGGCCTGAGCATAGTTTCTTGCCCATCAAAAGACTTTAAGTTAGCAACTTTATGTCATACCACAGTGGGACAAGAGGCTTCCTTTTTGTTCCTTGCTTTTAACCTTTGTGGTAACTTGCAAAGATAAACCCTTGAGCACCCAAGATGCTTGTTTCTTAGTACATGTAATTGGGTTAATTCTACATGGACAGACAACATATTAAGTTGATAAAGTATATAAACTTAGCTTTTAAAATGTCATTAAAGTTTTTAATTACCTCTCTGTTATTTTAGATCGGCCCTCACACTTGCTGTTATTCGTGAACACAAAGATATAGTCATTCTTCTTCTGCAGCAAATATTGATATGTTTTCTCGAGATGTGTGTGGAAAGACTGCAGAAGATTATGCCTCTGAGGCTGGGAATTCAGTGTAAGTCTTTACATAAAAAGGCTAGTGAACACTAAATTGAAGTTTAAAATAATTGTAACAATTGCATCTTATATATCAGGTGAGATTTCATAGTTTGGTTCAAGTAGTTTTCAAGTGACAAATTTTCAAGTTTTTAAGTTTTCGAGAGTTGTGCAACTTCATCAGCCAGAAATCAAGCAAAAGGCTAGATAAGTAGCAGCAGGTGCAGGATTCTTGATATTGAAACTTTTAGGACTTTTCTCCTTAGGGATTCCAATGTTGTACATTTTATTTCCAGTATAACCCCTATGCATAGGATAAAGTAGTTTCACATGTTTGATTTTTCTAATTAGTTATTTGGGTCTCAAAATGTCCAGTTTATCAAAAAATCTTGTGCTGTGTACTGCGGACCATCTACTATAGCCTGATCATTGAATTTTTCAAGAACCTAAGGGGTTCCCTAAGTCCAAGGAAGACAATCAGTGTCTACAAGTCAGAAGGAGAAGGGGAAAGGGTATTCTAATTTTTACTTTGTTTTCATTGATTCTGTTGCTGCTTTCTTGCCATTGAAAGTACTCTTGCAGTCTGGTAATGATTAACCTTTGCCACCAGGATGCCCTTTCTGTTTGAGGTCCCTCAATCTTCATGTTGATCCATAAAAAGGCTTCAAAGTTACAACTATTTTTTTAGTTCACTTGCACATACTTATATGCTCAGCCATTGTTTCCAAAACAGCAGAACCTTGCTCTGTTAGCTGGATATTCTAACTTTATCAACATACATACTGAGCAAATTGACACTTTCACCCACACTCAAAACCTGCTGTAGAGCCCGCATTTTAACCTGGGCTTCTAGACCTTCATGGTGAGTTACTTTTTGAGTCCCTTTTTTTCTCTTCAAATATTAGTTGGGATAGTTCTAAACTGTCAGAGATATTCAAATAATGTTGTAGAAAGAGATCACAGTTTTTTCTTTATTGCTACCAGATCTGTACCCTGAGACTTTTTAAATAAACAGTGTAAGAGCTTTTCTCAGGCAGTGGAAGCTTCTATGCCATCCTTCCTTAGAGTAGGAGGCATCAACTTGTGGTTGGCTCCTCAAGTGATTTGTTTTCTATAATAATGAAGATCTCCCAAGCTGCTTGCATCACTATCTCAAGTTTGTAAAATATTTTCAGATTCTACCTTACAGGAAGCCATTCGTCGGAATTATCTAAGTCTCAAGTTGGTTAGTTAGATTTAACAGAGCTAACCCTCATCCATGACTTATCAGCATTTATATGTAAAAGTAAGGCTTTGTACTTGCTTTGGCAGCACAAATACTAAAATTGGAACAATACAGAGAAAATTAGCATCGTGAGACATTTCATATTTTGCAGTCAGGGGAAGGTCATTTGACTGTTTGCTGGCTAGCTAAGTCACAGTTTGAATTGAAACAAAATGGGTGGCCCCTTATATTTGAATTGTGATTTTTCACTACAAAAACATTTGTGTAAGGTGATCTATAAACTGAGAATGGAGATAAGTAACACATGGGGTGTTGTGTAAATATTTTGTTAGTATGTATCTTGGAAATGAGAAAATGTCAACTTTCATCTACTTCATGGAACTTAAAAAAAATGAAAGTAGGGTTTTGTCTTCCATGTCAGTTGGAGATAACATCACTGATGGAGATTAACCATCATTCTGGCAAACATCTGCTGGTTCAGTTAGAGTCTGCAGAGAAGTAATAGTGGTAGCCCAAGCCAGATCTTGACATCTGTTAGTTTTCTGCCCTTGGAATTGATGAGCTCAATAATAGTGAACAATCGTGTTACCTATTTTAATGAAATAATGTATTCATAAATTAATTTATTTATGAATTATGAAATAGTTGAGATGCCCTGAATTATAAGCCACAAATAATAGAACAATAAGCAAAATTAGGACTTAACATTTTTCTTAAACTGAAGCATTTGAATATTAGAACCTATGAAAAAATACACATTGGGTTTGATTTGGGATTTCAAAATAGTTTCAGCAATAAAGTTCAAGAACAAATTCCACTGCTTTACTATTTCTCTGTGAATGTTAAAAATGCTACTTCATTAAACCTATATAACAACCTAGTGAAAGAAGATAGTAAAATCTAGAAGAAGACATTGTGCATAAGAGAAGCAACTTGTTTAAGAGCAAATACCTGTTGGCTATAGAGCCAGGACCTTCCAGTAAGAGCCAGGAAGGTGACTTTCCATTATGTCAAGCTGATGTGAGATAGTTTGCTGAGCTATACTGCCTTCACTTCATGAGTACTTCACCTGTTTTTATTATTTAATTAGAAAGGTACTAAGAAGTTTGTAGAGCTTACAGAAGAGAAGTGTATAGGATAATTAACATCCTGATATTGTTCAAGATACTCTAATAATTTAGTATATTTGGTAAATGTTTTTGATAATGGTATTAAAATATTAATTTCATTTATTTTTATACATAGCATTGCCGAACTAATTTCTGAATACAAAAGAAAGAAATATGAAGAGCTTTCTATAAATAGCAATCCAGGTAAGATTTATGATAGTGAATTACTCTTGATGGTACTACCATAGATAAAAAAGAATAAAGATGTTTTGATTACAAAAAAACAGTTTAAAAAAATCAGTTTAAATTGCACACATTTAAAAAATACTTAGTAGTCTAGATTTTCTAATTATTTAAAAAGTTAATTGTAGGTAGTTTATAATCTCATCTCAGTATTGTTTGAAAAAATTATTATTTTATGATGGTTCCTAATATTCTAGATGATCTTTCTGTGTAAATAAGAAAACAAATTTTTAAGTTATTACATTGCATGGTTTTTTATAGTCACATAATAATGAATTAGACTTTTTATATAATTAGAACTTCTATTTAACTTGTAAAATAAATTCTTTGCAGTTAGTAAATGAATCAGTAATTACAGTTGGCCCTTGAACAACATGGGATTTAGTGCTGCCAATGCCCATGCTGATGAAAATACATATTTGGTATGTTATATATATTATATATTGTATTCTGAGTACAAGAAAGTAAGCTAGAGAAAGGAAGTTTTGCAGTAGTTAAAGCTGTAGTTTCCTTTTAGTTCGATGCTTGAACTACTATCAATCTAGTGTAAGGTGTTCACCCATCCATGATAAAATAAAGTAAATTTACTCCATTTACTCATTTTAAAATGTTGGTCTTTTTCTTGCCCTTATGGCTTCTTCATTTGTTTTACTTAATTTTTTATTTATAAAAAAATAATAGTTGGTAGGGACTTTTTTCCTGTGAAAACCATCAATGAAGAGGCCATGTTGATCTAGGAAATATAAACATATTTATTTGGTAGCAGTAGAAATATAAAGCAGAAGCAGAAAAGAGGTACAGTTAATATGATTTAGTGAACATTGAATATAAAACATTAGTGGGGAGAGAGAAATCTTGGATCATTCATAGGTTTCCAGGTTGTGTACTGGCCTTTATACTGCACAGGAGAAAGGAGTAGGATGTGTTCACTGAATGGAGAAGTACAGCTGGTCAACAGAGAAGAGTAACTTCCCTTCCCTCCAACTCTGAGGTTGGAGATGCAGACGTAGAATGATGTTGTTATAATTATTAGGCAAAGTCATCGATCTCAACTGTCCATGATGCAGATGTAGAATGAGAAGGCATCCAGTGACAAAACCCTGGGAATGTCAACATTCCCTCCCGCCCCCAGGAGAAAAAGAATTGGTAAAGGAGAATGAGCAGTGGCTAGAGAAAAGTAGGAGAGGAGTCAGAGGAAGTGATGTGGCAAAAATAAAAATGTGAGAATTTTAAGGAGGGAGTATCAATTCTAACAAGTAAGATTACTAAAAAGCCAATTAGATTTAACTTTTAAAAGCTCTTTGGCAGTACCCTTTTCAAAAGAACCATTTTTGAGGTGTAATGTGAGCTGTTGATGTGATTGGTATATCTGGTGTCCAAATATGGAGGAACAAATCTACCAAGATCCTACGTAACTCTTTTGTAACTGCAGAAGCTACATGCACAGGGTCAGGGAAAATGGTCTTGACTTCTGACATGTGCCCACTCTTTTACAGAACTGTCAAAACCTAAGGGTAATGTGTGAGAAAAACTGTGGTCTTCTTATCTGCTCCTTGTGGAAATACTTAGTTTGTACTGAAATCCCTGATAAGTTCTTCTGGATGCATTCTGAAACAAAAGTCTGGCAGCAGTAACTGGAACCAGATTGTCCAAAGCACATACATCCCAACTCCCTCCAACATGGAATCATAACACAGCCACATTTCGAGAGTTTCAAGTTTCAATTGGAAGTAGTCTACAGACGAGCAGTTTGGAGAAGCTGACATCTTTTATATAATGTTATGGAGAAAAATATAAGGTGATATGCTAAGTATACCAAGTCTCTGTGTTCTGGGACACTTTGTTTTAGTGCAATTCCCTTTTCATGACCTCTTCTAATATCTCTACTTTTACTGTTTTCTTTTGAATTTCATCCCTAAAGAAAATATTATTAGAACACATTTCTAACATAGGTATTTTTGACAACTATATATGATTTTCTTTTAAGAGAATTAGCTACCTATTCTAAAGTATGTCTGGTATTCTATTAATCTTTAATGCTAAACTTCTTTATATCTTTAGCACAGTGACAGTGTAAGTGATGCTGGTCCTTTAAGATTTTAAGTTTCTTTTAAGTTTTCAAACTTTAAGTGTCTTTTAAATTTTCAAATTAAGTTAAGACACTTAAGGTGTCTTTTAAGTTTTCAAACTTGACATAGTTTTAATGTAAAACACTTTTCTGGTGCTATATTTCTTCGAATATTGGTAATCTGTTACTTAGCTGGAATATTTGGTCGGTTGGATTACCACACCTTTAACCATCTATATATAACTTTCTTGATTTTTTTTTTTTTTTGAGATTGAGTCTTTTGCTGTTTCCCAGGCTGGAGTGCAATAGTGTGATCATAGCTCACTGCAGCCTCAAACTTCTGGGTTCAAGTGGTCCTCTTACTTCAGCCTCCTAAGTCGCTGAGACTGCTACAAGCATATGCCACCACACCAAGCTAACTTTTTTATTTTTTATTTTTTAGAGACAAGGGTCTCTCTCTGTTGCCCAGGCCAGTCTCAAACTTTTGGCTTCAAGTGATCCTCCTGCCTCAGCCTCCCAAAGTGCTGGAATTATAGTCATGAGCCATCGTGCTGGTCCATAACTTCCTTTATCCCCCAAAATGAGTTTAAAGTCCTATTGGCCCTTAATAATAAAAACCCACTGTTTAGGAGGAGAAGTGGATAACTCGTCTTATATTTTAAATGCAGTTTTTGACTTTTTGACCTGTTCTGTGAAGAACTGCCTTTAACAGATGATTTTTAGTTTTAATAGATATTTTTAGTTTTATAAGAACTTAAGAAAAAAGATTAGAAACAAATTAAATGAGCTCTATGATTGATAGTACAGTATTATAACCAATGGCTACATATATTTCTATAATTATCACAATGACCTGAATGATGCAAATTATTTTACATATGTTTTTATTAATATATATATATATATTTTGAGACTGTGTCTCACTCTGTTGCCCAGGCTGGAGTGCAGTGGTGTGATCTTGGCTCACTGCAACCTCTGCCTCCTGGGTTGAAGTGCTTCTCCTGCCTCAGCCTCCCTAGTAGCTGGGACTACAGGCGTGCACCACCACGCCCAGCTAATTTTTATATTTTTAGTAGAGATGGGGTTTCACCATGTTAGCCAGGATGGTCTCCATCTCCTGACCTTGTGATCCACCCGCCCCAGCCTCCCAAAGTGTTTGGATTACAGGCATGAGCCACCACCCCCAGCCTACTAATACATTTTAGAGACAGGGTCTCACTCTGTTTCCCAGGCTGGAGTGCAATGGTTATTCACAGGCACAATCTCCACTGCAACCTCGAACTTTTGATCTCAAGCAATCTTCCTGCCTCAGCCGTTGGAGTAGTTGGGACTACAGGTGTGTGTCATTGTGCCTGGCCTGATCCCCAATTATTATAAAAGAAACCTTGGAGAGTTGAAGACAATTGGCTGTGATCTTTTTGTTTCTCTTCTAGAAGCTTTCATACTATGGGGTATATTTTTAATCATCCATATTCTCAATTTTTTATTCTGGTTAAAATAGGATTGCTGCTTGTTTTTCATTTTTTTGGCATAATTATTTCTATTCCTTTATGGATTTATTCATGTGGAAATACAGGAATCTCAAAGGCAACTGTTAAGGAAAACAGATTAGGGAAAGGTATTCTATAAACAGCCTTCTGATTGTAGTCACAGGTCACATCACCTTAAAGAAAACTAATTTCATGTAATGCCACTGTGTCAGAGTTTCCCAAGACCACCTCTGTGTTTGGTGATTCACTTGTAAGGACTCAGCAAACAGTCCTACTCTGGGTTTTGATTTGTTACTGTGAAATAATACAAAGTAAAATTGGCTCAGGTCAAAGGGGCATGTGGCAAGTCTTGGGGAAGCCAGGCACAAGCTTCCAGGAGCCCTCTTCTGTGAAGTTACCAGGATGTGCTGAATTCCTGTAGCTTTGAATTTTGACAGCACATGGGCAGTATTGTCTACCAATATGAGTCTGACAAGACAGTATCCAAGGTTTTTATGGAAGCTAGTTACATAAGCATTCTCTCTCACACATATACAAAAATTCCACACTTCCAGAAGAAAAGCAGCTGTTCAGAGTCAACCACATTGTTTATGCAAACAGTTTAGGTACAGTGAGCTACTTTTCTCAGGAAATGGTGACAAACCTTTAAAATGCAAATTTCCAAACACCAGCGAAGGGCCAGTTTTGCATGTAGGCATTTCTAAGAATGACAGTCTTATGACTGTTATATGAATTATTTTCTTCACAGCAGTTACAGCCCCAACTTAATTTTAGTGTCTTAAAAATTCTATTTAATAGTGAATAACATGGTGATATAACATAGCATGGTGCTTATTTCATTTGCGTCAGTTGCAACTTAATATGAAATACTAAGTTTCTG
The DNA here is from genome assembly GCF_000001405.40 of Homo sapiens. Taxonomy (NCBI): domain Eukaryota; kingdom Metazoa; phylum Chordata; class Mammalia; order Primates; family Hominidae; genus Homo; species Homo sapiens. Next base: position 33,755,068 of record NC_000016.10, on the reverse strand, counting down.
TGCTGTTAGATTTTGGAATTTTGGTGAATATTTAACAGGTTTCTATACAGAAGTTACTATGGTAATATTAGGTAATTATAATCTGTTCTTATTCAATTAACCTTTCAGTAAAATAGATAAAATAAGTAATGATTTCTGATTTAAAATTAAAATAAAAAATTTGTTTCATTTTAATTATATAGGTTTCAGTTTTGTTTTATATTTTGTTAAATTTCTGTTTATAATTATGAAATTTAAAAAATCAATCATTTATCCATTATTTTCTTGCCTGTTAATATAGTTATTTGCTTTATGTACTTTTATATACTATAATTCTGGAGAGAATATTCATATTGTGTTTCAAATTGAGTACATCTTGCTATAATATATGGCAATATATTATAGCAATATATTAGTAATAGAAGATGCAGTGAAAATCTTTTAAAAAAATTAATAACTTTATTTTAAGAGCAGTTTTATATTCCCAGCAATATTGAAAAGAACCTAAAGAGATTTTTCATATATGCCATCCCCCCTCACATGCATAGCTCCCCCCATTATGAATATCTCCCACCTGAGTGGTACATTTGTTACAACTGAGAAGCTTACATTGCTGGATCATAATAATCACCCAAAGTCCATAGTTTATATCTTAGTTCCCTTTTGGTATTGTACCTTCTATATAGTTGGACAAATATATAATAAATGTACCTGCCGTTAGAATACTTTCGCTGCCCTGAAATTCGTCTCTCTTTTTTTATTCCTCCCTCCCAACTAACCCCTGTCAACTACTAATATTTTTGCTGTCTCCATAGTTTTGATATGTCCAGCATAGTCATATATTAAGGATAATATAGTGGATATCTTTTTCAATATTACAAAACATAAATTTCCAAGATAATTGAATGTATTCAATTAAGCTATCCATTGTGCTTTTTTGCTTTTAGTTTATTAATGTAGGATTTAATGGCATATGCTTTACATGTTGAAAAATCATAATTTATATAGACATTTGCCACATAATGAGGAGGGTTGAGGAAAATGGCTTCATGCTGTGTACTACACAGCACTAACTGGATCATCCTTCTCTGTGAGATGGGTCCAGATAGACTAGAAGTGGAAAGGGACAATCTCAAGATGCTGTACTTTATAAAACTGGAGTCAGAAAGTCTTTCCTATTTACCTTGCAGTTGGAAATAAGACCAGCTAGTGAATACTATAGGCATACAAATATGTTTCTTATTTACCTTCTTTCTTTGAGGGATCAGTTTGAAAACAGTCTATATTATTATAACATGACTCACTTATAACTAGGTTCTCCATCATGAAAAATGCCAAGAGAGTCATACTATTTTTGTTTACCTAAAGTGACAAAGATTTGTTGTTGTTGTTGTTTTTCCCACTAGGTAGTGGGACAACTGTTGGCACATCTTGGTAGCTCCAGTGAGTTTATGGTTCCTTTATATATATTTTATATATTAGAAAGTCCTCCCTGGCAACTTGCCATACCTCCCCGGCATTTCTTTATAAGCTTCTCTCTGAAAAGGAGACAAGACTCAGATTGGATAAGCTTTTAAGGGAGTGCTATTTCCTCTGTGTGTGTTTTTTTGAAGGAGCTAAAATGAAAGCTGAATTTAAGCATTGTTTGTGCCCTACATAGGGTGAATGAATAGCTAGAACTAAGCAAACTTACCAGAATCTTCCCTAGGAGAGGATTAGTGAAGGTAAGGATACTGATCTCTCTTAGGCTCTTCTGCACTGGCAGCTGAAAAGTCTTTGCAGGGATCCTTGACCCTGGTCTGTATGCTGTGATTTGCCATAGAATAGAGTACAGTTTTCATAGACCTAGATTTTTTGTATTAGAGTGCTTTATCCTGAATAGTTTAAACTGAAGAAGTGGAGAAACTTGTGTTTCAACAAAATAAGTACAGTAATTTCCTCTTATACATGGGGGATACATTTCAAGACCCTTAGTGAATGCCTGAAAACATGAATAGTGCTGAACTCTATGCATACAACAATTTTTAAAAATACATATATATCTATAATAAAATTTAATGCATAAATTAGGCACAATAAGAGATTAATAATATCTAATGGTAAAGTGGATCAATTGTAACAATATACTGTAATAAAAGTTAAGTGAATGTGAGCTCACAAAATATCATGTACTATAGTCACCCTACTTTCTGCACTGATGTGAGATGATAAAATGGCTATGTGATAAGTGAGGCAAATGCAGTAGGCATTGCCATGTAGTCTTGGGCTATTATTGACCTTCTATTTGACTATATGTCAGAAAGAAGATCATCTGCTTCACGTGATCTTGGATCCGTGAGCCATGATGATGTTGTTGGTTGGATGTTAGGTACAGATTATGTCAATGACTAGTGAGCAGATATCATATATAATGTGCATGCACTTGACAAAGGGATGATTCACATCTTGGGCAGGCTGGGATGTAATGGCTCAAATTTTATCATACTACTCAGAATCTTATGCAATTTAAACCTTATGATGTATATACATCTGGAATTTTATTTATGGACCATGGTTGACCGTGGGTAACTGAATCTGCAGTCAATAAAACCACCAATGTCATATTATGAAATATGTATTTGGTCTTCAACCCCATTTTCTGTCATACAACTCCTAAAATCCTCAGAACTTCCAACATGATATCATTTGTATGCTAATGATTGACTTATGGCAGGCAGCCTCCAGATGGCTTCAGGGTGGGGCTCATCATCAGAGTGATCAGGGTGTGATTAGAGGGTTGGGGCTTCCAGCCCCACCCCTCACCACCTGGGATGTGAGAGGGGCTGAATGTTCAATTAATCAGTCATGCCTATGTAAGGAAGCTTTCATAAAATCCCAAAAGGATTGGATTTGGAGAGCATCCAGGTAGCTGTATTCAGCTACCTGGATGCTCTCATTCAATACATGAAGGCATATGGAGAATACATGGATGTTCCCAGAGGGTGAGTGCCCTGGGAGGACATGGAAGTGTGTTACTTTCCCCCCATATCTTGCACTATGCATCTCTTTATCTGTATCCTTTAATATTCTTTATAAGAAACTGGTAAATGTGTTTCCATGAGTTCTCTGAGCCACTCTAGTAAATTAATGAAACCAAAGAGGGGGTCCTGGGAAACCCAACTTGAAGTCCAACTGGAAGTTGATTAGAAGTTCTGGAGGCCCAGACTTGTAACTGCTGTGGGGGAATAGCCTTGTGGTACTGAGCCCTCAACCTGTAGATAATCCCCAAGTAGATAGTGTCAGAATTAGAGGGCACCCATCGGAATTGATTGTTTGCTTGTTGCTGGGGAAAAATACATATTTGGTCACAGAAATCTTCTGTGTTGATGATTGTTGTTGCGGTGTGAGAGAAGGGGAACATCATGTTGAATATGTGTTTTCTACACATACAGCAGATAAGGGGGACTGCTGTTCTAGCTGCACCTGGTTCATTTGTCCAGAAATCATGTTCTTTGACAATGCCTGCTCATTATATTGATTCTACTAATGATGCCATTTTCTGTCAGTCTGATATAATTCTGTTAGAATTATGACTATTTTATACCGCAATTCACATGTAAGGTAACAAATTTTGATAATATATTCTTCTTTGCATTTGATAAGTATATGCTAAGCATGTAAGAAAGGAAATAAGAGTTCTTAATTCATTAGTTGCCTACAAATAGTATAAATAATAATTTTAGTATAGCCTCCAAGTATGTTTCTAAAGCACTGCTTTGTAACAAATCATGAGAGTCTCTGTAATAAAGCATCAAAGTCTTATAATATTTTTCCTACAAGGTCTAAGGCATGTACAAAAGTTCATGATTTGTTTTTTCTTTTGAGATGAAGTCTCACTCTGTCACCCAGGCTGGAGTGGAATGGCACAATCTCGGCTCACTGCAACCTCTGCCTCCTGGGTTCAAGCGATTCTCCTGTCTCAGCCTCCCGAGTAGCTGGGATTACATACGTGTGCCACCACACTTGGCTAATTTTTTTTTTGTATTTTTGTTGAGATGGGGTTTCACCATGTTTGGCCAGGCTGGTCTCAAACTTTTGACCTCACGTGATCCACCCGCCTTGGCCTCCCAAAATGCTGAGATCACAGGCATGAGCCACTGTGCCCAGCCTCCATGATTTTTTTTAGTAAAGAGTCTTGCTATGTTGCCCAGGCTGTTCTCAAGCTCCTGGGCTTCTCAAGTGATACTTCTGCCTCAGCCTTCTGAGTAGCTGAGATTATAGGGACAAGCCACTGTACACACATATATATATATACACACACACACACACCAAATATATGCCCAGTAATGGGATTACTGGCTCAAATGGTATTTCCGGTTCTAGATCCTTGAGGAATCACCACACTGCCTTCCACAATGGTTGAACTAATTGACACTCCCACCAACAGTGTAAAAGCATTCCTATTTCTCCACATCTGCTCCAGCATCTGTTGTTTCCTGACCTTTTAACGATTGCCATTCTAAATGGCGTGAGATGGTATCTCATTGTGGTTTTGATTTGCATTTCTCTAATGATCAGTGATGATGAGCTTTTTTTCAGATGTTTGTTGGCTGCGTAAATGTATTCTTTTGAGAAGTGTCTGTTCATATCCTTTGCCCACTTTTTGATGAGATTGTTCTTTTCTTGTAAATTTGTTTAAGTTCCTTGTAGATTCTAGATATTAGGCCTTTGTCAGATGGACAGATTGCAAACATTTCCTCCCATTCTGTAGGTTGCCTGTTCACTCTGATCATAGTATTGGAAGTTCTGGCCGGGGTAATCAGGCAAGAGAAAGAAATAAACGGTATTCAAATAGGAAGAAAGGAAGTCAAATTGTCTCTGTTTGCAGATGACATGATTGTATATTTAGAAAACCAAATTGTCTCAGCCCCAAATCTCCTTCAGCTGATAAGCAACTTCCTCATAGTCTCAGGATACAAAGTCAATGTGCAAAATTCACAAGCGTTCCTATACACCAGTAATAGAGCACTAAATCATGAGTGAACTCCCATACACAATTGCTACAAAGAGAATAAAATAGCAAGGAATACAACTCACAAGGGATTTGAAGGACCTCTTTAAGGAGAACTACAAACCACCACTCAAGGAAATAAGAGGACACAAACAAATGGAAAAACATTCCATGCTCATGGATAGGAAGAATCAATATCTTGAAAATGGCCATACTTCCCAAAGTAATTTGTAAGTTCAATGCTATACCCATCAAGCTACCATTGACTTTCTTCACAGAATTAGAAAAAACTACTTTAAATTTCATATGGAACCAAAAAAAGAGCCCATATAGCCAAGACAATCCTAAGCAAAAATAACAAAGCTAGAGGCATCATGCTACCTGACTTCAAACTATACTACAAGGCTACAGTAATGAAAACAGCATGGTAGTGGTACCAAAAGAGATATATAGACCAATGGAACAGAACAGAGGCCTCAGAAATAATGCCATACATCTACACCATCTGATCTTTGACAAACCTGACAAAAGCAATGGGGAAAGGATTCCCTATTTAATAAATGGTGTTGGGAAAACTGGCTAGCCTTATGCAGGAAACTGAAACTGGACCCCTTCCTTACACTTTATACAAAAATTAACTCAAGATGCATTAAAGACTTAAAAGTAAGTTCTAAATGTGTAAAAACCCTGGATGAAAACCTAGGCAGTACCATTCAGGACATAGGCATGGGCAAATACTTCATGACTAAAACACCAAAAGCAATGGCAACAAAAGCCAAAATTGAAAAATGGGATCTAATTAAACTAAAGAACTTGTGTGCAGCTTTATTTGGGAGTGTGCGTGGGGTACCTCTGAGTTGTAAAAATGAAGAAAGTAAGTAGTCGTGCTTTCCTGACTCTTTGGTAGACATAGCCTTTTAAGACAGTCATTCTGAGCTGTCATGGTCTTAGGGTTTTCTATACTACTAAAACTTATTGACGACATCTAACCAAGAACTTAATTTTTTTTAAAAAAAGAAAAAGAAATCACCCAAATACACATTAAAAACCTCTTATAACATATGTGCACATTCATAGATAACATGTAGAACGTGATTTTGTGTATTAAAACCTTGTAGAAAAGTTCAGACAGTGCACACAATGACTGCAACTTGGTCTTTGTAAAATCAGTGATATATATTTCAGATCTATCCACGTTGACCCAGTGAGGTATTCGATTTATTGTATGATCTAATGATATGCCATGTGATGACTGCAGCATATTTAATTATGCTCTCTTCATGCTGATACCATATGGACATAAATATGATGAGATACCAGCATGGATATGCTTATGTGGTTGCTTTTAATGACTTGTACTATATTAGAAATGAAACAGAAGTATTGGAAATCCTAGCAAGCATAGCTGTATCTCTCCCATGGCTGTGTTGATTGCAACTGTTTCCCCCTTAAAGCATGTCTTTTTGACATGTCATGATCCTGAGAAAATCCAGTGTGTGCTTTTCAGAGAATGACAGTAAGGAGAGGAAATGGCCAATGGTCAAAGTGTTACTTGTCCTCTTGACTCCCCCTCATGAATTTTAAACTCTAAACTACTCAGGTCACAATTTAGAACCCCTTTGTTGATCCCTATAGAGTGTTCCCAGTTGTCAAATGACAAATAGGCTTTTGAAGAAAAAACACCCTGTAAAGCCGTATTGCTCTGGTTTTTGTGTGTGAATGTGTGTGTGTGTGTGTGTGTATTTTTTTCTCTTCTGAAAACTGTAAATAGAATAATTTTCATTACAGATGAAAATATTTCTGTTCCATATTTATTTCCTGTCTCATGGCACTCTTCTCTTCTTGGATCTAGTAAGGATCTCAGCATGTCTTATTTATACCTGCAAAAAATTACATCATTCTTCATTTTTCATGTCAATTACTGACATGTTTTCAAGTCTTCACAAGTTATTTCTGAAGATGTTGGTGCATTGAGGAGAGGCAGTGTCATTGTAGTTAAAGAAGTTTTTAAATAGGTTATGTTCAATAACATTTCAGAGCCCGTTTCTCTGGAAGGCATAGACATAGTGGTTTTATGTGTAGTTAAACATAAAATAGCTCCACAAAGTCTTGTGTACGTGAAAGTGTTCATATCCTGGAAGATTCTAATTTACTACTCAGTACTTTCTCCTGGAGAGGAAAATAGGTAAGATAGGCTGCTAAGCCTATGATAATAACTCATGATATGAGGTGAAAGCATAGAGACAAAATGAGAGATGATAGATACTCAAACCGATGTGAGTGAAGAACAGCTGTGAAAGAGTGTCTATGGGAGAGAGAAGGCCATGGGGCTGCTTTTGTGAAGAAGGAATTTGTACACATTAGTCAAGTGTCTGATACATTTAACATTTTAATAAAGCAAAACCTTATCTTCACATGTGTCAGAATGGGATTGTACAGATGTCACAATACAGTAGTGGTGAGAATAATGAAGAAATGAATGTGGAGGGCAAAGAATGAAGTCCACCAATATGGATATTAGATTTATGAATGAAAAGGAGTGTATGTCAAATTGGGCAGAACAAAGAAAGTGGCTAGCTAGGTAATTTGGGGGTTTCTGATGAGGAGACTTGTGGGGAGTCACTTAATGGAAAGCGGAAGTTAGAAGGATGAGGGTGACCCCCAGGGTTTCATTTCTCCTCCCTAGAAGTTTTGCACATCAATGATATGTGCTTCGTTCACATCAGTTAGCATATTGGGATGCAGCGTAATCTAGAAAAAGTGTTTTTTTTTTTCTTTAGGAAAGGTGTGTTTGCTGAGGTAGTTATTTCATAAAAGGACCTGAGAGATCCCTATGGTATATTATTTCAAACTAGCTTTAGAAACAAAGTAATAAAAGAATGTATATCTTGAGTACTAAAAAAAACTACCAATATTCTTGGCAATCATGACACACACACACACACACACACACACACACACATATATATATGTACGTATGTATATATTTTGTTGGTTACTAATAAAAAAAGAAGTCTCTTGTAATTTAGAGATTTTGTTTACCTTATTTACATGGGAATCTGATTATGCATGATTTCTTTGACATGTATGTTTTTGCAAAAGTGGAAAAAGAGATGGCAAAAGAGCTGAACTGCTGAATCTGGGAAATGTAGGAATCTTAGGAGCCTTCATGAGTACAAAGAAAATGATTTTTTAAATTATGACTCTAAGTATAACTGAACTCACTTCAGATGCATTTAGAATATTTGCATAAAAGATGATTTGATTTTGGCTGCTCCAGAAACTACTGGAAGAAGGAAAGAGTACTAGAATTCAGATAAACCACAGTGACTCGTTACTTCTCTTTGTTACTATTGGGAATCAGAGACATAGATTTTGTTGATATTAGTCATTCAAATGAAATAAACATGAATGTGCATACATTGGCTTTGTTTTTCAAGGAGCTAACTTTTGGATACAATAGCAATTTAATAAAAATTCCTTAGAGAATAACATGATACTTCAAACCAGACTATTTTAGAAACAAGAATAATGTTGAATTCATTAATTGATTCATAAAATGGTTATTTTCAATGAATATTGGAGTCATTTCCAAATGTGAAAGCTTATTAATATCTAATGCTTGTAGCAGTTTTATTTTGTAGAAGTATGTCAATATTGATAAATGATGATACTTTTTATTGAGGTTTACATATTATACCTTATTGCCGTGAGTAGATGAAAAAACTTTCAGAAGACTGAACTACAGAACACAAGAAACTTGGGCAATAATTACACCACATGGGTCTGAGAAATAATGAATACTGTCTACTAGGATTCACCAAATATATATCCAAGCTGATCAATTTAGGACGCTTCCACTGAGGAGATGTGAAATGTACATTCAGCTGAAGTGTCATCATAATTGTGTACCTTCTCAGTTATTGGGCCAGTTAAAGAGCATGATGAATGATTGTAGTATAATGGTGTATTTCCTTCTCATCTCTTGCACTAAAGACATGTGAGAGCACGTACCACCTGCTTTGACATTGATTCCCAGGTGCGTGAGTTGCTCCTCTGTTTTTAGACCACATTTGTTTTTATCCCTCCGCATATCCACATTGATACTGACACTGTTTCATTTTAGTTTTAGACATGTGACAAATCATATCATGTTTGAAATTGTAAGTGTATATTTCATGAAGCCTGTATTGGTGTTTTCTTCAGTGTATTTCTGTCATGTTCCAGTCCCAAGACATAAAGTATAAAACTTAAAAACCTAAACTAATAGGGGCAGGAGGATACAGCTTGATGGTAACAGTGCATGAATGTATGGATAATTTTATCATATTTACATATGACTGATTATGTATCCCTTTTGCTTTTCAGTGTGTTCTCAGAAACAACCAGCCTTGAAGGTAATTACACATTCATTTCTGTTTTGAACTATTAACTATATAGTCTGTGAAATACACTTTATGTATTGATTATTTTGTCTCAAATTCCATTCAGGCTACAAGTGACAAGAAAGATTCTGTTTCAAATATAGCCACAGAAATAAATGATGGACAAAAATCTGGGACAGGTAATTTTGCAATACACATTTAATGTCATGTTCACTCAGGATAGAAGAGAACTTCTCTTCCCTGAATAAATCGCAGGGGGCTCATTGAATCTGCACAATCTGATTCAGCAGGCCTGAGATTCTGCTTTTGTAATAAGTTCTCGGGTGACACTGATGTTACTGTTCCTTGGCCATGATCTGAGTAGTAAGATTATATTCTTCCCCACAGTGAAATTGGCAAGAACGATTGGAGAGCAGTGCAAGATATAACAGGCTAAGGGACAGCATATTCTTGCTTTAATTCTACAGCCTGTTTCCATTGTAAAGGGAAGGAGAAAGAGATTAAGTAATAAAAATTATAGGCATCAGATCATATTGTTAAAACCACATGGAAGAAGTGATTGGAATAACCCATAAACAATGTAGAAAGAGAACTAAGGAGACGTCTGATGTGGTAATTATTTTACTCAAGGAAGAGGGATTGAGAGGCAAGAAGGAGGGAAAAGGAGATGTTATTTATGTAATTTTGGGGTTTCTGCTGCAGAAACCTGATGGGACTCAACTTCAGATGCATTTGGAATATTTGCATAAAAGAAGATTAGATTTTGGCTGCTCCAGGAACTACTGGAAGCAGGATAGAGTGCTAGAATTGTGATGACACACAGTGACTCATTACCCCTCTTTGTTACTGTTGGGCATCAGAGGTATATGTTTACTTGGTATTAGCTATTCGAATAGGATAATCATGAATATGCATACATTGGCTTTGTTTTTCAAGGAACTAACTTTTGGATAAAATAGCAATTTAATGAAAATACTTTAGAGAATAACATGATCCTTCAAACCAGATATTTTAGAAACAAAAATAATGTTGAATTCATTAATTGACTCCTAAAGTGGTTATTTTCAATGAATATCAGAGCAATTTCCAAATGGAAAAGCTTATTCATATCTAATGCTTTTAGTAACATTATTTTGTATAAGTATGCCAATTTTGATGGTTTATTATACTTTTTGATGAGGTTTATATATTATACCTTCTTGCCATGAGTGGATGGAGAAACTTTCTGAAGGCTAAACTAGAGGATACGAGAAATGTAGGCAAATTATGACACCACAGGGGTGTGAGAAATAAAGAATATTATATACTGGGATTCGCCAAACATATATTTAAGCTGATCAGTTTGGGACACTTCCACAGAGCACTTGAGAAGTGTACATTCAACTAAAGTGCCATTATCATTGTGTACCTGCTCAATTGTCAGGCAAGTTTAAGAGCATGATAAATATTTGTAGTATAACGGTATAAATCCCTCTGATGTCTTACATGAAAAACATGCAGGAGCATTAGTCACCTGCTTTGACATTGATTCCCAAGTGTATGAGTTGCTGCTCTGATTTTAGATCACATTTTTCCTCATCACTCGGCATATCCACATTGATATAGACACTGTTTTATTGTAGTAACAGACATATGAAGAATAATATCACCTATGAAATTGGAAGTGTTTGTTTTGTGAAGACTATATTTCTGTTTTCTACAGTGTAATTCTGTCATGTTCGTGTCCCAATACACAAAGTAGAAAACATCAAAGCCTACGCTAATTCAGGCAGGAGGATACAGCTTGATGCTAACACTGCATGAAAGTATGGATAACTTTATCATATTTACATACGAGTGATTATGTGTCCCTTTTGGTTTTCAGTGTCTTCTCAGAAACAACCGGCCTTGAAGGTATTACACTCTTCATTCATATTTTGAATTATTAACTGTATAGTCTATGAAATATACTGTATGTATTGATTATTTTGTTTGAAATCCTATTCAGGATACAAGTGACAAGAAAGACTCTGTTTCGAACATAGCTACAGAACTAAAAGATGAACAAAATTCTGGGACAGGTAATTTTGCAATACACATTTAATGTCATGTACACTCAAGATAGAGGAGAACTTCCCTTCCCCGAATAAATCAGCAGGGGGCTCATTGAACTGCGCATTCTGATTCAGTGGGCCTGAGATTCTGCATTTGTAATAAGTTCTGGAGTGATGGTGATTCTGCTGATTTTTGGCCATGATCTGAATAGTAAGATTATAGACTTCCCTACATTGAAATTGGGAAGAAGAACCATTGGAGAGCAGTTCAAGACATAACAGGCTGAGGGGACAGCATAATTTTCCTTTAATTCTACAGCATGTTTCCATCAGGAGGGGAAGGAGAACAAGATGAAGTACTAGAATTTATAGGCGCCAGATCACACTGCTAAAACCAGAGGGAGGAAGTGATCATAATAAGCCATAAACACTATAGAACGAGAAGTAACGAGACCGCTGATGTAGTAATTATTTTCCTCAGGGAAGAGGGATTGTGAGGCAGGAAGAAGGGAAAAGAAATTATTTATTTAATTTCAGGGTTTCTGCTCAGGAAACCTGAGGGAACTCACTTCAGATGCGTTTAGAATGTTTGCATGAAGGAAGATTTGATTTTGGCTGCTCCAGGAACTACTGGAAGCAGGATAGAGTGCCAGAATTGTGATAAACCACAGTCACCTGTTACCCCTCTTTGTTATTATTGGGCATCAGAGATATATGTTTTGTTGTTATCAGTTAGTCAGATGAGATAAATGTAAATATGCATACATTGGCTTTGTTGTTCAGAGAGCAAACTTTTGGATAAAATAGCAATTTAATGAAAATAGAGAATAACATGTTCCTTCAAAACAGACTATTTTAGAAACAAAAATAATGTTGAATTCATTAATTGACTCCTAAAGTGGTTATTTTCAATGAATATCAGAGCAATTTCCAAATGGAAAAGCTTATTCATATCTAATGCTTTTAGTAACATTATTTTGTATAAGTATGCCAAATTTGATGGTTTATACTTTTTGATGAGGTTTATGTATTATACCTTCTTGCCATGAGTGGATGAAGAAACTTTCTGAAGGCTAAACTAGAGGATACGAGAAATGTAGGCACATTATGACACCACAGGGGTGTGAGAAATAAAGAATATTATATGCTAGGATTCACCAAACATATATTTAAGCTGATCAATTAGGGACACTTCCACAGAGCACTTGAGAAGTGTACATTCAACTAAAGTGCCATTGTCATTGTTTACCTGCTCAACTGTCAGGCAAGT